>NC_000018.10:75441594-75742950 GCF_000001405.40 Homo sapiens | reverse complement strand
TCTTGTATCTTAATTATGGCAATATTATTATTTCATTTCTTTGTAAGGACCTAATGATTAAAAAATAAAAGAAAAAAATGTTTTTTAAAAAAGGAAAATAACCTTTAAAAACAAAGGAAAATAACGTTTAAAACTATATTTCCCTGTGAACATGCCTAAGGAATGTTTTCTGTTTGAGCCACGTAGAAAGTATTTTGACAATGATTTCAGCAATGTCCCTGCTTGGCTTCCTTTCAATCCAGAAAAATAACCCCGGTAATAAGGATGTTGCTCTGCACAGTATAAATATACAGTTTTTGGAGTGCTTTTCCAAAGTTCTGTTTCTTTTTATTTTTAATGTGTGTACGTAGGAAAAAATAATGCCAACAATATGTTGGTGATTAAATGTAAAAAATAAACATCTTTTCTATTTCCCAGTCCTACTCAAACATATTATCTTTAATTATTCTGGTGGTTAACACCATAACAAAATAAGTATTTGTGTCCCCTCAAAATTCATATGTTGAAGCTCTAACCCTTAATTTGATGGGGTATGGAGCTGGGGCATTTGGGAGGTAATTAGTTTTAAACGAGGTCATGAGTTTGAGGCCCTCGTGATGGAATCAGTGCCTCTATAAGAAGAGAAAGAGATACCAGAGTGTGTGCTTGTGCGTGCTCTCTCTTTCTCTCTCTTCTCTCCTCCCTCTCTCCCCCAACCCCTGCCATGCCACCATGTGAGGAAGCAGTGAGAAGGCAGCTGTCTGCAAGCCAGAAAGAGAGTCCTCACCGGGAACTGAGACATCTGGCACCTTGGTCTTGGACTTTCCAGCCTCCAGAACTGTCAGAAGTCAATGTCTGTTAAGACACACAGTCTGTGGTATGGCTATGGCAGCTGAAGCAGACTAATGCAGATGCCTTTACCTCTCTTTATTTATTCATTTCAGAAAATGCCTATTCTCTACCTGCTTGGAATGATGAAAGATTTTAGTCAGACACACTGTTATCCGTTGCTACTTTTTGTTTTTCAATTGATTTAGTATAAATAATATATCTCACTTTATTTCTCATTGTATCAACAATAGAAAGTATTTATTGACTTCCTATTATGTGGGATCTGGAAACTAGAAATTCTAAATTGTCCCTGATCCCTTTATCTCCAATGTTGGCTGAGTAACTCATTATATTTTAATTTAATTATTACAATATTTGCATTTTGACCATCTGCCCATGGCTTCTTGTAAATTTTTTGAAAAAAAAATTGACCAACCTTACACAGTTAGGACTATAAAATTTTATGTATTTAAAAACCAAAGAGTTTGGACTGGTGAGAAAAAAATGTAAACCTATTTTATTAAATCTGTGCCCCTTGAAAGAAAATGTTTAAAATATCGAAGTCAACTTGATTTCTTTTCTTACATGCCATTAACTGTTTTAAGGCATGTCATATTTCACTTCATAGAAAACAATTTTATGGCACTTAATACACACCAGTACTATTCTAAAAGGGAGACATATTTTACTACAGAGTACTGTTATTAATGCTATTTCTCAGAAAAAGAAAGAGGCACAAGTAAGATAGTAACTTATCCAAGATCACACAGCAAAATACTTGGATAGTAAGCTATCCAAGATCACACAGAGAAATGCAAGAGCCGTAATTCATGCAGAATCACGCTGGCTTCAAAGTCTGTGATTTTAACTATTATATTAATATTGGGGCCATTATTTTCTTCTATGGCTTTTTTTTTAAAGAGTTTCAAATTTCTTTACATTGCTGTTGTTATTGTGAACAGAAGGTATGCAAACATTCTCCAGTGCTTCATTTTCCAGATTCTTATTCAGACTGTTTAGATTCACGAAATTTATTTACCCTTTAAAGGCATTCCTATGAAAGCCTGGAGACTCCCTTTTCTAGTTTGGAATGAAAGATAACACAACTATCCAAGCAAAAGTGTAATTAAGCCCCAAATCACTGAAAAACTGATGTGCAGCAATCCCAGAAAGCCTGTACACCAAGGATTTCCTAGGACTGGGAAAACCTAACCTGTGAGAGGAAAGAGTGATAGATGTTGACAAAGCAAAATGAAATGTTCTTTTTAACGAATATGATGTTGGATGTCTTTCCTGTGTCCTTTGAGATCCATGTTCCACTCTGTGCCTTAGGAAGCTGAGCCTCCTGAACCACATCTGCAAGCAGCTTGGGGTCCACCAGCCAGCTCAGTTCAGTCAACGGGGATCCCCACAGGACATGGGGCAGATGCAGCACACAGGACCCTACAGAAATAGGACAGGGGAAGCAAAGTGAGGTTGTGGTGTTTCTTCCTCCTCCCCTCTCTGATGGACCACAGGTTGGGTGTCTGTTGAATGAGGAAATGAGACCTGGACATGGATTGCATTGACACTTCTACATGCTAAAATGCAAGGATCTTTTTTAAACAGCAGCTTCTGAATATGGCAAGGAGTTAAAAATACCTAAGCATTGTAGGTATAAAACTGTAAATTCACTCTTATAAGAGATGTTCAGGTGGATAATATCTCCTTTCTCTACTACTGTCATTCAATTGGAAACAAATACAGGCGCTTACACTTGTAAGGGCTGCAAGCTCATGCAGTGGTGACAGGGAGGGACAGTCACGTATAGTTAAATGAGACATAGCAACACAAGTATGTGTCCTGACACTAGCTAATTAGTAATTTCTCCAGTTTGTTACATTCCATTTTTTAAAGCAGAAATTATATTTGTTGTTCATCTATTTTATTAAAATGTATCAAACGGTTAAAGTTTTGTCTAAGCTACAACAAACAGTAAGTTCACATTAATTATTTTAAAATGTAGTGTATTTGATTTATAATTTACAAAATAGAATCTTCCTTTTAGTGTATGGTTTTATTAGCTGATTTAATGCAGCCATATAACCACTACTACAATTAAAATATGGTGCAGAACGTTTCCTTCACTCCCAAAAGTCTCCTTGTGCCCCTCTGTGGTGAACCCTTACCCTGGCCCCACCCCCTGACATGCACTGGTTTGTTTCTATAATTTATCTTTTTCAGAATGTCATAGAATTACCATATGGTATGTAGCCTTTGGGGTGTGGCTTCTTTCTCACAGCATGATGCATTTAAGGGTCATCTGTGTCATCGTGTGTTTCAGTAGTTGGTTCCTATTTACACCGAGGAATATTTTCTTCTACGGATGCTCCACGGTTTGTTTATCCATTCGCCAGTTGAAGAACATTTGGATTGGCTCCAGATGGAGCGATTGTGAATAATTCTACTCTGAACATGTGTGCACTGGTATTTGTAGGAACATAACTTGCTTTTCTCTAGGATAATACCTAGGAGGGGATTGCTGGGTCAAAAGGTAAGTGTACGGTTAACTTCTTGAGAAACTGTCAAGCTGTTTTCAGGTGGCCATATCAGTAATGTTCCCACCAGCAACGAATGAGAATTTCAGGAGTTCTTGTCCTCACCAGCACTCCAGCACTTGGCATTTCAGGTTTCTTTTTGAAATACTCTCATGAGTGTGAAGTGGAATCTCGTTGTGGTTTTACTTCGCTTTCTCTGTTTACTAATGGTGTTAGACATCATTTCATGAATTTATTTTCCATTCATATGTCTTCTTTGGTGAATTATCCATTTTTTGTTATGTATGCTTTCCCTTATTATTAAACTTGGGAATTATTTACGTATGCTAGACACAAGTTCTTTATCACATATGTATTTTGCAAATATTCCTCTCAGCCTGTGACTACAGTTTTCATTTTGCTAATGGTGTCTTTTGGAGAGCAGAGGTTTTAAACTTTTTGATATCCAACTTATTAACATTTTTATGAAACATGCTTTATATGTTGCATCTAAAATTTTTTCCCCAAATTAAGCTGGCAAAGATTTTTGCCTGTTTTCTTCTGGAAGTTTTGTAGTTTTCCATTTTGCATTTAGTTCTATGATTCATTTTGAGGTAAATTTGTTTCTGGTGTGTCAGAGAGGTCAAGGTTTTCTTTATGTAGATGTCTATTTGTCATAACATATTTATTGAAAAGACTAATTACTTTTCTACTAAATTGCTTTGCACCTTGGTCATAAATCATTTTACCATGCACATGTGGACCTGTTTCTGGATTCTATTTTATTTCATTGATCCACATGTTTATCCTTTTCATAATACCATATTGTCTTGATTACTGTAGGTTTACATGAAGTCTTGAATTTAGGTATTTGAACTCTCAAAAATTGTTCTTTTCCAAAATTATTTTGGTTGTTCTGGTTCCTTTGCTTAACTGTGTACATTTCAGAATCGCTTCTAAAAATAATCCTGCTAGGATTTTCACTGGGATTGCACTGAGTTTGTAAGTCAGTGTAGGAAGAATTGACACATCAACAACAGGGGGTCTTCTAGTTCATGGACATGCCATCTCACTTTTTATCTTTATCTGTGATTTCTCTCATTCACGTTGTATAGTTTACAGCATGCAGGTCATACACATATTTTGTCATATTACTCATATCATGTTGAATTTATAACAAAATACGTTTTTAATGTTTCAAGGAGCTATTGCAAGAAATATTGTTTCAGAAATTTTAATTTTCATTTGTTCATTACTGAGATATAGAAATGCATTTAGTTTGTTTATTGATCTTGTAGCTAATGTTCTTGCTAAATTTCACTTATTAGTTGTAAAAGATTTTCTTAGGATCCTTGGGATTTTCTAAGTAGATTACTACCTGTGAATACAGAAAGTTTTATTTCTGCCATTCCAATCTATATACTTGTAATTTATTTTTCTTCCCTCATTGCATTGCCTCAGACTATCAGTGTGATGTTGAATTGGAGTGGTGAAAGCAGTCGTATTAGTCTGTTTTAATGCTGCCAATAAAGACATACCTGAGACTGGGTAATTTATATAGAAAAAAAGGTTCGATGAACTTACAGTTCCAGTTCCACATGGCTGGGGAGACCTCACAATCATGGAGGAAGGCAAGGAGGAGCAAGTCACGTCTTACATGGGTGGCAGCAGGCAAAGAGAGAGCTTGTGCAGGGAAACTGCCCCTTATAGAACCGTCAGATCTCATCAGACTTATTCCCTGTCACAAGAATAGCACTGGAAAGACCTGCCCCCATGATTCAATTACCTCACACTGGATCCTTCCCACAACATGTGGTTATTTAAGATGAGATTTGGGTGAGGACACCACCAAACCATATCATCCCATCTCTGGCCCCTCCAAAATTTCATGTCCTCACATTTCAAAACCAATCATGCCTTCCCAACAGTCCTTTAATGTCTTAACTCATTTCAGCGTTAACTCAAAAGTCCACAGTCCAAAGTCTCATCCAAGACAAGGCAAGTCCCTTCCATCTATGAGCCTATAAAATCAAAAACAAGTTATTTGTTGCCTAGATACAATGGGGGTACAGGCATTGGGTAAATACAGCCATTCCAAATGGGAGAAATTTGCCAAAACAAAGGAGCTACAGGCCACATGCAAATCTGAAATCCAGTGGGGCAGTCAAATCTTAAAGCTCCAAAATGATCTCCTTTGACTAATGTCTCACATCCAGGTCATGCTGATGCAAGAGGTGGGCTTCCACGGCCTTAGGCAGCTCTGCTTTGGTGGCTTTGCAGGGTTTAGACCCTCTCCTGGCTGCTTTCACTAGCTGGCATTGAGTGTCTGCAGCTTTTCCGGGTGCACAGTGCAAGCCGTCAGTGGATCTACCATTCTGAGATCTGGAGGACAGTGGCCCTCTTCTCAGAACTCCACCAGGTGGTGCCCCAGTAGGAACTCTGTGTGGGGGCTCTGACCCCACATTTCCCTTCTGCTCTGCCCTAGCACAGGTTCTCCATGAGGATCCCACCCCTGCAGCAAACTTCCGCCTGGGCATCTAGGCATTTCTGTACATCCTCTGAAATACAGGCAGAGGTTTTCAAACCTCAGTTCTTGACTTCTGTGTACCTAGAGGCTCAACACCATGTGGAAGCTGCCAAAGCTTGAAGCTTGCACCCTCTGAAGCCATGGCTTGAGCACTACATTGGCACCCTCCAGCCGTGGTTGGAGTGGCTGGGATGCAGGGCACCGAGTCCCTAGGCTGCATGAAGCATGGGGACCCTGGGCCCAGCCCACCAAACCACTTTTTCCTCCTAGACTTCTGGGCCTGTGATGGGAGGGGCTGCCATGAAGACCTCTGACATGTCCTGGAGACATTTTCCCCATTGTCTTGGGTATTAACATTCAGCTCCTTGTCACTTATGCAAATTTCTACAGCCGGCTTGAATTTCTCCTCAGAAAATGAGATTATCTTTTCTATTGTATTGTCAGGCTGATAATTTTCTGAAATTTTATGCTCTGCTTCCCTTATAAAACTGAATGCCTTTAACAGCACCCAAGTCACCTCTTGAATGCTTGGTGGCTTAGAAATTTCTTCCACCAGATACCCTAAACATCTTTCTCAAGTTCAAAATTCCACAGATCTCTAGGGTGGGGGCAAAATGGTGCCAGCCACTTTGCTAAAACATAACAAGAGTCACCTTTGCTCCAGTTCCCAACAAGTCTCTCATCTCCATCTGAGACCACCTCAGCCTGGACCTTATTGTTCAAATCACTATCAAATCACCTCAGTCTGGACCTTATTGTTCAAATTTTTGTCAAAGTC
Organism: Homo sapiens; assembly: GCF_000001405.40. Taxonomy (NCBI): domain Eukaryota; kingdom Metazoa; phylum Chordata; class Mammalia; order Primates; family Hominidae; genus Homo; species Homo sapiens. Next base: position 75,736,319 of record NC_000018.10, on the reverse strand, counting down.
ATTTAACAAATCTCTAGGAAGTTCCAAACTTTCCTACATTTTCCTGTCTTCTTCTGAGCCCTCCAAACTGTTCCAACCTCTGCCTCTTACCCAGTTTCAAAGTCAATTCCACATTTTTGGGTATCTTTTCTGCAATACCCCACTCTCTGTATCAATTTATTAGCAGCATGTCTGTCTTTATTAGCAGTGTGTCTGTTTTCACACTGCTAATAAAGACATACCCAAGTTTGGGTAATTTATACAGGAAAAAAGTTTAATGGACTTACAGTTCCACATGGCTGGTGAGGCCTCATAATCATGGCAGAAGGCAAGGAGGAGCAAGTCATGTCTTACATGGATGGCAGCAGGCAAAAAAAAAAAAAAAAGAGTTTAAGAGCTTGTGCAGTGAAACTCCTTCTTACAGAACCATCAGATCTCATGAAAGTTATTCACTATCATGAGAACAGCATGGGAAAGACCTGCCCCCAATGATTCAATTACCTCCCACCAGATCCCTCCCACAACATGTGGGAATTCAAGATGAGATTTTGGTGGAGACACTGCCAAACCATATAAGCAGTCATCTTTGCTGGTTCCCAGTCTGTGGGGGAAAGCATTTATTCCTTCTCAATTAAATACTATTTTAGCGTTAGGTTTTCTGTAGATGCCCTTTAACAGGTGAAGCTCCCTTTCTTGAGAATGATAGATTTTATTGTGAATGAATGTCAACATTTGTGGATGACTATATTGTTTTCCTTCTTTTGTGTGTTTATGTGGTAAATGACATCAATTGATTTTCAAATGTTGAAACAATCTTACATTTCTAGGGTAGACTCCTATTGGTCATGACACATTCTCTTTCTATTTATTGCTGGATTAAGTGTGCTAAATTGTTCTTTGGAGGATTTTTGTCCATATGCTCATAAGGGATGTTGGACTCTAGTGTTCTTGTGATCTTTGTCTACTTTGGGTATCGGAATAATTTCGGCCTCATAAGATGAGTTGAAAAGTATTTCCTATGCAAATCAAAACCACAGTGAGATACCATCTCAGACCAGTCAGAATGGCCATTATTAAAAAGTCAAAAATAGGCCAGGCGTGGTGGCTCACACCTGTAATCCCAGCACTTTGTGAGGCCGAGGAGGATGGATCACGAGGTCAGGAGTTCAAGATCAGGCTGGCCAAGATGGTGGAAGCTGGTCTGTACTAAAAATATAAAAATTAGCCAGGCGTGGTGGTGGGTGCCAGTTATCCCAGCTACTCGGGAGGCTAAGGCAGATAGTTGCTTGAACTCGGGAGGCAGAGGTTGCAGTGAGCTGAGACTGTGCCACTGCAGTCAGTCCAGCCTGGGCAACAGAGTGAGACTCTGTCTCAAAAAAAATTAAAAAACTACGAAAAAAAGTCAAAAATAACAGATGCTGTCGAGGAGGTTGTGGAGAAAAAGAAACCCTTATATACTATTGGTGGGAGTGTAAATTAGTTCGACCATTGTGAAAGACAGTGTGGTGATTCCTCAAAGATCTAAAGACAGAAATACTATTAGGCCCAGCAATCTCATTACTGGGTATACACCCAAAGGAATATAAATTGTTCTATTATAAAGATACATGTACTCTTATGTTCATTGCAGCACTATTCGCAATAGCAAAGACATGGAATCAACCCAAATGTCCATCAATGATAGACTGGATAAAGAAAATGTAGTACATATACACCATGGAATATTAATACTATGCAGTCATAAATGAGAATGAGACTATGTCCTTTGCAGGACATGGATGGAGCTGGAGGCCATTATCCTTAGCAAACTAACACAGAAACAGAAAACTAAATACTACCTGTTCTCACTTATAAGTGGGAGCTAAGTGATGAGAACACATGAACACATAGAGGGGAAAACAGACACTGGGGCCTACCAGAGGGTGCAGGGTGGGAGAAGGGAGAAGATCAGAAAAAATAATTAATGTGTCTCATTTGTACTAGGCTTAATACCTGGGTAATGAAATAATCTGTACAACAAATCCCCGTGACACACATTTACCTGTGTAACAAACCTGCACATCCTATTTATGTACCCCTAAACTTAAAAGTTAAAAATAAAAACAAAATTAAATAAAATTAAAAAGATGTGACTTAAAATTTATTTAAAAAGAAAAGTATTTCCTTTGATTCTAATTTCTGGGAAAGTTTTTGAATTGGTAGCATTTGTGCCTTAATTGACTAATGAAATCCACTCATGAAAACATCTGGGTCTGAGTTTTCTTTATGGGAAGATTCTTAACTATGAATTCAACTTCTTTAATAGATACAGGGCTATTTGGTTTATCCATGGCTTCTTGAGTGACCTTTGATAGTTTGTGTCTCTGAAGGAATTTGTCGATTGCATCTAAGTTGCTGAATTTATGGGCATAAAGTTGTTATTCCTCTACACTTATTCTTTTTCAAATGATGTTTGATCTGTAGGGAAATCCCACCCCTCATTCCTGATACTGGTAATTTGTGTCTTTTCTCCTTTTTTCTTGGTTATACTGACTAGAGATTTATCAATATTATAGATTTTCTAAAAAAAAAACAAAAAAAAAACAGCTTTTGGTGATTTTCTTTATTGTTTTTCTGTTTTCAATTTCATTGATTTCTGCTCTTATCTTTATATTTGTCATTTCCCCTTGATTTAGGTAAACTGGCTAACTTCAGAATATTATTCTTCCTGATTGGTTTTCTGAAGTATGAATACGACATATCTAGGTGTGATGGTGTTGCTTTTATTTTTAAAATGTTCTCATTTTTCTTGCATTTATTATAATTATATTGCTTAGGTATCTCTGGATGGCTTGGACTTATGGTTTCATATATTTTATAAATATTGGGGAATTCTACTCACAAGCCCTAAAGAGTGTATGAGTCCTGGTATGTCTGCAGCCCCAGGGGCTTCTCATTCTCACACCATTCTGCTCCCAACTTCCAGCAACGGGTCCCAATTGCTCACCAAGTAAGTGCTCCTAGGAGTTTAAGGCCTCCAGTAGCTTCTTTCTGCTCCAGGTAGCTGAACTGAGGTGCTATATCTCTTCGGGCTTTCCAGGTTTTGGAATGACAGTTTGCCTTGCAACTCAGTGCGCTAATGGATCCAAGAAAGGTGTGAATTTTCAGTTTGTTCAGCTTTTCCTTATCGTAAAATTTGGGGGGTGGCGACTGCCAAGTTCCTTATATCTTGGAGCTGACACCATAAATCTAATTATAATTTTGGATTTTCTGTTTCTTCTTTCAGTTCACTCAGTCTTTGTTTTTTGTATTTTGAAGCCCTGTTGTTACATGCATACACATTCAGACTGTGATACCTTGACTCATATATCATGATGTATGGTTGACCCATTATCATAACATACGGTCCCTCATTATCCATAGCAATCTCCCTTCTTTCAAAGTTTACTTTGTCTGATATTATAATAGCCATACTTTCATTAGTGTCAGCATGGAATGTATTTTGTATCTTTTTATTTTAACCTATCTATGCCATTGTATTTAAGTCACTGTGAAGATACCTTGCAGACACCTTGCATACACCTTGCTGACAGCATGTAGTTGAATATTTCTTTTTTATCCCAAGTCAGAGAATATCTGTATTTAGTTGGTATGTGTAGTCTGTCTATACTTTATATGATTATTAATATGTTTGTATCTACTAATTTCTTATATTTTCTATTTGTTCCACCAGTTCTTGTATTTCTCTCCATCTCTTTTCACCTGCTTTTGGCTCAAGTTGTGTTAGGTTTTAATTTCATCTCCACTGTTTATTCATTATTTATGTATCTTAAAAATATATCTTGTGGCTGTCCTAGACTTTATAATGTGTATCTTTAATTTGTTACAATATATCTTCATATAATAACACACTGCTTCCCATGTACTATAAAAATCTTACACCAGCCTGCTTCTAATTTCACTCTGCAGTCTTATGCGGTATTGCTGTCATGCGTTCTGCTTTTACATATGCCTCAACTCACATTGCGTAGCTACTAGCTTTGCTCTAGATGGTTATCACTTCCAGTGACTGAAAATTAGAAAAATCAACTTTATTTTAATCATGTTCTGAGTTCTTTTGTAAGATTCTAGCTGGTATCTTATTTCTTCTCCCTGAAGATTGGCTTGTATTGAGCTCTTTGATCTTTTGTTTCTCTTTAGCAGTCTTTATTTTGACTTCATTTTTGATAGATTTTTGTTGGGTGTGGATTTCCAGGTTCACGGTTTCTCTTTCTTCCCCAGTGCTTTAAAGATGGCACATGCTGACTTCCGGCTTGCAGAGTTCTCCTTGGGCCTTGGCCTTCACGGGCCCTGTGTGCCTGAGCCTGCAGGGTGGGGCTTTCTCACTGACCTCACTCCTCCTGCAGCCAGTCTCATCCTTGTGCCCTTGGTGGGGCTTGAGAGTTTCCAGCCTTTCTTCTGATACCTCTACTGGTATTGATACAGGACCACGGGCCCAGGACAGTTTCCTGCCTCTCCCTCCTGGCAGATTTCTTGTTACCTTTATTCTTCCTCTAGCCAGAATGAGTCTTTCCTTGTGCCTGCAGACAACAGTGTTTGCTGCCTCTCACCAGAAGCTTAAGGATTGTGCTCCATATAGAAAAGAGCTGCAGGTGTGCGGGGCAGGGCAGGTTGTGCTTACCCCACAGCAGGGGCCAGTCCCCTTCTCCAGGCCTGCAGCATTGTGGACTGTTCTCTGTTGTTGTTGTTGTTGTTGTGTTTTCATTATTTCACGCCACCCAGTTTTTCTCATGAGCATTTGGAGAACCTGTGAGGAATGGAGCCTATTATACACGTGGCTTTTAGAAATGCTTTACATTCTGCCTTAAATTGTCACTCGCTTGCTTGATACCTGTCATGGGTGATGAGCAGTACTTCACATCTCAGCCTTCCTTGGAAAGAGAGGTCTTTTCTTGGATTCAGTGTTACTTGGAGGGAAAGAGAAAATGAGAGTGGCTGTCCATCCAAGAGAAGAGAGGTGGGACTGTCTGAAGGACAGCGTGCAGGAGAAGGGGGGAAGGAGGGGAGGCTTCCCACCGGTAGGGCTGTGGCACCCAGAGCAGGAGCTGGCTAGCTGAGCAACCACTCAGGAGTCCGTGACACTCACAAACCCATCTGTCCTGTAAGCAGGGCCTCTTACCCTCTCTGTCGGAAATGGGGGATGAAGGGAGAATCTCCCCTCCTTCCATCATGAACTGTTGGAGAATTCCCTGCTGAATGGAGCAGAGAAACTGGGCTAGAACTGGAGAAACTGCAGCGTTGGGTGGCAAGGACATCAGATGGCCCCTGTTGTGGCTGTCACCAAGCACAGTCTGCATTTCTTTAAAGGCACAGGTGAAAATTCTTCTGAAAACTGGAACGAAAAATGGCACTGCAATTAGACCTCAGTAGACCCTCTGCTACCTGGGCTCTCAAAGAACCAGGCCTCCCACAAGGGGACTGGCACGTGGAGGCGGCTTGCCCACACACCACCTTTGGGTGTTTAATGATGGCCCTGCCAGGCAGAGTGCTCCAGAAAGCAAAGTCTTTTTCTTCATTTGGAGAACTGTGCTTTGGGCTATGTCAGACAAAGCTACTTGCTACTTGAGGATTGTGGATGGAAATATTCCTGAGAGCTGGTCAGAATTCCACCAAATTTCAAGCTCCAAGAGGAGTATTTGTTCAGCTTAAAAATATCCCAGTTGTGTGCTTGGTGATTAGTTTTTGAGGATAAAAGTGCAGTGTGTGTTCTTGCCTAACGCTTTTCCATAACCCCTGTGTACCTCCAAGTCAACAGGACAACTGTAGGGTTTTTATTTCCCCTCTTCCTCATGAATCAAGTCCCTTGTATGAAACAAATCGTTACAACAACAAAGAGTGACAGCCTGACAGCCTAGTCGGTTATTAATGGGAGTGACAGCCAGCAAATCAGAAGTCATGGCAATGTATCTGTATGAACAGCAATCTGTGCTTAGTTGAATAACCGGGAGACTCAGGAAATCCTGGAGAAAGAGAAGGAACAAAATCAAACAGATACATTTCTATCCACCCCACGCTACCCTAAAGTAATTGACAAGTGGAAGGACAGCAGTATTCAGAACTTCTCTAGGACTTACTTTAATTCCACATCTTGCACACCCAAGGGCTTAAAAATCAGACCAATAAAAAGGAAGCTAAACAAGCTTTCTATTTTCTTCTTACAAGACTACATACATGATATGCTGCTCATCTAATTATTTTATGCTGGATTTCCAGGGAATTTCTGACTCAATATTATCCAGAGGCTGGAATAAACGTCAGCTCAACTAGAAATACAACTTTTAAAACTTTCACTGTGGTTCATAAGCTTAAATATTCTGTTTTGTACACCTCAAGGGCTTGTTGGGGTTTTTCTTTGGTGTGTTTTTATTATTTTCAAAAAATAGCATTCGTATATCTAGTAGCGGGTTGTTAGAATAGGTATTTTCTCAAAACTACCATAGTCGTTGTTTTTATTTTTCCCTTTCCCCCTGAAACTACAAATGTTGACATTCTGGTGATTAGGAAATTAGATGTTGAACTACTTGATCATAGTAACCATATAATGTCATTGATTAAGGAACTAAATTACAGCCTTATTGTGACATTCAGAGGGACCAGAGATGGTCAGCAGGGAAGGTGCCCATGAAGGACACTGAGATGGTCTGGAGGAGAAGTGAGCTTGCTTGCACACTGTGTGCAGGGCCATGTGCAGGGGTGAGGTGCAAAGCTGGATTGCTCACAGAGCGCAAAATTGATGTGATGCTTTTTGTTTGTTTGTTTGTTTGCTAGTGTTTACTATTTTGCAAGTGTAATACCACTGCATCTTGAGAGGAAGGTGAACAGTCAGACCAACTCATACACAGGTTTCCAAAAGCCCCAAAGCCACCAACAGTCCAAGGTGAACAGATATAGGTAAAGTTTTGTAGAGGAAGGAAAGACTCTAATTCAATTTCCAATCCCACATTTGGGGCTTTTGAAAAGATGTTTTCACTGACCAGAAAGTTAGGCACATCTCCTGCTTAAAGCCGTCACTACCAATAAGATGTCTTATGAAGACAGAAGATACAAAGACTTGAGAAATCGCTCTCTCCTTCTCTTTCTCCCTCACTCTCTCTCTCTCTCTTTGTCTTTATTTCTCTCCCCAACGCTCCTGTCTATTTGAGCTTTCTTAGAAGAGCTCCTAATTAGGTTAGAGAAAATTATCCAGAAAAGAATTATTAAAAAAAACTGTAATAGTGCTGTGAGGATGCAAGCACCCTGCCAATAGGAAGCTCAGAGTTTAGTGAAAATAATCAGTCAGGTTTTTGCCACACAGAACAGAGCTGTTTCTTATGAAGACCTAATATCTCTCACATTGCGAGGGGAAAAGAGCCCCAGGTTTCCATGGATGTGTTATTCACCCGGGAATGGGAGACATTGCAATTTTCCAGGAAGGGCATGAGGGCAGGCACGCATCGCCCTGACATGGGTAGTGAGAGGTTCTCTCTTCCCAGGGATGATGGAGGAACTGCCAGGATTCATCAAACCTATGACTGTTACTCATCTCTGCTGATTCATGTGAGAATAAATGAGAGACCTTAAAAAATCCTGAAACTTATTTTTATTGACTTTGAAAGAGGAAAAAGGATGTGGAATATGTGTAGCTAGATTGAAAATAAAAGCCGGAGCATGTAGCCTTCTGGATCGCTGCTGATGGCGTCTGAGTGACGGGTGCATCTGACAAGGACTTAGAGGAAGGAGGAGGCACCTGATCGAGGACTCCAGCCTGAACATGAGGCAGGGGACAGGACATTCTATGTCAAGTTGCTATGACATAGAATGAATAAAAATAATGGAAAAGATCCTAAAGAGAAAATAACAATGAAGATAAGAAAGAATTTGAAAAAATATCAGTATAAAGCCTAAATTAAACACAGTTTAGCCCAAGGTAGTATAAGACACGACTCTCACACAAACTTGATGCTAAAGAGCTCATAATTAGAAGACTATTAAAAAGAAATTGCTCCAGGAGAAGGGAAGGAGAAGAGCATATTATTCATCAATGCAGGAAGGCATGAACTTCAGATATAGAGAGATCAATTGCATTCCTAAGTAAGGCTACTCTGAGAGCGACCTTAGAGCTGGCCCTTCTCCACCCACTGTGTGACTAGAAAAGCTACTTATTCTCTGTGAGGAAGTCACAGTGCCAGATGTACCTGATCCATTAAGGATGTTGTATTAAGTGAGAGATTGATTTGGATGTATCTAGCATGATAACTGGTTCACAGTAGATACCCAAAATGCTATCGTAACAGTGAGGCCAGGAAATATTACAATACTCATTTTTGAGGAAACATAAGAAAGCTGCTATGCCCATAGTAACTTGTGGAGGTGTCTGTGACCCCTGGTAATCAAGCTTGGATCACTTGATTGTGGGTTTGGCCTCATTGCTGTGGTCTCATTGTGTTAAAGAGGATGGACAAAGCAGCTTTTGCTTATGGATCCAGTGAGGCAAGGCGAGAGCGCTCATCAGAAGAGGATTGCTCCATACTGGATGACATGGGCCAGCCCAGTTTGACCCTCTCTTTAGGAAAGAGGCATGTAGCATAGACAGGGAGGGAGATGACAGGAAAACACAGCTGCTAAGAGAACAAAGAGAGCAGGTGGTGAGCAGAAGTCACTCATGAAGCAGCAGCCAGGGGGCGCCAGGGGCTGTAAAGATGGCTTGTGTGGCAGAGGAAAGACGCAAACCCAGCACCATGGCACTCGTGGGCCATTGGATCCGCTGCTGGCAACCACATTCCCTTCCACCGAGGGGCTGCCTGGGGGGTTCTTGCTCTTCTGTGTCACTCTGTCCATTCTCACCAGCATCACATCACTGGAGCAACTCACAATGGGCTTTTGTGCCTTACTATCTGGAAGGACATAAATCTCACAGACTTGCTATTGTTATTATGACCTGCAAAGCTACTATAGATATATATCCTGACTTTGAAGAATTTCTCCCTAGTAAAGAAGATATTAAGTTTAACAAATAATGACAATGGGGATATATAAAGGGATATGTACCACAAGAAGGGTATAGATAACTGGACACAGAAGTTAAAAGGAGAGAGATGCCTTATAAATAGACTATCAGAGGTGTGATGGAATAGACAGCATTTCGGCTGGACCACAAAGAAAGGGTCACAAACACCATTGGATATAATGAGGAAGAGAGAAAGGAAATAAAATGAGCGGAGGTCTGAATAACGGTGGGAGGAACCCTGTGAGTACACATGCAAGTCCCAGGAGCACAGGGAGAGGGGAGAAGGGCTTAGCAGAAGGACAGGCGGCACCTGACTGTGACGGGATTGGACCCAGTTGTAACAAGGTGCATCCCGGTGGATGGAATACCCGTGATGGAATTCTTTATTTTTCTTTCACCGCTGTTTTGAACCATGTTCTGCCGAATCTTCTGCCCTGTTTCTGCCTTATCACAGACAGGCCCCACCCCACTATGGACAGGCACTGCCCCCTCCACCAATTGCACCCTCCACCAACCACTCCTGAGACGTCAGAGCAGTGGCAGCAGCACCAAATGCCCCAGACCCGACTGTAGACCACCTCCCATTATAAAATTCTCAGAAAAAAAAAAAACAAAAACAAACCACAAAGCCCAAAAATACGATCCCCTTCTGCTTTTATGTTGAAATTGAAAAACTAAAATTCCAACATTATTCACTCTACAGTTTCTTATATAATGGGCATCTTCTCAGCCATGCCATCCTGAGAGTCTTGTGTGGACTGCTTCCTTAAACATTTGTTCCAGACATGGTCATGAGAGTGTAGTAACCAAGGCCTCAGTTCAAGCACGAAGAAAACTTAGCCATCTCAGAACAGACAGTGGGCATATGCTCTGGAAGGTTCCAGGTGTTCAGAGAACCCTGTAAGCTCATTGTGACACCTGGTGCTGAGTGCTGTGTCTGAGGTCTAGCTGGAAATTCCTTTGAATTGTAGCTGGAAATTCCTTTGAATTGCTTTGAATTTGAAATGCTACAGCAACACAGCCTAGAGCCATGGAATCTGATGGACGGTTGCCTCAAAATGCAGGGCCTGTTCTATTTTGGAAAAGACTATTTTTTTAAGTCTAAGTTTTCTCTTCCACAGCCCCACAAGTCGCCCTAAATAAGGGTCACATCCCTTGGTGTCAGATTCTCCCACTACATCATTTAGTTGCAACCCTACAACCAATCAATGATCACCTCTTCCACTGTTCCCAGTGTTTTGAGTAATTCCCAAGCCCACGTAGTTTAGGGCATTGCTTCATTAAAGTCCCTGTATGCAAGGTCATGTGTAGAATCTCAATATCGCCACTGTGTGCATCCCAAACAGACTGCTTCTAGGAAGCTGAACATGTGTAGCAGCTGCTCATTTCTGCACTTTCTTTGACGCCCAGCACAAGGTCCCCTGCATTTCCACACATCAACACTTACAAGTGCCTAGTTCCTATCTTGCAATACCCGCTTCTTCTCAATAACTAGGATAGTCAGAGGTCTCTGCATTTATCTGAGAGGAGAGATCACCAGTGAACTCTGGGCTGATAGAAGACGTCACCATTTGTATTCAGAGACCCAGCTCTGAGACACTGCTGAGACAGCAACAGTTTATGAAGATGGAAGCCTCTTAGAAGGATGGGCTCCAAGTCCCGCCCTTTTGCTGATAAAACCAGTACACTTGTTGCCTATAGTTGTTTTGGATTGCTCAGAACAGTTGAGAACTTGCAGAAATAAGCTATGCCTTGGGGTTAGGAAACTAGTGTACCACCTCTAGGGCAGCATTATCTTAGGTTGTCACACCGTCACCCAGAGATCCCCTTGCTGGCTACAGGTGAGTGATGCCCTGGGTCATAGCCAGGTACTAGGAATTCCGAATCCTCCCAGGCCCGCTCTGGCGGGGGACGTTTACAGCAAAACTTCCCCTACTTAGGTCACAGCCATAGTCCTTCCAGGATGTTGATCATATGGTATTATTCCGTTTCCTACTTTTTCATCCCAGACTCTTAAAGGCACTAATTCAAACTCAAAATATGGAGGGAAAGAATTCCCAAAGTTTTTCTATGGGCCCTGTGGGGCGGGGGCGGGGGGTGGGGAGGGGAAGAAACCTGGATTATGCCTGCAGGTTGAGTAAATGTCAATTTCCTGGTTGTGATATTGTGCTATAGTTTGGTTAAGATATTACCACTGGGGGAAAGTACGTAAAAAGTATACAAGATCTCTAAATTATTTCTGAAAAAATGCATGTGATTCTACAAATGATTCAAAATAAAAAGTTTCAAACATTAATTTTTTAAAACATGGTAGAATGAAGAAGTTAAAGATGAGCTGGTGGTGAAGAAGCTTGAGAAGAGGATAGAATGGAGCTCTTGAGGGGCCGTGGGGATGAGGTCAGCCTCTCCACCAGGAGGGGAACGTGGGCAGCAGTTAAAAAGAAATGCAGAAAGCAGGACTGTGTAAGGTTTGCCATGGGAGTGAAAGCAAATTTCACCTGTCTTGACATTGAATAAAAAATCACTCTGCTAAAAAAGAAACAGATTTTTGCTTGCTATGCTCACAGTTTATTACTCTGGGGGGGGGGTGGTGGCGGGGAAGTCTAGGAGAATAATGAGGGAAGCTTTTTCTAAGGATTTAATTCAGCAAAAAATAAATGATTGTTGTGATACAGAAGTGATTGGAGCCTCAAAAGGATGTGATTGTGGAATTTGTAAATTAAAAATTGCAAACGAAGTGAAGAAAAAGCACTTTCATATTTATATCCTAAACCTTAGAAGGACCTACATCAAAAATTTCCAATAAAACATTTCCTAAGCTTTAAGAAAAGAAATACATGGAGTTCTAAAAAATTTCAGATAAACAATTACAAATTATCCCATAAAGAAAAAAAATAGCAAAAAAAGATGGGTAGCAATTTATATTTACAATAAAAATAACAATTGCAAATAATAACTACAATTTATTGAGCATGGCGTAAGGCACTTTGCTAACCTATATGCCTTGGTCTTCCATAGATCCCCCTCCTCCTCATTTATGCTTTGAATAAACTTAGTCTTGTCAACCAGAAATTAAACCACTGAACCTGGAAATGATTTTCCCATTGGCAATCCCAATTTAACCCAGAAATCCCATATCACGAGTTAATGGGTCCATATGTGTTTCCTTCACAAATGAGCAGTGGGCGCATTCACCAAAAAAGACTGCTGAAAATAGTCACATTGTGAGAACTGCATTTGTTTGCTGGTAGGAGAATTTATGGTTTTCTGTTTTATTAAAAAAACTATCTTCCTCTTGGCATCATCAAAAATCTTATTTGTAAATATTACTTTGGGCTTTTTCAAAACTAGTGGAATATCAATTTTCTGTCTCTTCTTTGTCAGTCTCCAGGCTGATTTGCATTGCACGGTGCCAGACTGCGGCTCTGCGGCCCCCCAGGCAGTGTTATCCTCCGACGATTGAAGTTGAAAGAAATCTTGTGCCTTTCAGGCATCTTGTGAAACACAACAAACACCTCCCCGTTTCCAGGAAATCTTTTCTTTCCTTTTTCTTTTTTTTTTCTTTTTGTCAACATAAATTCTAAACAAAACAGACTAAAATGGAAATAACTGTGGCCCATCTGTCACAATGAGAAGTCTGTCACTGCAGCTACTTGCGTTTGTCAGCCAATCAGAGAAGAGATGCAAATCATCTCAAGCAATGTTTGCAAACAGTTGTTCCAAGGACCAATCCTTGTAAGATGCTGAAATTTTGCTGTGGGAAAGAAAAAAATTAAAAGGGGTGACATGCTTTAAGGTGATGGAAATAACTCGTAATTAAATGGGTATCCTGGAAGTCCCACTTTTTCGCGTGTGGGGTAACTTTAAGGAGGAGGGATAAAATGTAGCCAGCCCTTCTTCTCATTTTCTGCAATCTTGTTTCACAGAACAGCTTGGCCAACATAGACCTAAATCACTCATAAATCATGGCCAGGGCTCAGAATGATTAGAAATGAGATGACACTAAAGGAAGAGAAAAATCCAATGTTCTTACCTTTTAAAAAGTATTGTTCATGACAATATTCTTGCTAGAATTACTAACAAATGCAACGTTTCTTAGACACAGAGTCTCATCGGGAGATGTTGAATGTATCAGGGAGGTGCTTCCAGTAGGTTCTAGACATCGCCAGTAGGTTAACCAATCTTATTCAAACCACCCACCCATCTTTGCCCTGGATCGAGCACCACTTAATCAGGGTCACTAGGATATTCATGCAAACAAAACTATTAGATTGTTAGTTCTTTATACCGTTTTTGGCCATTCTAAATGCCTTTGCTGGACAACCACTGGATTTCAGCAAGTCGAATCTGATTTGTCTGGCCATACAAGCAGAGAATGCATTTAGGAAATTAGAAACCGGACAGGTGCGGCGGCTCACGCCTGTCATCCCAGCAGTTTGGGAGGCCAAGGCAGGAGGATCATGAGGTCAGGAGATCAAGACCATCCTGGCTAACACTGTGAAACCACATCTCCACTAAAAATACAAAAAATTAGCCGGGTGAGGTGGCGGGCGCCTGTAGTCCCAGCTGCTCAGGAGACTGAGGCAGGAGAATGGCGTGAACCCGGGAGGCGGAGCTTGCAGTGAGCCGAGATCGCGCCACTGCACTCCAGAGCGACAGAGCGAGACTCCGTCTCAAAAAAAAAAAAAAAAAAAAAAGGAAATTAGAAACCAGTCAGTCATCTCTGCAAATAATCCTTTTCTTCCCTTTCCTCTTCCACTGTCTGTCACCTATTTTATGAGATCTGACTTTGGGTCATTTCAATTCTTATCAGACTCATATAAAGAGAAAGTGCACAAAGTAAACTGACCAAGTCCATTTATAAACGATATCAGTCAATTTTCCTGTATGTTATCAACCACAGCAATCAAGGAAAGGAGACACAAGGACCACGAAAAGACGGGCAGCTCTCGTAGATTTCACTATCAACATCATTGCTCTAGAATTCTGAATGGCTTTGGTGTGATGGGGGATCACTGGCCCCAGGACACTTCGAAGACCGTACTAAGTTGTATTTTCTTGGTGGACACTTCAGTTGATTATAACTGTAGCTGCCTAAGTCAGAATGAGGTCTGCTTGCCATTGGTCCTAGAATTTTGTACATTTAAGACAGGCATCTCTAGTTTATGGTATATATTGTGTCTTAAATGACTAATCAGCATTTGGAGTTTTGATATAGAATAATATACATCTGGATACTCATAGTAAATGAATATAAAAGAATGACAGGGTGGAATCTAAGGCTAAGAGAGAATCTGTTGATTGATAGCAAATGAAGAAAATGAAACTTGGTATAGATTAATTGTCTAAGAAACTAAAGGTAACCATGAAGAATTAAGAATTAGAAAAAAAAACCCAAAAAACTGTTCATACACCTCGGTGATTTGAACTCCCCAAAGCTCTCCTCAACAACATGTTTTTAAATAGCATATGAAAAGTCAGTAGGAAAGGTAGGTGAAAATCCATCCACTAGATTTGCTTCTTAGTCTAAGGGAAGGAACTGTGATGGAAGCCCAGATCAGGAGGAGGGTCGCGGCATTGTGTGCCGCCCTGTGATCGAGACATGCTTCTACTCTCCCAAGACAAATGCGAAACTCCCTAATGTGGTATGGAAATGCCACAGGCAGGGTAAGGGGATGTGCAGTCTCCTCTAGCAATCTCGTACTTGCCACTGTATATTAAGAAAGGGACCATTGTATTAACCTAAGACCCAGGTGGAACGTAGGAGGGGACATGTGCATGAAGCCCAAATTGTTTGCTGGCACATGCCTAAGTGTATCTATCATGCTCAAGAATATTTAACAGAAAAAAAATGAATACATGGACCTAAGAAATGGAAAACTTCCCAGAAGGAACAGAGGAATAAGAAAAAGAACGTATATTACTAAAAATGATGTTCTACCAAAAAAAAAAAAAAGGTGAAAATTTAGAGGACATATGCTTCGTATCTCAAAAAGAAGCATGCACATATGGAAATAGTAAAGAAAAATGGAACTAAGTTGGAAAAAGGAAAAATAGAAAGTCAGGAATGCAATTGGGTATAAAATTAGAAAAGCAAATCAAATCCATGATGGGGCAGCAAACTTGAAAATATAGAAGATAAAGAAAATAAGATAAATAGAATGCCAAAATACTGAAAAAAGAGAACAATCCAACCTTATAATAATAGATAGAAGATGATACATTTAATTTGGCATTATTTGTGAGAAAGAATACTATGCATAAAATTAATTTGGACTACTTGTAATGGAATATGGCTGTGAAATAAAATCCAAAAATTAAATTGATACTAAAAAGCAAATCCATACATTGGGGAGAAAACAAGTAAGATGGGTATAAAAGGTAAAGTTATATCAACATAAATGGGTAAAATGGAAGGAGGATGACAAGGATAGGCACAGTAAAGTTGAACAAAATTATTGGCACCAATGTTGAAGGCAAAATCTAGTAAATATAAGAGAGAGAACAGTTTAGCATCTATTAAAAAGTGTGAAATGCTGCTAAAATTGTACACAGCAGTAATGCCATATCATGAAATTATTTCCTTTTATAACAAGAAAAAATAAAATTAATTATCTGAGCACTAAAAAATATTATTTTTTAATTTTCTGTAATATCTTAGTTGCTGTGCTAAGTATTTTATCAACATTGATTAAGTGACCATTTAGAAATATTCTGTGGCACTGTCATCTCCATACGGCCGGATAATTTTTACACACTTTCATGAGGATAGGGACTATGTTCATTTGTGCATTCTTTTACCCCAAGCTTGTAACATAGTACTTGTTGCATAGGAACTGACTGATATGTATTTGTTGAAGAGATGTATGGATGCACAGATGGACAGATGGATGGATGGATGGATGGATGGATGGATGCATGGATGGACGGATGGATGGACAGACGGATGGACGGATGAACGGATGGATGGACAGATGGATGGATGGACGGATGGATGGATGGATGGATGAATGGATGGCTATTGCTAGTGAGAGGAACAGGTGGAAATCTGCCTCAGGCCTCCCTCATTCAGTCTCAAATACATTACAAGATGGAGAGATAAAATATTTATAAAAACATATAGAAATATTATGAAGATAGCATGTAAGAAATATAGAGGATACAGAAAATTGCCCAAAAAATGACCCTGAAACAATGAACTTTTGAGACTGGGAAGATGGCATTAGCTCTGTGTTACTTGACTTCAGTTTCAAAAAATACTCGGTGAGCATTTATTGTTCCCTTACTTGCGGTAAGGAACATGGATGGCGGAATCGTATTCTCTACAACTCGTTTCCAGGATTTGGTCATGATCCAAATTGTACACGAACAAGTGAGAGAGCAGTCAGTGTGGAGAGTTAGTAATCAGATTTGCCTCATGAGAAATGACAGAACCACTTAAGCTGATGTATTTGTAAGAGATTTAGGGGTTGGGTGAGTTATATGGGTTCCATCTGTGTTCCCACCCAAATCTTGTGTTGAATTGTAATTCCCAGTGTTGAGGTAGGACCTGGTGGAAGGTAGTTGGATCATGGGGGTGGTTTCTCATGAGTGGGTTAGCACCTTTGCCTTGGTGCTGCTCTCATGATAGTGAGTGAGCACTCACAAAATCTGGTTGTTTGATAGTGTGAGGCACCTCCTCCCTTCTCTCTCTTGCTCCTGCTCCCCCTTCACCTTCTGCCATGATGGGAAGCTTCCTGAGGCCTCTCCAGAAGCTGAGCAGATGACAGCATCATGCTTCCTGTACAGACTGTGAAACTGTGAGCCAATTAAACCTCTTTTCTTTATAAACTACCCAAGTCTCAGGTCTTTCTTTATAGCCATACAAGAACAGACTAATGCAGTGAGGGTTGCTGGTCTCATGTACTCTGGTAATGAGGAAGGAAGCATATGGGAAATATATACAGCATACATTGATTGACATAAAAAGTTTTGCTGTGACCCTACTAATTGAGAGATGCTGCTCAGAAGAAAGGTGACATGTCTACCATCTGTTGGTAACATTTAACTTCTAGTAACAACTGGCACAATCTTATCCAGACAAAAGGGGCTAAGATACCCTAATAATCTCACCTCTCTACTAATAACACAGCAATACCCTGTAAAATTGTGCCTGGACTGGTGTTATGGAAAAACAGAGGATATTACTAGAATTTAAAACCTCGTGTTGCTGATAGTAATCAAAGGCAAAGTCCTGCTTTGTTGAAAGCCAGAAGACCAGGTAATACTTCCTAGGGCTCACACTCTCCTATTGGGTTTTGATTTTTAATCTCTCCATGGTTCCAGAGACACAAATTTATTGGTAATAGCAACAGAAACTTCTTTCAATAACTACCTTTTAAACAAATAACAACACTGATTTCATTCATTTCACTCAAGGGACAATCTTCAAGTGTGTTTAGTGAGAAACAAATGGAATTCTGTTTCTTTTTCAGTAAGTGAAAGCCAAAGCAATGTTACTTGGTGATTACAGAAGGGGAAATGTCGCCTCTTTAATTTGCCTTTAAAATTCAACAGAAGGCATCCTTAGGCTGAAATAGAGAATACTTGATAACCATTTTAATGTGCATTCTACCAAATGGACCAACCACAGAGGACTGAAGTGGGGACAAGAACAGAATAACTAGAATCACCCAATTCTTCCCACTTAAGAAACTCAGCTATCCCAATTTGAATCTCCAACACTGATCAGTTTACCCTAAATTTATCCTGAGAGTTCCCACATAGTAGGGTGTCTCATCTACTGGGAAAACAGAGATAAGAATTACATGGCAAGAAAGAAGGAGAATCAGTCACGTTTTACAAATTGGGGTAAGAACAAGCAAGTCTTTTTACAAGAGGATAACAGCTAGAAGCGTAAAATATCAATGTTATTTAAATAAGATTAATTATATGTATAGTTCATTTATTCAACAAACACTCATCAAGCCCGTGCCACATGCCGAAATCTGTCTTAGCCACTGAGGATATAGCAACGGGCAAATTTTCCACCTTTCTGGAGTGTACATTTTGGCAACAGAGACAAACATATACTCTAATATCAGATAAGTGTCAGAAAGAAAAAATAAAGCCAAGTAAGAGTTATGGGGGTAGAATTTTTTAGTGGATAATCAGGAAAAGTCTCGTAGAGGCAGTGATATTTGCTCATAGATCTAAACTAAGCTAAGAGAATGAGCCCTGGGAATACCCGTGAGCTGCAAACCCAGCGCCCTGGGTAGGAGCAAGTTTGCTGGGTTCACAAACTCCCGAGACAGGCAGTGCAGCAGGAAAAGCGTGAGCAAGAAGGAGGCTGTGAGAATAGAACCCAGGCTTGGGCTAGCTAAGCTAACCTTAAACTATTCAAAATTTATTGGTTTTGAAAGAAAGACATGAAGATTAGGGAAAAAGTATAAAGGATGTAAAATGATGAAGGACTCTGGTTTTAGTTTTGAAAGGATCACTCGCTGCTGCACGGTCGACAATGGGTGATAGAGGGAGAGAAGAGTAGGGCGCAGGGACACCTGTGTGATCCTGGGGCAAGAGACGAAGGAGGCTTGGACGATGGAACGAGTAATGGCATGTTTGGAATAGAAGACGGCACCAACAGGATTTGCTGACAGCTTGGATGAAGGCTAGTAGAGAGGAGTCACGTCTGATGCCCGGGATTTCGGCTGCAGCAACAGGGTCAATGTCTTGCAATTTATCTGGAAGGAGACAGCAGGGGAAGAAGCAAGTTTTGAGACAAGAGTTTGGATCAGGCTTAGGTGACTATTAGACCATCCTGTGGATGTTTGGAGTGGGCACTTGGATAAGATATTGAACCAGAAAGAGGTATCAAGTTGTCTTTAGATGTAGGAGTTTGCGGAGATTGCTCTGCGTAATGTTTTCTTTTTGTCTAATCAATAAGCAGATATCAGATGCTTATTGATGCAGGCAAATTGCAGACTTAAGTCTGTAATTGTATGTAGCCTAAACGTGCATGTGAAAAGACAGAAGTTGGTTCAGCCCTTTAGGTGTTTTTCTCTGCAGCACATAGAGGATTTATTCTTTTCATCCGTTGATTCAGTATGCAGTATCATAAAGATTTGGCATAACATGGTAAGAACAACAAGGAATGTCATAAAATATTTTTTCTTTTAATCAAAAGATTGGAATATTTCAGAAAATTGTTTTCAATAATGTAAATGATAAAAAAAGTTGGATGTGTGGCAAAGGTGCAAAAAGACAAAGTAAATATATGTGTATCAGGGTTAAATTGTGGGATACGCAGAAAAAAATTATATGAACTTACTAGTTTGACATCACAGGCAATATACTACTGTACACAAGCTGCCTGTGAGGACTGGGCAGGTGAGAAGGAGAATGCAGGGGCTTATTTATCAAACCTCCTCTGTAGTCTCTCTATTGAAAGAGAGTGGTTTGCTTTCTAAATATTATAGAGTCACTAACAGTCTCCACTTAAATTCATTACTCAGAAGTTTATGTTACATTGCAGGGCTCAGGAAGAAAGTTGCAATACAATGAATGAATGGCTCACAATGGCTTGTATGTTGCCCAAAACACATCATTCACCCTATGCTAAGGTTGAGAATTGTACTGTATGGATACAATTTAAAAGTTGACAGTGGATTCCCAACCATAATTTACTGTATTGCATGTGTTCTATTAAGGGGTTTTGGATTTGTGTTGTATCTTTGCATAAAGTGAAAAAAATTTTGTAGTCAGCTAAATATGTGGAGGAGAGCAGAAGGCTTCTGATGGGTTGGCTTAGTGGCTAATGATGCACTTTAGGAAACTGCACAGATCTGGGGGTGCTGAAGACAGAACTGTGACACCAGCAGGTCTATCCATGTTATGCTGTAGCTCTCACGTATACACTGACATTACTGAAGTCAGTTGACTGTCCCTGTAATGAGGACAAAGGTAGCGGTTTCATCCCCCATAAGGAACAGGTAATTTGTTACAGAAATTTCTCGGTGGACTCAAAATCAATAACTGAAATAAAAAGAAATATGGGAGGAAGCAAATGTAGCCATAAATTAACATCATTCTTATATAAATTGATTTCTAAAAATAAGAAGCCTGTGGTAGAAAAATCAGGAATGAAATGAGGACACAAGTCACATAAGAGGAAGGAGAAGTGAAGTGAGCCAGCTGAGAACCAACTTCTAGTAGCTAAAGAATTAATGAAAAATTTCCATTTTCATCTACAAATAATTAGCAAGAAATGTTGAGTTGTTCTGAAATGCTAGAATAGAGACACACTGTTTTAGAAAATATTTCTTCCTGTACATTAGGAGCCACAGGATACTTCAGAATTTTGACCTAGTGATTCCGTTTTGAGAAATTTACCTGATGATCCATAATAATAGAAGTAATCTGAAAAAAGAAGAAATATGGTTCCATATCATAAAGATGTTCACTGTAATACTATTTACAATAGTTAAAAATGGGAAGCAACGGAAATATTGAAAAATAAGAAATAAGCAGTAAATGAAATATTGAAAACATTAGTGACCACAAGGAGGGACTCAGGCAAAATGTTTATAAAATGATATAATGTAAAACAATACACAATTTTATTTACAATGTTTTGTCTATGTAAATATCAAAGAGTTGGAAAAATTCTGTAAGATGATGAGAAAGAATGAAAAAAATGGTTGCATTATGTAGTCCTATTGTGATGTTTCCTCCTGTCTCATTACCAGTATTATATCTTTGCTCTCCCAAGGTGCTCGAGACAAAAAGAAGAGAAAAAAAAGTCACACAAGAATTTTTAAAAATAAGAAGTTGTACCACAGCCCCACGATGCACGTTCTCATGTGAACCACCTCAGAAATAAGAAATTGAGTGAGTCAGAAATACTCACCTCAACTCGTGAGATGGCTAATGAAAGCACCGTAAATAACAGACAAAACTGTGTGTTATCTTTAATGATACTCTTTGGCAAACAGAATTTTTAAAAATGTAAACTTTATTAGTTAATATTGCTAAATGAAACATTGAGTTTTTGGAAAAAAGCTTGCTTAAATTTTCAGCCTAATTACTGTAAAGTCATCTCTTTGGGAAATATGCTGCAGTTTCATATTGGGTGTCACCACCATAAATGGCTTGAAGTCAAATAGTCATGTACACCTTTTCCCAGTGCAACAGGAAGAACATTGGCAAATGCATTATCAGCCCTTTTAATAACATTTGAGCACCAACTCTGGATGGAGCTGCTGTGGGAAGCTTGCATGACATACTGAAGACCAAAAGCTTTGGAATCAAGGGGCCAGAAATGATAGTGGAGACAGAATAGAGATGTGGCCACCAAGTTATGAAACAGGATGTTGTGGCCTGCTTGTTAGTGGCTGTGTTTGAAGATATGGCCTCCGTCCATTAAATAAGTAATTAAGATTAAAGGAGGTCATAAGGGCTGGGCCCTGGTCCTGTTGGATTCGTGTTTTCAGAAGAAGAGACACCAAGGACTCCCACCCCTATGCCCACCCCAAGGAAAGGCCATATAAGGACATAGTGACAGGGCTGCGTCTGCAAGCCAGGAAGAGAACCCATCAGGCGCTGACCCTGTTGGACCGCGGTCTGGAACCTCTGGTCTCCAGATGTGTGAGAACATAAACTTCTGTTGTTTAAGGCCCATCTGCTTGTGGGTATTTTTTTTTTTAATGGTAGTCTGAGAAGACTAATACACAAATCTAGTTGTGCAGGTTAAAGTAGTATTACGGGTAAAAACATGGAATCATAATTGATAGCTAAAGCCAGTAGCAGCACATATAATTAAAATTTAAGTGCAGTGGAATGTTAATTGGGACTTTCTTTGTTGTCCTGAAATTGCAGCTGAGATGCAAGGCTAAAGCCAAGGTGCCCATTATCCTCAAATTCTAAAAAGCTATCAACAAGCCCCATTTACATCTCCACAGAATTATGAAGAAGTGGGAGAAGGAGTCCTATTCCCACCAGGCCCCACCTCTAAAGCCAAGGTGCCCATTATCCTCAAATTCTAAAAAGCTATCAACAAGCCCCATTTACATCTCCACAGAATTATGAAGATGTAGGAGAAGGAGTCCTATTCCCACCAGGCCCCACCTCCCCAGGCCCAGTGGAAGAACTGGGAGAACAGTTTACAAAGCAGTCTTGGGGCTGCAGCACTTTCAGTGAGAGGCAGCCACATCCTCACAGTGGAAAAGGGAAGTGTTTTTCTTTATCCCCAGAAATTCATAAGAGGGTTAAGAGAATACTTCATTGAACTTGAGGGTTCCTGAAAGGTGAGGAGACAGATTGTCACTCACTGGACAGACACCTAGTGAGCTGCAGAACAAGCAGGTCCACCTTGTGCTGTCACTGGGAACAACTGAAAGTGGAAGTTCTTGGGACGCATATTCAGGCAGTCACAGAAGAAGATCTAGGCCTTCTTCAACCAGCTTCCACAACCCAGCTCTCAACACCTCGATTTGGGTTTGTTTGATGTTCTCACCATGGTTGCACTGCAGACATGCCTTTTGGAGAGGAAGTCCACATCATTTCAAGGGACGCATATTCAGGCAGTCACAGAAGAAGATCTAGGCCTTCTCCAATCAGCTTCTATGACCCAGCTCCCAACACCTCGATTTGGGTTTGTTTGATGTTCTTACCATGGTTGCACTGCAGACATGCCTTTTGGAGAGAAAGACCACATCATTTCAAGGCTACATACTGTCAACATCATTTATCACTGTTGATATTGACTTATGATGACTTGGTTGAGGTTTTAGGGCTCTTCGTATTATTTATTTCTTATTGATGGTGTTTGGGTAGTTTTTGATTTTCAAGGAGTTGGTCCATTTCTTTTAAATTGTGAGTTTATAAGCATTTGACATCATATTTCCTTATTTTTTGGAAGGATCTGCTTTTTGTTTCATTGATTTTAAAGTTTATTAAATTCCACTTTGATCTTTATCTTTTCTCTCCTTCTTGTTGCTTTGAGTTTATTTTGCTCTTATTTGTCTAGTTTCTTCAGGGAGAGATGAAGATGATTGATTTGAGATCTTTTCTCATGTCCAACATATGCACTTAGGCTATGTGCTATGGTTTCACACAGTCCATGTTAATATATGATGGCTAGCTAAATATATAGAGTAGCCTTTCTTTCTTGATCAAATACCTATAGAAAATACAGAAGATGTATGTGTGTATATATGCACACATACACACACACACATAATTGCACTATATATGTGGAGTCTTCAGAAGATCAGAGACCACAAAGAGTCTTTGAAGATAAATAACAGTGGGGTTTCCCATTGATGAAATCATATATAACCCCTTAAAATGTAGGACTCATATATAAGGTGGAAGAGGTCCCAAGGGTGTTCTATACTTGAGAGAAGCAGGAGGAGACCAGGACGACTAATAAAGGGACTATTTATAAGGAAACAACCATTCAGTTTGGCCTGTTCACATCCCTCTTCCCTTCCTTCAGGTGAAAGCAGTGAATGTTGGTTCTTGGTTTGTTGAAAAGGGTACTGCCTAGACACAGGAAGTCCCCAGATCTGAGAGTCGGCTATGCAGCAGCCATTTCAGATCCGAGAGTCAGCCATGCAGCAGCCATTTCAGATCCGAGAGTCGGCCATGCACTAGCCATTTCGGATCTGAGAGAGTCGGGCATGCAGCAGCCATTTTGGATCTGAGAGAGTCGGCCATGCAGCAGCCATTTTGGATCTGAGAGAGTCCGCCATGCAGCAGCCATTTTGGATCTGAGAGAGTCGGCCATGCAGCAGCCATTTTGGATCTGAGAGTCAGCCATGCAGCTGCCATTTTGGATCTGAGAGAGTCGGCCATGCAGCAGCCATTTCGGATCCGAGAGTCGGCCATGCAGCAGCCATTTTGGATCTGAGAGAGTCGGCCATGCAGCAGCCATTTTGGATCTGAGAGTCAGCCATGCAGCTGCCATTTTGGATCTGAGAGAGTTGGCCATGCAGCAGCGTTTCGGATCCGAGAGCTGGCCATGCAGCAGCCATTAAGGATCCAAGAGTCGGTCATGTAGCAGCCATTTCGGATCTGAGAGAGTCGGCCATGCAGCAGCCGTTTGGGATCTGAGAGTCGGCCATGCAGCAGCCGTTTGGGATCTGAGAGAGTCGGCCATGCAGCAGCCATTTGTGCATGCTTCCCTTCTCCCAGCCCCACAGGAGACTGACTCTGCATCCTGCCTCCTTTCAAATGCATCCTGTGCCAACAGTTTCTGAAAACGGATAAACAAATTGACAACCTCAAATGCAAAGATGAAACATTTCTCCAGATCATCAGGTACTTAAAAAATTTGACATAAAAAAGAGATACTGAATTCAACAATACTAGAAGATAAACTAAAGAAAACAAAAATCACAATGCTATAAAATTTAGAATAACATTTAAAACAAAAGGCTTGATTCTAAAATGTAATCACCTAGAAAGTAAAATACTAATTTCAAAAAATTACTGAAAAGATTACAAATCAGAAATGAATAATAAGAGGAGCACTACTTATGAAGATCTGTGAAAGGCAAACCAAAAAAAAAAAAAAAAGGAAAGAAAAGGGAAAAGCCATATGTAGAGGGAAAAAGTAGCCTTGAATTACTAAAATAAGGAAATATATAGCAAGTCTTTAAACTTAAATAAATGAAATAAATTTTTTAAAAAGAGGAAAACTTAATCAGATTAAAGCTGGTTTAATAAAATAGCATACAAAATGTAAAATCCTTCAAAAAGATTAAGAGTTTAGTTTAAAACCCAATAAAAAGAACAATTCAATTACAACAGTATCAAAAAAATGATGGAAGTCATCAATAAAGACCAATGAGGAGGCCGGGTGTAGTGGCTCACACTTGTAATCCCAGCACTTTGGGAGGCTGAAGTGGGCAGATCACCTGAGGTTGGGAGTTCGAGATCAACCTGACCAACACGCCCAAACCCCGTCTCTATTAAAAATACAAAATTAGCTGGGTGTGGTGATGCATGCCTGTAGTCCCAGCTACTCAGTAGGCTGAGGCAGGAGAATTGCTTGAACCAGGAAGGAGCAGGTTGCGGTAAGCCAAGATTACGCCATTGCACTCCATCCTGGGCAACAAGAGCAAAAACTCCGTCAAAAAAAAAGAAGAAAGAAAAGAACAATGAGGAGAAAAGGGGCATAGGCACAGTGCATGGTAGATTAAAATACGTGACTTAGCTCTATATCAATCTGTCTATAAAAATTGTTTTCAAGAGATAAATTACAAAATTTGACAAAGATGTAGTATTATACAAAACTTGACCAGAAAAATGCTAGAGAGATTAAATAAAAACTGAAGATTTACCTTTTAAAACAGGCTCAGATGTCGAGATTAGTAAATTATAGCAAATGTTATTTGAGAGATCATTCCTATGTTATATAAAATATGTGAGAACAGCAAAAAAGAAAAAAAACACAACTCATTATATTGGTCTAGATACCTTGCTATGAAAATTTGTCAAGGATATATTAAGCAAAGAAAATTTGAGGCCCCTCACTTTCCTTTATAAATACGAATGTAAAAAATTAATTAAAATATTAAAAATTGAACGTAGTATGTACTAAATGAATAATACAGCGTGAATAAGTAGGTTCCCCAAAAAACCAAGAAAGGTTCAACATTGTTTTAAATTGTCAGTTTTTTGTCACTACTATAACATATATAGGGAACTGAAAAGATAAATGTCTGTCTTCTGTCTGTCTCTGTTTCTGTCTATAGATAGATATAGGTATAGACATACATACATGCATATATGGTTTTGACAAAATATAATTCTAGATTCAAAGATAATTATCTACACAAACGAAGAGATCGTCTCATCTTGTCATTGATATATGGTAGCTAGAAGAAATCTAACGTAATCTCAGTGGGAAACATTAGAAATAACATTAAAAAGTCAGGAAGAAGATAAGTATGCTCGTTGCACCTCTATCTTCCTATGCATTTCAGTCAATGTAATAATAAAAGGAAAAAGTTAAAATGTGTAAATATTAGAAATGAAGAGCTTAAACTGCCATTTCTCCAGCACTATCACTATATCAAGATAAATTGGTGTAGTTTGAAGAAATAAAAGGGCTTTGCAATATGGTGGACTACAAAATATGTAAAGATTGAGACTTTTTTAATATCAATAATTTGAAAATGCCAAGAGAAATTCCAATCAAGACAAATGAATGCTAACAAATAAATCTAAACTTATATATGTGCAAGATATATAAGTAAAGCTGTACAAAATTTTTTAAAACTTTTAAAGAACATGAAAATATGGATAGATATACAAATTGAATGAACACTCCTTATCCAAAAATCCAAAATTCACAATTCTCCAAACATCTAAAATGTTTTGAGCACTGACATGATACCACAAGTGAAAAATTCCACACCTGACCTCATGTGATGGGTCACAGTGAAAACACAGTAAAAATTTTCCTCAGGTATGAAATTATTTAAAATATTGTATAAAATTACCTTTATGCCATGTGATGGTGTATATGAGACATAAATGAATATTATATTTAGAGTTGGGTCTCATACCCAAGATATCTCATTATATCTATGCAAATATTCCAAAATGTGAAAAAAAATCTGAAACCTGAAACACTTCTGATCCCAAGCATCTTATAAAAAAATACTCAACCTGTATCGCATTCCCTCATAGATATTTTAAAGATAGTAAGTTTCCCATAGTGAGTCTATAAATTCAATGTGATCCAAATAAAAAGTCTAATAGAAATTTTTTTTAAAACTTTGCAATCTAATTATCAAATTAATCTGGGAGTGCTAAAACCAAGAATACTTAAAACCATTTCCAAAAGAACAAAAAAGACACTTACTCAGAACCCAAAGGATACTTTAAAGATAGAGTCTTTAATACAGTGATATTCCGTAGGTATAGACGTATAGATCAGTGCAATGATATCTCTCAGTGGGGGAGTTTTTAAACATAGTATAGTATGTATAAGTCCAGCTAGAAAAAAAACTCACCAAACTGGAGATGGTAATAGGACTAACTGTGGAAACCAAGGGTAGATTGCAAAGCAGAAGTAAAGAAGCATTAGAAAAAAAAAAAAGCAAGACAAATAAAAACCAAAATATGAAATACTAGAAAGAATTTTGTAATAATAATAAACGCAAATGGTCTAAACTTGCCAATTAAGACCACTATTATGTATGCACATAAGTGTGTGTTTGCTAAATATGCATATAAAACAAAAAGACATTAAAAAATAAATGGTTGAAAAAAGATAGAAAAATATCTTAATAAAAAGTTGGAATAGCTTTACTACAATAGTAGAAAAAATAACTCTTTAAGGTAAAATACACTATTAAAGAGAATAAAAGTTGCTACAACTCAATGATGAAAAGTCAATTCAACAAGAAGATATAACAAATCTAACTGTATATAAATCTAATGAGAAGCATTGAATTACATCAAAAAATTTTCAGATTTTAAAGAAGATATTGTCCAATCCATAACTGTAATAGAAATATTTATTACAACTTTTTCAATTATTGATAAAGCAATAAAAATTGGTAAATACATAGAAGAGTCAAAAAACATAATTAAAAAATAATGTAATGAATATATATAGAATAATTCACTAAACATTTACAGAATATTATCGTCTTCTCAGACATATAAATTGAACCATTACTAGGCCATAAAGCGAGCTTTAACATTTAATAGAATGAGTAATATATAGAACAAGATATTTGATTATCAGCAATTAAATTACAAATTAACAATTAAAATATATATAATTTTTTAAACCTACATTTATATATTTTTAAAAGGTCAAGAATAATTATAGTGATAATTATAAGATGCTTATAACCAAAAGATAGCAAAAAACTATTTATCAAAAGCTATAAAATTGTACATGACACTATATTTAGAGAAATATATAATTTTAAAAGCTGAAAATTGAGCTAATTCAATTTTTTTTTTTTTTTTTTGAGATGGAGTTTTGCTCTTGTTGCCCAGGCTGAAGTGCAATGGCACGATCTTGGCTCACTGCACCCTCCGCCTCCCAGGTTCAAGCGATTCTCCTATCTCAGCCTCTTGAGTAGCTGGGATTATGGGCATGCGTCACCACGTCCGATTAATTTTTTGTATTTTTAGTAGAGATGGGGTTTCTCCATGGTGGTCAGGCTGGTCTCAAACTCCCTACCTCAGGTGACCCACCCACCTCAGCCTCCCAAAGTGCTGGGATTACAGGCGTGAGCCACCGCGCCTGGCCACTAATTCAATTTTAAAAGATATTAAAATACTAACAGGATAAATCCAATGAAAGTAAACGATGAAACAATAAAAGGCAAAGATTAATTTTTTAAAAAAGAAAATAAACATAATGGGACATATCAACATGTGATATATAGCTTTAAAAAGCTATAAAATACACAAAATTATCAAAACTCAGGAGGACATAGGAGATAATAATAAATAAGCTAAGGCATGAAAAGGGAGTCATAACTACAAATAGCAGATATTAAAAACCAGAGAATATTATGAACTTTATGCCAATATATTTGAAAGTTTATACAAAATGAATAGTTTCCTGTAAATAACATGAGAAGAAATGAAAAAATACACTCTAGAATCTTGCTTTAAAATTGTCAATACTTTAAAATTCCCTTACAAGAAAAGACGTTGCCCTTGACAATTTTACACACAATTTTACCAAACATTCGAGAAATTCCAATCTTGCACAAGTTCTTCTAGGAATTAGAGAAAATGAGCATTTCTCAGTTTGTTTTTTGATGGTAGTATATCCCTGATCTCAAACTGCATGAGTATAGTAATAAGGAAGAAAAATTCCACTTGTAAAGGTTTTAAATAAATTTAAACTAACTTACTACATATATAAAAATATGATATGTTATTTGCAGTTGAGTTTATTCTGGAAATGCTGGATTCTTTATCAGCAGGAAATTTATTAAGGGAAGTCACCATATTAACATATTAGGGAGACAATCTAAGTGATCATCTCAAAAGATGTAGGAAAACTATCTGATAAAATGATGCTGGCTGGGCGCAGTGGCTCACGCCTGTAATCCCAGCACTTCGGGAGGCCAATGCGGGCAGATCACGGGGTCAAGAGATCAAGACCATCCTGGCCAACAGGATGACACCCTGTCTCTACTAAAAATACAAAAATTAGCTGGGTGTGGTGGCATGTTTCTGTAGTCCCAGCTACTCGGGAGACTGAGGCAGGAGAATGGCTTGAACCTGGGAGGCAGAGGTTGCAGTGAGCCGACATCACGCCACTACACTCCAGCCTGGCGACAGAGTGAAGCTCCGTCCGAAAAAAAAAAAGTGTTGCTAATACGTTAATCCTATGTGCTAACTACTGGTCTAAACGCTTACCACGTATTGATTCGCTTAGTCTTCATAGCAATCTCCTGAGATAGATGCTACTGTCCTCTTCATTTCACAGCAGAAGAAACCGCACCACAGAAGTGATGTGATTTGCCCAAGATTACGCACAGCTGAGGGTGGAACTGGGTTCGAACGCAGACACTCTAGCTGTACACTGAATTACAGTAAATATTCCTACACATTTGTCTGTGGGTATGCTAACAAACATTCTCCAAATAATGGTAGATTTGGTTAAAAAAAAATTCACTTGCAGATTGTCTGGTAAATTCATTTTCTAATTCCTAGAGTGTGTTGTTAGAACATTTCAAAAATCTTTGCTGAATGAATACATTTCTCTTCCGAATGACAAAATATTAGGCTTTTAGGACTAAATAGAATTAAGGCATGATCAAGTTTATCACCAATAATTTTATTTTAGCTTATTCAGACATCTTTATAATCTTGTTTCCATAAGCAACTTCCAAATTTGAATGCAGTATGCTTACCCGCTAGGAAAATTAGAAGGCCCCTAGCAAAGAACAATTGCTTAAGCCTAAAGTATTGGAGCCCTTTAAATAAATAATGTAAATAACTTACACCAAACTCCAAATATGATGATTGACACTGGAAGAAAGGAGTCCTCCAAAATGGGAGCATCTACTATCCCCATCATCATCATCGTCATGTAGAAACATGCAAAGTTTCCATTTCCTACTAATTATGTTTCTGCATTTATTTTATTAAAAAACAGGTGTTAGTTCCATGTGTTTTTAGTTACATTGTCATTAGTAAACTGACTTGCATGTAAAGTATGCATATTACAATTTAGATTTTCTTGGCATTTTGTGCTTGTTTGGAGAGAAGGCAATGCTTTGCTATTGTCTACTTCCATATATACATATACATGTGTATGTATTTCCATGCACACGCAGACACGGAATTTGGAAGAGAGAGTGTAAACTCTAGAGACAAAATAGACTTGAGTTCCCATTTTAGCTCCACCATTTATAAATGTGCAACTGAGCAAGTTACTTAATTTTTCTGAAACATTGTTTTGCCATCTGTAAAATTAGGTAGTGCCAATCAGAGGTGGCACAGGGATTGGGATTCAGGTCTGATGGACTGATCCTGAGGGCAGTTGGGAATCATAAGTGTGAAGGAAGGGAGGTAAATTCTCCAAATTCTAACTCAGCTTAATGTAAATGAGACAACTTGCACCCCATCTCGTGGCAGCCTCAGACTGAAGGTGCCTGGTGTTATGCCTTGGAGCTGTTCATTTTAAAGGAAAAAGTGAGAACAAAAAAAGTCTGCATTACTTTTTTATCTCCCTGAAGGACTGCTGGAACCTTTATGCAAAGAAAAAAAAGTTTAATTTCAGTGCATGAAGCCTCTTCTTTTTGAGATAATTAGAGCCCAAATTTTACATTATAGAATTGGCATACTATAAGTACTTAAAAAGAATATTTTTAGAGTGAACAAGTTGTCAAAGAGGATATGTCCTGCTCTTCTGTACTCACCTTCAAATTCTTGATCTTTTATCTCAGCTATGGTTGTGACATGGCCACAGTCCTTCTTCAGTTGTCCTGCGTCCTTGTACCATCTTTCTCTGTTTTCTTTTTCCTTGGATTCCGGTATCTTGCCTTAGTTTTCCTCCCATCCCCACTATTCTTCTGTCTGGTTTCCATTCCATCCTTTCTCAAAGAACAAAACCTCATTGGCCTGGGCAGAGCTCAAGCATTCTCTGCTCCAAGTGGCCAGCAGGAGCACTCTGGACAACCCCACAGGATTTGATTGTGGTTTGCTCTGCGCAATTCCAAAACCACCAATCAATTCAATAAAAGAACTCTAGTTTAATCAACACTGTAAACTGTAAAAGGGAAAACAAAACAAAAACAAGTCATTTAGGCCAAATAAGCAGGGACCTGGTTGACTCGCTCCCTTCCCAGTGGGCTGGACTGGGGTGGGGGCTCTCAGTCTTTGTTGACTAAGTGGTCAGTCTAGGGGGTCCCCAGCCCCGTTATTTGAACAAGCCCTCCTGCCATCCGTCCTTCCTGTTCTGTGACATTGGCATTGGCCCAAAGGGATCTAAGTGCCCAAATCTCGTTCCATTGAAATCTGGCCATGAGCACACAGTGATGTGTGTGCTCGTGTCCAGACTCCAGGGAGGGGAAAGGCTGAGTGCTGAAGGGCCATGTGGAAGTGTGGGAGACAGCACAGAGGCGTCTAGGAGCAGCCAACACACTTCAAAGACAGCCAGACTCTTTAAGCATCATGCAAGGTACAAAGAGATATAAAATGCCTCTGGCGGGTCAAAACCAGAGGGCAGGTGGGTGATGCCAAGGTCTCCTGTGGGGACCCGCAAAGCACAGGCTCTGCTTGATCCCTGGTATGGGATTATGCCCAAGGAAACTGGCATGCTCTCGGTTCTGAGCTAGAGCTGATTGAAGAGAAAGCTGCACATTGAAAAGGACTATGATAACAAACTAGAGGACACCAAACTGCTTCCTGTTGGAGAGAGCACATCGTCTAGGAATCATGTTTCCATCCAACAGAATCCACACCTGTTGCCTCTGCTGGATTGGCCCCAGATACCTGCACCTCTGGGTCTCTGTGTACCCAGGTCTCTGCTCCCCCAGGTCTGTGTACCCCGGGTCTCTGCACCCCCAGGTCTCTGCTCCCCCAGGTCTCTGCCCCCCCAGCTCTCTCTGCATCCAGGTCTCTGCACTCCCAGGTCTCTGTACCCCCAGGTCTCTGTGTCCCCAGGTCTCTGTGAATCCAGGTCCCTGCACCCCCAGGTCACTGCACCCCCAGGTCTCTGCATCCCCAGGTCTCTGCACCCCTAGGTGTCTGCACCCCCAGTGCTCTGTGCCTCCAAGTCTCTGTGCCTCCAGTTCTCATTGCCTCCAGGTCTCTGCACCCCCAGGTCACTGCACCCCCAGGGCTCTGAATCCCCAGGTCACTGCACCCCCAGGGCTCTTTTCCCCCAAGTCTCTGTGACCCCAGTTCTCATTGCCTCCAAGTCTCTGCACCCACAGCTCTCTGCACCCCCAGGTCTCTGAATTCCCAGGTTGCTCTGCTCCCAGGTCTCTGTGCATTCAGGTGTCTGCACCCGTGACCTTCTCTCATAGGCACCAAGCAGAGGACATGGCAGGTAGGTGTGGGGACATTCCTACTGCTGCTGTTAGTAAGAATTTACAACATACTGAATGCAAAGCCAGCTATGCAAGGATGTAGCTGCTTCCTTTAATGGACTTGGGCTTAAAGAAATTAGATTTAGACTCCACTTAACCCCAAGTGTTGAAGCTTGTACACTCTGTTTCTCTGTCCCTACCCTTGGCCTTTTACCTTTTGTACCTGCTGTTTTTTTCTTTATGGACAATGATATCAAATTAGACAGTTCCAGCATTATAGAAGAACATTCATCCTGAGGAACCAAGGGGGCCACAGATATTTAATTACTGCCACCCACGTTTCCAGAAGACACAACCTCAGGGAAGATCAGACCCCAGGGCAGGCACTGGTCAGTTCTGCTCTGGTCCTAACATTGCCACTTGGCAATGACCATGGCCAACTCAAAGCCCTCCTGGAGCTGGACCATGGCACCCAGCCCATTGCTCCTTTTGGCAGCCTAAACTAAGGTTCCCCACCCACTGGTACCGGTCCATGGCCTGTTTAGAAACCAGGCCACACAGCAGGAGGTATGCAGTGGTGGGTAAGCATTACCCTCTGAGCTCTACCTCCTGTCAGATCAGCCGTGGCTTTAGATTCTCATAGGAGCACAAACCCTATTGTGAACTGTGCATGTGAGGGATCTAGGTGGCTTGCTCTTTATGAAAATCTCATGCCTGATGATCTGAGGTGGGGCATTTCATCCCAAAACCACCCTGCCACACACACACATGCACACACCATGGAAAAATTGTCTTCCATGTCACCTGTCCCTGGTGCCAAACATGTTGGAGACTTGCCCTAAGGAGTTCATAATTTTGCTCCTCAATGTCCCAGCTCCAGGTGAGGATACAACTGTTACTCTGTCTCAGTATCCCTGCCAAGGTGTAGCTGAGGTTGAAGCCACTCTGGGCAGCATCACTAAAGCAAGAGACCCGAGCATTAGCATGAAGGAGGCCAACACCCAGAGCCTGGGCCCTCTCTCCTCTGGCTAAGACACAGCTGCTGCTTTCTGTCCTGGAGCAGCCCGGCTCAGCCTTCAGGCCAGCCCCTTGTTCGTCCCCCTTTTCCAGAGCCTCAGGCTTTATTCTTGGGGAGCTGGGGGATTTGGGGTTACCCTTCTCCTTTGCCCAGCCCCATATAATCCTCTCTCAACAGCACCCTCAGCTCCCAGTCCTCTTGCAGCCTCCCCACTCTCTCTCCCCTCAGCTCACCTCCTGCCAGGTGACGATTTGGTTCATTGTCTGCCCACACCCCTAATCCACCTTCCCCCTTGGCATTCCAGGTAACCCAAATGCCCCTGAATGTTAACACTGACTTCCCTCAGGCTTGATCCTACTCTCAGGCTACTCTAGTTCCCAGTTTTCCCACATAGTGATGCTGGACCCAGGGCTGGAACCCAGGCCCTCCGCTGCCCAGTTCTTCATTCTGCACAGTGTCCCCTTCTCTCCCTGACAAGGGTGAAGTGACGATGTGCATCACCTGCCTTTTCCGCATCCATAGTCATGCTCTTTCTCTTTTTTTAACAGACAAATTTAATGTACTTTTATTTTTTATTTTCTAAATTACAAAAATTGTATATGATCATAAAATGGTGAAATCAATGAAATAATACAAGAGAGGCATTAGTTTACCTTCACACACTGCTCCTTCTCTGTCTCCAACACCCTCAGCCCCACCACAACCAGCACCAACAATCTGGCCCCATCCCTTAATGCTCATGCAAACATATGATCTTTTGCAAAAAAAAAAAAAAAAAAAAAAAAAAGTGGAAAAATGGCATGCATAATACTCCACAGCTTTCTGTGGAGTAAACGTACATCAGGTGGCATGACAGTAAACTCATCCTGTGATAGGTGTGCAATATTCTGTAGTGCATCCAACTCTAACCCAGTATATAGACCTGTCCCCCTTTGATAAGGTGGAACACAATATATTTCACCATTCTCCTTTTGATTCATACCTTTTTACCACCATAAAGAATGTTGTAGTCAATTATCTTGAGATTATATCCTCATATATTGGTGCTATTTTTTGTTTTTTTTTTCCATTTCTATAACAGATTTCTAAAATGGAATTACTGAGTTCATGGGTACTTATACTTTTTAATTTTAAGAAATATTTTGAAATTTATTTGGGGGAAAGTCTGTAGCTCTTCCTGCTCACCCAGCCGTCTTTGATAGTATCTCCTTCCTTGCCTCCTCGGTGGTATTACATGTTACCATTTTCTGCAAATTTTTTGTCAGTCCAATTTCACTATTGCTTTAATTCACATTCCTCCGACTCTCAGTAAAGTTTAACAACCTTCTGTATGTTTATTAACGCTTATAATTGCCTGTTCATCCTAGCAATTTTCTTAGACTATTTGTAATGTTTTAGTTAATTTTAGGAGATTTTTATATATGGGAGATAGTAACCTTGTGTCATATGTGTAAAAATAGTTTTCCAATCTTCTGATTCTCTTTTGCTTTCTGTTTATCATTTCTCACCATGGAAAAATGTTTAAACTTTATGCAGTTGAATATACATAGTCTTTCTCTTTCACACACATTAAGTATTTAATTTACATGCCTCTTCTAACCAACTTAGTTTGCCAAGGGCTTCCTGGTATTTTAAAGACCATAAAGTTGTCCTTCTCTTCTAAAGGCTTCCATATATTCAGGCTGCTGAGCAATGGTCTCATCTATTTCAGCTGGTTTTGTTTTTCCTTTTCTCACTTAACAACCTTTATGTATCAAGTCTGGCAAGTCTATTAGGACTGTTACTGGGGGGAAAATGTTCATCTAGAAAGTGAAATTAGACCAGAAAATATTGAGTATAAATTTTGCACTTTCACATGGAGTTAAATAATTTTAAGTTTGGGTGTGTTTCGCCTAATCCTTTACTCTCATTCTGGAATCAAAAGTTGTCATGCCTGTGGAGCCCCTTTCCTCCCAAACCTGGCAGAAAGATACTCTCTTTCTCCTCCCACTGTGTGTCTCAGAAACATTGGCCCATGAAGTAGGAGAAGCAGACGGAAACTGTGACTGACAGACTTAGCCGAAGAATGACAATATGTGGAGGGAGCAAATGAGATGGAATTATGGATATTACGAGAAAAATGTTAGGTTCTGTTGAGAGTAATGTATATTCAATACAGACAGAGCTAAATAATTTAAATGTGATTTTGATATGAATAGTAACAGGAAATTTATAGCTATTGCTAATTATAGAAGATACAATCGAATTATTATATTTTCCTCTCCATTTGCCCAGGGATCACATTGAAAGGCAATGGAGATGATAGATAGGTAGACAGATAGATAGACAGATAGATAGATAGATAGATAGATAGATAGATAGATAGATAGATAGATAATATAAAAATGACAAGCAGAAATCTAAAAATACAACTCTTGAAAATGTTTGCTCATCAATATAAATGATGAGGCACTTTACATATATATATCCTTCTCTATAGGTAAAATTGGTTAAGACAAAAATAGACATACTGTAATTTCATCAAAAAGACAAGATACTGAACTGGGAATAGGAAATGTGGATAGGTGTTTCTCTCTGTTAAAATGATTTGCCCTGAATGGAATATAGGATGGGAATAAGTGATTGGAAACTGCTAAGCCTATGGGATCTCCAGCTACTGCTTCTGCATTCCCAAAGCCTCACAGGCCTTCTGGGTTCACATTCAGGAGGGGGTCATGTTGGAACCTCCCCTCTATCTTTATCTCAGCAGGTCATCCCCAGTATTTTGTTTCTGTTATATATGCATGGAATTGGATTTTCCTTGACTAAAAGATGGGCATGCCGGGTGCGATGGGTCATGCCTGTAATCCCAGCACTTTGGAAGGACAAGGCAGGTGGTCATGAGTTTGAGACCAGCCTGACCAACATGGTGAAACCCCGTCTCTACTGAAAATACAAAAATTAGCCTGGCATGGTGGCACGCGCCTGTAATCCCAGGTCCTCAGGAGGCTGAGGCAGGAGAATCACTTGAACCCAGGAGGCAGAGGTTGCAGTGAGCCAGGATCGCGCCACTGCACTCCAGCCTGGGCGACAGAGAGAGACTCTGTCTAAAAAAAAAAATAAAAAAATAAAAAATAAAAAAAAGATGGGCATTCAGCTCTACTTAAGGTATAAATTGAAGATAGAAGGCTTTTTAACATATTATTTAAAAAACCACTATATACATTACATGCAAATTAGTTACTATAGCTTCCTAGAACATCACTGCAATCATTGAGTTTACTTTCACAGGCCTGGCAATAGACAAATTCCCAGTTTTATGCTCCAGTGAATTTTTTCCTTCCCATTCTCATTACGATTATTTATGTTTATTTGTATTGTTTTGCTTAATTACATGTTGTGTTTCATATATCTTGTGTTATTTCTGAAAAATGGCATTTAATGAAGTGAAAGTAAACAGGTAACTGTCAAGAGGAGATGACAGTCTGTTAATTTATGTAAAGTATAACCAACCAGATGTTCTAGAAAATGCTTCAGTCAGAGATAAAGAAAATCTTGTTTTTAATAAACAGGTGATGACTGCATGTTGTGACAAAAATATGTTTTCCAGGAAGTCTTCTAGAGCTCAGCATAGACTCGAGAGCCTAGAATCCAGGAAGCCACTGGGTGGCTGAAGTAGCCTTCCCTAGGATGCCAGTTGCGAGGCATCGGCTGGCTGCTCTGCTGGAGACGCTGGGAATGTGAAGTATCAAGGAAACATCTGACGTCATCAGTGGAGCTGCTGTCTATAAAAACTGAGCTTTCCCATTCTTGTTATAGACCAAGGCTGGACACCATTATTCTTATCAGAGACTAACATTTATCTCATGCCGATCCAGTGAATGTGGAGGGTTTTTGTTGTTGTTGTTGATGTTGTTGTTGTTGTTTTTGACAGAGTCTCGCTCTGTCGCCCAGGCTGGAGTGCAGTGGCGCGATCTCTGCTCACTGCAAGCTCCGCCTCCCGGGTTCACGCCATTCTCCTGCCTCAGCCTCCCGAGTAGCTGGGACTACAGGCGCCCGCCACCGCGCCTGGCTAATTTTTTGTATTTTTAGTAGAGACGGGGTTTCACCGTGTTAGCCAGGATGGTCTCGATCTCCTGACCTTGTGATCTGCCTGCCTCGGCCTCCCAAAGTGCTGGGATTACAGGTGTGAGCCACCACGCCCGGCCAAATGTGGAGGTTTTTAAGAGGACAGACTTTAGCAGTTATTATTTAAATCTTTATATACAGTATATCACACATATGCATCATTATGATCTTGCTGAGTCAATGACCATGAAGTTTATTGTCCTCGTCCATTTTATTCCAGTGAGCTTCCACTTAAGTTCTTCCTGATTAGTTTATAACAAAATTCAGAAACTAACAGATGGGTCTCAAATGTGCAATTCTAGCTGTGGAATTCAGCTGTGCCAGTTACCACCACTCCGAAGATGCCTTAGCTCTATAGCAGTCACAATATATTTCTTTTAAAAAATACTAATATGGCAAAAACAACAACAGAAATCAACCTTGCATCTTTAGAAAGATTGTAACTGTAGGATAAGAGAGATGAATGTCTTCCCTGTTCTTTTCATTCAGTGTCTAGACATCCACTTACAAAGACCTGCTTGTTGCTAGAATTTTAGGAGTAAATCAATTCTCAATGGATTCTAGGCTCTCGCGTCAATGGTTAGGTGTATAGTTTTCATAGTTCTCAAATAGTCAGCTACATATTTTCTTATGGGATTTCAATCTCCTTCAGTCAATGTCATTTGTATATGAGCTTGAAAGATTGCCCATACTTTCCAATAGGAAATATACAGCCACACATAATCCTGCTTTATATTTATCTTTACATCCTTTCTCTTTTATAACTTTTTCTTTCAAAAACAAAAAATGCCACTTTTCTTATGTAGAGTTTTTTGGACTTAAGTGATTGAGCAATGCCTTGTTCTGGAGGAATGGTTGGGCCTGCAAGTTGGGCCCAGAGTGTATAACGTGAAGAAAGAGTACTACACATCAGTATGCAAATGAACATATCAACAGTCTCTCTTGTCAAAATCTATTGTGTCACAATTATTACCACAAGTCCCACTTTGCTGCCAGGATTTTTACATCCGTGACAGCTACAAGAAGATGAGCTTTTTGCCTCCCTTCTCATTTTTTTTTTTTTCTACAGGCACATGGTTTACTCAGGCCCAGAGGAGTGAGCTGATATAAAGAAGCTGTGCCACACAGTCGGATGGGGTCCGAAGGAAACAATAGGGCTGAGTGATGAGTATTGAAGAAGAAATCTAAAGAAAGAATGTCTTATCAGCTGACCGCAAAGCTGCCTCCTTCTACCTGGCCACATTGCTTATCTATTGTACTGCGTCTCTCTTGGATGGAAACGATACACCAATCACTCATAAGTGAATAATTTCCTTCTAAATCACAGGCCTACACCTGAGGTGGCTGCCACAGGTGTAACCTGTTTAGACCAGCAATTATATTTACTCCATGATGACAGAAAACAGGAAAGATGTATCATACAGTGCATTTGCTCCTGCTATTTATAAATAGACCTCTTTACATTAGCACTACATATGACTGTCTCATCCACTTATCAGCAATTTAATATATCACAGACAACATGGGTTAAAAGCAAAATAAGTTTCAAACACTAACCTCAGTTTACTCATAAATATTTCACTTCTACAAACCTTGTTTATTCAAGCTATGGTTCTATACAAATTGGCAAGTCATTCTTTATTTTACTTTTCTGTGGTTCTAGACCCTTCTAGACTAAAGATCTCTGACTTTACTGCTGCCTTTTCTAGATGTTTTCCTGAGTACACATGTGAGCTTATTGTTAACATCAGTCTCTTTCCCTTTAAGAACTGGTTTTTTTCTGATGGCTGTGGTCTAAGAGAGCTCACTCTGGATTTCTCTCTGTTAGTTTTCTAACATAACCCACAGTGATAAATCTATTTTATGTTGGGAATAAGGGAATATTTATACGTAAAGTCAAACAAAATTGAAGTTTACTTATGCTTTTTTGCACTTTGATATTTTCTATATATTCTGCCATGTTCCCTAATATTCTCTGTTATTCTATTTTATTTTTAAGAAAATGATTGGTCTCTACCCTCACAATGATTCTGCAATCCACTGTGGGAACATGACGCACAGCCTCGAGCCACTGTGGGAGCTTCCTCATCAGAAGGGAGGGGTACCAGGGGGTGTGGTGATGTGGCCCTAGGTGCGGGAATTTCCAAAAGGGAAGCTCTGGTAGCAGCCTCTCATCTATAGTATCATATTTTCAGTGTCATCGTAACGCAGAGAAGTAGAAGATTCAAGACTTTGGAAAACAGCCATTTTCTCTCAATTACAAGAATAATAACAGTATTTGAAAGATCCTAAAAGTGGTGAAGATGGAGTAAGTGTTTGGTAGGGAATCCCTGCCCTGGCTGATCATTATGTCTGCCTTGGCTGTACATGTGATCTTGGTGGCATTTCTGGACTATCACCCAGAGAGGTGGGTTAAGACTGGTTAAGACCGCAGAGTCAGACCGCTTGGAGTTGAATCCTGACACCACCGCATTCTAGCTGTGTGACTTTAGAAAGTCCCTTAGCCTCTATGAAATTTAGTTTGCTCAATCAGAAAAAGAGAATAATGACACTGTTCATCTTACAGAATTGTTGCAAGGATTAAATAAACTATCAGATGGAAAGGACTTGTGGTGATATCTCGCACATGGCAATGACTGAACATAGATTCGTTGTTATTATGTCTTCCTCTATGCAGAGTGTTTCAGCCTCCTATTGCTGCTGTAACAAATTATCACACATATAGTGGCTTATAGACACTGTGATATAGGTCTAGGAGTCAGACATCTGCAGTGGATCTTACCAGCTAAAATTAAGTGTCCACAGAACTGTGTTCCTTCCGAAGTTTCTGGGGGAGAATCTGTTCCTTGTGGTTCCAGCTTCTGGAGCCTATCCCATTTCTAGACTCCTGATTGCATCACGCCAGCCTCTGCTCCATTATCACATCTTCTCTGACTCTCACCCTCTTGCCCCCTCTAAGAAGATCACTTGTGATGACCCTGAGCCCACTTGGACCTTCCAGGATCATCTCTCCATCTCAATATTCTTAACTTCATCACTCCTGCAAGGTCCCATTGCCATGAAGGGTGACTTATCCGCAGCTTCCAGGGATTAGGATGTGGCATCTTTCTGAGCCATTATTCTATCTAGCACTACGGGCAACCTATTTTTCTGAAAGCTCCCCCATATCCTAGGTGTGTTACATGTATTACATGCCTAGACTATGGGGAGCTTTCAGAAAAGCAAGTTGCCCATAATCGTAGACAGAATAATGGCTCAGAAATATGCCACACCTTACTCCCTGGAATTCTGAATGTCCAATTGTCTTTGACACAAGATTCTTAAGAGGAAGGACCACGTCTTATTTGTGTATCATTAGTGCTGCACACGAAGAAATTGTCCCATTAATGCAGGATTAATGAATTAACTGATTACATTGTAAAGGGCATCTTATATCCATTGAAACTACCCTGGAGTGAGCCTCCTGGGCATGACAAGGAACAGAGCTGGTGCTGGCTGTGCTATTGTCATGCTGACTGATGACCAAGAGTGATCTGAGAGGGTCTGGGTGGGACATGCTTACCTGCCATGCCCTCAGAGGTGAGCACCTTGAGCTCATTTCCATCTTTAAAAGTCTTACATTCAAACATAAATCCCTCCAGGGGAATCACCTTCCTGCCTCCCTACCGGACCAAGATGAGGCGGAGTAGAGGTGGCTAAATGTGTCGCCGAGTGAGAGAGAGAAAACAGACCCTGCTGTCAGATCCAACTGACATGGAGACGGACAAGGCCAAGGCCACCTCCTTGGCTAACATGGTCAAGAAACACTCCGAGTAAACACGGCTTTTCCCACAGTGGGCTATCAAGCCAGCCCTGCTCACAGGCAGAGAGCAGGCAGGAAGGAGACATCCAATAATATCATATTTTAGAGAGAGGAGAGTCCTTTCTGAGCACTGGATTCAAGATCTTCCCCACTCAAGCAGGTCCTGTGATATTTGGGAGACTCCCAAAAGAGGAGGTGCTTCAGGAAATAAATCAAGGGATCAGGGGCCTTGAGAGCCCTTAGGAAGGAGTTGGAAGGGCCCAGGGAACTGCACCTGTGTCATGAGAGAGACGGATGAGCGCTGCCCAGCAGCTGACAGGCAACACGCCTTGTCCCTCCCTTGGGAACAGGTCCTGCCTTTCCCTGTGGGTGTGGCCCACAGAGCAGCGGGGTTCTCTCCCACAGCAGCAGACTCAGTGTGGGCAGA
Source organism: Homo sapiens (assembly GCF_000001405.40). Classification (NCBI taxonomy): domain Eukaryota; kingdom Metazoa; phylum Chordata; class Mammalia; order Primates; family Hominidae; genus Homo; species Homo sapiens. Next base: position 75,694,451 of record NC_000018.10, on the reverse strand, counting down.
GTAAGTGCTTGGATGCTGCAGAGGCGCTCCAGGCACCTGCAATGAAGGCAGAGCTATGGGAATCAAAGCAGGGCCCCTGCATGAGGGCATGCAGGAAGTCCAGGGCTTGGGATGAGGATCAATTTCTCATCTACTTTGCAGATGTCCTTAGTGAGGTCCCCATGCTCCACATTCCTGTTCTGGGAACCATCAAGAGGGACAGCTCATGGAACTGGATCCTGGCAGGTACTGTGTGGAATGGCAGCAGGGAAGTGCATCCCCAAAAGCTCCTACGTGAATCAGGAGCCGGCAGAGGGTGGGGGCGGGAATCTCAGGGGCTGCAAGCTAGGAGATGCTCCGTGCTCCGTGTCCTCCCACTTTTCCCATGTGCCCTTTTCCCATCTGTGCTTGAGCTTTAATACGTAGAGGGAAACAAACGGTGAAAGGCATCAGGGAAGTTTGTGTTCAAACCAACCAGTATGAGAGAGACAGGAGAGAGAGAGAGAGAGGTTTCTTTTTGACTGACAGAAATTCACTTTCAAAGTCTTTTAATATACAGATTATACAAAGGGAGTTCTTCCCTGATGCCTCGAGGGATAACAAGTCATTTATGATTTCAGAAAAGTATGGAAGGACTTCAGCGGTGTCTAAATACAGAAAGGAGACAAGTCATTCAAATAATACGAAATGACCTCGACCCTCTTTTTTCTTTTTTTAAATTTTTGCCTTGGCTAATGTTCTTCTCTTAGGCTTCAGAGAGCTTTTTGGCCCTGACGCTCACAGCCTGGGGAGTTGGGAGTCCACTGGATGTGCTCGGCCTCCCTGGGAGCTGAGTGCAATCGGGCACCGTGGATGCCAAGCTGGTGAGGTCGGAACAGCGTCCCCTCAGGCTCTCCTCCCGTGACTCTCAATGCCCACTTGGGGACGTCTTTCCTGCCCTCCCTCTGTCTGCTCCTCCCCTTCACAACACCTGCTCTGCCTCAGGTGCTACCAGAACCCCAAGCAGGATGGCTCTGGCTCTCAAGACGACCACATTCTAGAGGAAAGGAGAAAAAACAAACACGTATGTGATGAGCTGGTGCTCAGAGGGCAGTTAAGCCTGAGGGACAGAGAATAAATGGGGATGGAGCATTTAGAGGGTACATCAGATTGGGTGGTTGGGAAAACCTCGCAGACAGGGCAACATTGTCGCAGAAGTGGCAGAAGTGAAAAGTCAGAGACCCAGCCCAGAGGGTCCCAGGGACCAGGGCTTGGCACGCCAAGGGAACCTGGAACGGTCCAAAGCCAGGGTCTCTGGAGCAGAGTGGAGCAGGGACAAGAGCGAGAGGAGACAAAGGCTGCAGAAGGACTGGGCCTACCCTTCATGATGCGGGAGGCCATGGTGGCATGCCACGTGACAATGTCTACAGAGGGGAAGGAGACTCAGAGCCAAAGGGGGGCCCAGGTCCCAGGGGTTCCACTCCCCAGCTGTGCAATCGTATGGCAACGTTGACAGTTTTATTTTTTAAAAATCCCTTTACTGAGGCACAATTTGTGTTCTATAAAATTCACCCATTTTCAGGATCCAACTCCATGACATTTAGTAAACTGAATCATTGTATCATCACCACAATTTAATTTTAGGATATTGCTTCTCGGCCTATTGGCTAAGATCAAGTGTAATTTTAGAATATTTCCATCATCTCCAAAAGAAAACTGATACCCATGAGCAGTCAGTGATCATTTTCATCCCAGCCACAGGCAACCACAGATTAACTTAATCACTTTATATAGATTTGCCTTTGATGGACATTTTATATAAACGGTCTCATGTAATATGTGATCCTCTATGTCTGGCTTCTTTCTCATAACTTAATGTTTTTGAGGCCCATTCATACTGCAGCTTGTATCAGTACTTTATTCCTTTTTATTGTTGAATAGTATTCCATTGTATGGATTCACCATGTTTTATTCACCCACTCACTGAGTGACAGTCAATAGAGAGCACTTTATCTTAAGGGACAATGGCACCATCTTTGTGACTACTTTAGCAACTGTTACAGGATGAAAGGAGGTGACCATGGAATGTACACACTGAAAGTGACAATGTCAGGTGACAGTATGAGGTACTGTCCATCTGAATTACTGTCTCTCAGCCTCAATGATTTGTGGCAGTATACACAATGATACCAGGGCAAGCTCATACTGAAAGCCAGCATTAATGTAGTGTCTTTTAGGCTGCGATACCATTACATCATCTCTAAACCTCACATCAGTCCTGCCTCCATTCTACAGATGAGAACACAGAGGCTCCAAAGGTTTCACTGAACACTCAGGCCCACACGACTTCAAATGGTAGGGGCAAGATTTGAATCCATATCTTCCTAGCCCTAAAGCCTGCATTCTGTAACCATAACCTACTTCTCTTCCCTTCTCTTCAACCCAATAATGAATAATAAACTCAGTCGAACTGACTGATGGCAAAGTGAAAAGGAAGGGAATTCACATGTGCAGGGAATTTATTAGCATGTGCAGGGAAGGGAATTAGTGTGTATCAGGGATTCTCCATGGGCCCTTGTGCAGAATCCACACAGAAAACCAGAAAATGAGCTTTATTGCCCACCTTCCCGAATCAGGACGTTGACTTCCCTAAAGTCCCACTGTCAGTAGGTTGCAGAGTCCTGCACAAGGTGAGACAGTAGGGCCTGGGAGACACACAGAGATCCCAGGTAGCATGCCCCGCCAAGACAGCCCCACTCCCCACTTTGAAGGAGAAGCTCAACATGGAGAAAGGAACAGCTCGCCCCTGCAGGTGGGAAGGAACACTGCGGGGAATGTTGCAGGACAACGTCTTGCTTCATGGAGCTACTTGCAGGACAGCCTGGGTCTTTGCAGGCCCTGACGGATTAAACAAACGAACAAACAACTAGACAGAAGTTGGGCCATGTTTTTATCCATGCCTGGAGAAAGCAGAGGAATAATTCAGTGTAGTTCTTTGCCCTCCCAATTAGTACATCAATGAACAACACATTACAAGCAGTATTTAGCTGGAGAAGTGCACCTGGATGCTGGCCACATCCTTATGCGTCTTGTTCTCTACACTCTCCATCCAAAGCAGAATCTTCTACTCTCTGACTTCCCTCTCTATCCCTCGTTTCCACCCACCTGAATTCCACATCTTACTAGGACATGAGTCTGGTCTTGACACCAGCCTGGTCACCTGAACCCAGGCCTCCTTCCTGGATTGGGTCTGCTTCATTCCCCACTGGTCAGTGCAAATGGTTCAGTCCCGTGACTCTGCCCTAGAGCCACCAATGACCCAGCACGTCCACACTCTGCCTCTTGATGTTCAGAGTGAGCCTGGAGTCCTCTGCATGTGACTGTGTCTTCTGGGTTGGGCGTGTGGGCTGCCACCCTCTTCCTTGAGGAGAAGTCCACCCCTCAGCTCTTCATAGTCATCTAAGCCCCTGGCCTATGCTGACCACAGTTCTTATTCTCACCTTATCACAACCCCACATTTGTCATCATTTAGTGGACTTTAGAGATTATCCAGCCAAATTCCAATTTTAGAGTTTAGCAAACTGATTTTATAGTTAAGTTGACTGAGATTGGCTTTTCATTTGAAAATTCCACTTTAACCTTGACTTACTGGGTGGAAACACCTATGTTGCTTAGTATTAAAAAAAAAATTAAAAAACAGGCCAGGTGAGGTGGCTCACGCCTGTAATCCCAGCACTTTGGGATGCCAAGGCGGGTGGATCACGAGGTCAGGAGATTGAGACCATCCTGACTAACACAGTGAAATCCCGTCTGTACTGAAAATACAAAAAAACAATTAGCCGGGCATGGTGGTGGGCGCCTGTAGTCCTAGCTACTCAGGAGGCTGAGGCAGGAGAATGGTGTGAACTGGGGAGGTGGAGCTTGCAGTGAGCCAAGATAGAACCACGGCACTCCAGCCTGGGCAAAAGAGCAAGACTCCATCTCAAAAAATAAATAAATAAATAAATAAATAAATAAATTAATTAATTAATTTAAAAAAACAACTGAGCACTGAAATTCTCATTGAATCCCCAAATAATCTGATGGCTTACAATTGCTTCATTTATGTGATTATTCTACTATGTGTGTTTTCAACATCTGGGAATTTAACTTAGGTTTCCTCCTTGATGCTATTGTAATCACTATTTACCATTTAAAACAATTTTTCTTTTTAGGTGCTCATCCAGATTAAAGTGTTTTCCAAAAAAAAAAATCACAAAAGTTATTATAAAGCAATGTTTATAGTGGAAAGAATCCAAATGAGATAGTGCAATACTTATCAAAAATGTAGTTATGCAAAATTACATTTGATGTTACGTTTCCTCTAACTTTCTAAGAAAACGTCACCTAATATTTGAATGCATCTCTTGTTCTACTTAATAGGAGACCTTCTTTACCATTTCACATTTTTAGAAAACTGAAATTCCTGTGGAGTTTCATATTGGATCCCAAGAAAATCTTTTATTAGCCTAGAAAGACAACCTTAGTATAAATTAGGATCCACCTCTAAAATATTTTATTCTCAAATGTTTGTGAGCACTAAATAGTCTTAGTTTATAAAGCAAAAGGTCAAGTTGAAAATTATATTAAAACAATACTCCAAATGCCTATCAAAATATGTCTGTTTCAGTTATTATGCAAATACATAGAAAACAGAGTCCATGTGAGACCTCTTTAGTCTATGTCAGAACACCAGGTCCGCATGCAAATTCAAGTTTTTTTAGAGCACACACAGACATTCATATATGTTTTAAAACAAGATCAACAATTTTAATTCACAAGCATAGCAACACCTTGGCAGAACAATACCTTCCTGAATTATACCTTTGTTTTACCTCGTACTTAATCATGAGTCATTTTGCATACATCCATAACATAGGGAGTTTCTTTCATCCTTCCTTTGCTCATGCCCATTAGTCCCTTCTATCTGGAAATGGAAGCTTTGTCTACTATTCGGGAATAATACTATATTTGGGATTGATTTGTTTTTTTCTTAGATTTTACTAGAGATACTGGGATGATATATTTTATGAAGTTATAGTTTTGCTGTTGTTATTACAATTCTTTTCTTCCTGAATTTGAAATAAAGACAATGGTTTTACCATTTAAAAAAGTTTCTACCCTCATCTTATTTGTCAAAGAATAAACATCAGCACTAATGATAGAAAGCCTTAGATTAGCCACAGAGCTTCTGTCCTCACCAGTCTCCAAGTACAGGGAAATTCAGCTATATTCATTTCAAAAAGATAATAGCCTCGAAGAAGTTTTTTGTTTGTTTTGTTTTGTTTTGTTTGAAATAGCATCTCACTCTATCGCCCAGGCTGGAGTACAGGGGCGCGATCTCGGCTCACTGCAACCTCCGTCTCCTGGGTTCAAACAATTCTCCTGCCTCAGCCTCCTGAGTAGCTGGGATTAGAGGTGCTCACCACCATACCCGGCTAATTTTTTTTTTAGTAGAGACAGCCAGGCTGGTCTCAAACTCCTGACCTCAAGTGATCCACCAGCCTTGGCCTTTCAAAGTGCTGGGATTACAGGCATGAGCCACCGCGCCCGGCTGACGAAGTAATGTTTTATTTTGTTAACTGAGGATGAAGGTGGGGAGATGGGAGAAAAATAGCAGACTTAGCCTCCTGAAGTTTCTGTAGCATGAAAAGGAAACTTGAGAATCCATGCCTTCTCCTCTGACTTGTGTTTGTTTACACTTAAAGATGTTTAAGCATAAATTCCCTTTGCAGCTACAAATCAGATTTAAAGACATGATTATAGGACCTGTTTATCTAATTTATTATGCAACCATCAGGAAAACCAATGCAATTCTTTAGCTTTCTCTGAAAATTGAACATAGACCTAAAGATGATGTCAATCAACACATGACTTTTAAACAAGCACAGACTTCCTATAACTGTTCAGTATACCTCCATCTGTTTCTTTATTCTCCTATGTAGACTAGGATCTTTTAAGATGACATAAATCTACTTTATAGTGCTTGTTTTAATACTTAACCACCTTCCTGAGAACTCATTTCTTTTGCATTTAACTTTTAGACTTTATTTTTAGACAAATACTGTTATTTACTAAGTGGTTGGAAATGCAAATCATGACAAGGCTCGATGCTGTCAGCCCGAGTCCTTTATGAATCAGTACCCCATAAACCACTGTCAATTTTTGTATTAAGCACTTATTGACTGAGGTTTTACAGGGGCCTCAACACACAAAGGAGGATGATGCCAAAGGGACTGGTGATCATTGTCAAAGGATGACTTGGAATCGAGATACGGCTGTATATCAGCCCAGAAGGAAACATGGGTTACTCCTAAGTCTCCGCACAAAGAGATTCAAGAAATTTCTCATATTTCTAAATCACTTCTTAGAGCTAGACTTTTTGCAAAGCTGAAGGGAGACAAAAATGATTTGCAGACATATAAGATAGCTGATATGTAGGTTTGTCAATGAACATCTAGGCATTGATCTCCAAGTTCCTTCTTGGTAGCAGGTGGAACACATGTTCAAATGTTTTAAACTTATTACTCATATTTGGTCATGAAAGCCTCACCTTAAATATTAAAGTGCATAGGTAGGAACCAGAGTTAGAGTTGGAGGAGGCAGGCTAACTTTGGGATGCTCTTTGTCATCTCTGAAACAGATGACTCATGAGACAAGCAGCTCCGTTTATAAAAAACACTCTCCAAAAATGGTATTGGCAATCACAGAAAGCGTTACATGTCTTAGGTTGTAAAGTGTTCTTAGCTGACTATGTGACAACCAAATGAATGGATACATAAAAGATGTTAGAAGTATCAGTGCTTTTCCTTTTTTATTTTAATCTCTCTATTTTCTCTGGCAATAGACGTTTTTTAGACAAAATTTTTCAGAAGATTAACATCTGTAAAATAATTCTGTTTTTCACTGCTTGAGTTCAACTGTATTTAGGCCCGTAGATATGTCTGTTTGAAGCAATCTATTCAAACTATGTATTCTTTCTGTCTACAGGGGTCTGATATATAACTTATAAGTTTCTAAATGGAGCTAAAAGTTTTTAAGACAGAGTGGTTATAGAAGTAAATGCCGACAATTGATACTCACACTGGATCCACTTAAATCTAGAAATCTTTTTCAACATAAATGCTGACTCTAGGAACTTTTTCTCCTGATAACCCTTCATTTTTGTGTAAGAGACTAAAAATAGAATGGACAAACATTGTCTATTTCTAAAGGCAGTTAGAACTAAACCAGGCAGTTAGCACCCTCCCATTAAGAACCCTTGCAAAGATGTAACCCCTGCGTGTTTGGCTGGACTTAGCATTTAAATCCAGTCTTCTCCTCCTTGTGACCTGTGGAGATAAGAGATATTAAGACCTGTTCCCGTTCCCATCCTGGGTTTTTTACTTCATACAGGCATCAAAATCTCTGTGTGGCTTCTACAAAATAAAGAGATTGGATGACTCATCTCTGAATACCTTTTGAGATCCTGTATGCAGAACAAACTACTTTATGAAATTCATCTGCAGTTAATGCTGTTTCAATAAAAGTGGCAGCGAGCACTGGGTAATCTGTCTTCTTCTGTTATTCTGGGTACTTAGGAAGTTCTTATGGACAACATGCTGGCATTCCCATTATCCTAAGATACTGAAGACTTGAAACATTGCTCTCCTACCTATTCCTTCTCTATGAGGCAACACCATTTCCCATTCTGTGCACTACCCTCCCCGCCCTTCAACACTGCTTCTTTCAGGAGCTCTGGGTCTCCCTGGAGTCCTCCTATCCACCAGGCCCCCCGTGGCATGGGCTCCTTCTCCGCCAGGCTCCTCTCTGCTCTGCACCCACGTGGTCCCTGCTGAGCCGAGGCTGGATCTACAATAGAGAGAATGGAGGCATCTGAGAACAGCATCAGGCATCTTGGAGATATTCCTCCAACACTTTTGTGGCCTGAACCACCTGTACATAAGTCTGGAGTTTTGTTGAGGTTTCACCCCTAGGTTGCCAGAGATGAAGCCAGTCTTTAGCTCCTTAGGGTCTGTTTCCTGCATTCCATCCTGTGGGGCTTTTAACATTATTTGCGTTCTAGAGCCAGGGAAGAAACTTCATTGTCGACAAAAACAAAATGTTCTTCTTTTCACCATTCTGGGTCTTAAGAAAAGAGATTTCTCACATAGTGCTGTCTTCTGCACATATGGCATGTTCTTTGCTGTACTGAATAAGGAATGTATTTGGGGGTCTATACAGTTAGATATGGGTTATGGTTGTCTTGTGCCCCTCTGTGTTCACCACACCTAACACAATATTTGCTATAGAGTAACTCCCAGTAAATATTTATTGATGGATATGGAATGAAGTTGACATTTTGAAGTAGATATGCAGACCAGCAACATGGGATGAGAAATGTAATAGACACGTACCTAATGACGTTTCTGTCAAATATCTCAAACTTATGTATAAAAATGATTTTTATTTTTTGCTATTTTGCTAAGTTGTATATTTCTGATCTCCTATTCAGACTTTTCATGCTACTTATGATGAAATAATGTGACAAATAAAATAAGTGAAGGACACTAACAGATGGGAGGCTGTTATCATAAGTGAAACAACTCAGAAGCAGAGTCAAATACCACGTGTTCTCACTTACAAGAGGAAGTTAAATCACCTGTACACATGGGCACACAGTGTAGAATAATGGACAATGGAGACTTGGAAGGGTGGCGGGGGAGGAGGGTGGTGACAGATGAGAAATTACTTAATGGGGACAATGTACATTTTTCTGGTGATCGTTATACTAAAAACCCAGACCCCAGCACTATGCATTATATTCATGTAACAAAACTGCACTTGTACCCCTTAAGTTTATACAAATAAGAAATGCAAATAATAATAATATTAAAAATAATCTTAAAACTATGGGAAAAAAAGTCAGTAGATAAAACAAGATGGAGCCATCTCTTATGAGAAAGAGAGTAAAGGAGCATAAATGGTTAACTGGAGCTAACGGCTGGCACAGGAGCCCCCGAAGGACCCGGCACCTCCACACTCAGAACTGGGCACTGTCGTCACGAAGGCTCTGCGCTCTCTTCCTGAGACATCTCCCAAGCATGAGTGGCAGTTTTCTCAGATGCTCATCTTGCTCCAGCTCAAGTGTTAAAGGAAGGGACACAGTGAAAAAATATATATTAATGGGTGAACGGCAAAAATGGGGCAAGGGATTCCTCATCGACTGAGAGTCTGAGTTCTTCTACTGTCAGCAGTGTCCATTTGTTTGTTTTGAACTTGCCTTTTTACATTTAATGTCTTTGTATCATATGGGTGGTCAAGTAAATCACAAAATCTTGGAGTCATATCTAGAAGTTTTCCTGTCAGAAGCAATGCATTATGAGCCCAGAGAGAAGTGCTAGCCCTGGATCTTGCAGCTGTGAACTGGCCCAGGACTTGGGTGAATTGTCTTCCCTGTGTCACCCCACTGCTCCTGAGCCTCCAACTAATCTTTTCATTTTTGTTGTAACTTGACTTTTCTGTGGCGTTCCGGTAGACTGGCCCCTCCCCGTTACAGCACTTAGCTTCTTTCACGTAGCAGGGATTGAGCTTTTTAGAGTGGCATTTGCATCCCTGCCCAATGTGTTGTGTGAGTCCAGGTGAAGAACCCCTGGCAGCCAGCGGTTAACCGTGCCTGGCTAACGCCGAGGCAGATGCTCCTGCTATCTCTGAGGGTTTATTGCCCCCGCTCCCATTACGCCTGACAAAGAATATGTGTACAATATGGATTCCTTAAATATACAGCCACTGAAATCATTGGCATTATGTATTTTCAAATAATTTATGTAATTGCTGTAATTAATTTTTGGTTTATGTTATGTTTGAAATAAAAAGTAATAAAATTAAAAAGCCCCCCTTACGTACAAAAGACTAAGCGCTTGCAATATTTTGGTTTCTTTTTAATTGCTCCATTTTTTACTTTGATTGGTAAAGGAAAAAAGCATCCAACTGCAAGAGAAAAACACCCGATTCCATTTAAACATAGGATTAATTCATTCGAGCTGGCACCCAGACTGACGCTTGTATTTCAAGTCTTAGTGCAATCATGTTATTTGCTCTACATTTACCAGGTCTGAATTCAGTGGCATACAGAACTATGGGCCTGGGAGACCAGCTTTTCTTGTGCTAGAAATTTCCACTGTAACTTAGCTGTATTGTTAGAGATCCTATTCCACATAATTTTTGCATAGAGGATAGTCAAAATATATTGTTTGATTTGTTGCTTTAGTTACTAGAAATATACCAATACAATTTTTTTCTGTATGTGTAAATATCTAAATTAATTCTTAGAAAATTCAATATTTAGTCAAATGACAATCTTTCTTTTCCTTCCTTCCTTCCTCGCTCTCTCTTTATCTCTTTCTTCCTTTTTCTTTTTTGTAAAGGGAAAGTATTGGGAAGCAGTGAGCTCATTTTCATTAGGGAGGCTCCAGTGCAGGTCAGACATCCAAGTGTCTCCTACTGAAGAGAAACTCAGACTTCAGGCAGGAGGGGAGAGTAAGTAGACAGCTTTTCAACACTGAACGTTTCAGAGGGGTCCGAAGAAAAAAACAAAACAAAACAAAAAACAAAAAAAAAAACGCTTTAAAATGAAAAAAAAAAAATCTTACAAATAGAATCAGTCAGCCGAGCCTGTCATTTCATGTGGTGACGGCTTTTCCAGGAGTCTTGGAAGATGCCCACCGATTCCTCTGCAAGCTTCCCGAATGGGGAGCTCCGTGCCATCCAGAAGCTCCAGCGTGGGCCAGTCGTGGTTGGGAAATGATCGCTGTGTTGAGTGAAGGCCCAGTTACTCCTCACCTGCTTGTGCCCTTGGGCATTTGGCACCTGAGCATCTTTATTATTTGCAGACAGCTACCATGTGTTCCCTGGGTCTCCTTTTCCTAATCTTGGAATCTCTGTTCCTCTTAGCACCTCCCAGCCAGAGTCCTGGGGATGTTAGGAAATGTAGAAGAGTTTTGGATGGTCTGAATGGTCAGCACTTATGGGGCAGGGGTCATGGATACTAAACTTTCTGCAAAAAGGAATAGTCTCTAGTGATGAAATATCGTCCTCCCCAAAATGCCAGGAGGGCTCCATGTTCCCAATTGGACTGGAGTCTTCATCCTTTTGGTCACTCTCCTCAGAAGATGCCAGAATGTCATTATTTCAGAGGCAGTGACAGTTTTTGCCCACCAAGACATAAGGATCCAAATGGGCAGATTTGGAAAAAAATAAATTTGGTCATGTGGATTAAAAATGTTTATATAAGCTGGTGGGGGGAACAGGAACTCTCATAAGAAACAATGATATAAGCCCTACAGAAGAGAATTGGAAATACCTAATAAAATTACCTCTATATTTACCATTTTACCTGCCAATTTTCTTTCTAAGAATCTGGGAGTCTACTCTGATAGTTTGCCACATCAATATAAAACAAGATTTAAGGCCAGGCGTGGTGTCTCACGCCTGTAATCCCAGCACTTTGGGAGGCCGAGGCGGGCGGATCACGAGGTCAGGAGATCGAGACCATCCTGGCTAACACAGTGAAACCCCATCTCTACTAAAAATACAAAAAATTAGCAGGGCAAGGTGGCGGGCGCCTGTAGTCCCAGCTACTCAGGAGGCTGAGGCAGGAGAATGGCGTGAACCCGGGAGGCGGAGCTTGCAGTGAGCCGAGATTGCGCCACTGCACTCCAGCCTGGGCGACAGCGAGACTCCATCTCAAAAAAAAAAAAACAAAAACAAAAAACAAAACAAAACAAAACAAAAACAGGATTTAAGAACAAGATTGTTTATTGTGTCATTATTTACAAAAGCAAAAGACTGACTCAATCCAAATGAGCATCAATAAGGAAATAAAAGTTGAATAAATTATGATATAGCTACATAATGGTATATCATGCAGCCATAAAAAATGAGGAAGGTCTTTATGAGCAAACAAGTAAAAACAGCATGATACAGAATAGTGTGTGTGTGTGTAGGCATATATATATATGCTACCTTCATATAAGAAAGAATGAGAAATATGTTTATACACACACACACATGTATGTATCATATTTTAAAAAGAAACAAAAGATGGATAAACCAGAAATTGAATGATTGCCTGTGGGGTGGATGGGATTGGTGGAGGGCATAGGGATATGAGTCAGCATTCTTTAAATTTATATTTTTACATATTTTTGATGTATGAACCATGAAAATATTTTATATATTCAAAAAATTACATCCAGGAAGTAAAAAAAATCTTTCTAATTTTTGGCCTAATAATTCTACTTCTAATAAACCTACGAAAATGCAAAAAAAAAAAAAAAGCTTGCACAAGTGAGTTCTTCATAGTATTATTTTAATAAAATCACCAAACTGGAAGTAGACACTGAATAGGACATAAAGGGTTAAATAACAAATGACCAAGTCATACATGAAATATTAACCAGGCATTAAAATGACATCTATAAAGAGTGTGTAATGATCTGGGAACATTTCTATGTGAGGGGGCTGTGAAGGATCCGTGGGATTGTGGACTGGGGTTGATCCAAACCCACTGATGGGGAAGACAGCTGGCCTTTCTCTTTTGAGCACCTGACCATACACTCCCAACCCTACTCCTCAGAGCTTCTCCCCAAACACACACACACACACAAACACACACACACGTGCACACACACACGCACACACACACACAAACACCCAGACACACACACAGACAGGCCCCTTCTCAAAGCACCCTGACGTCATGCTCCCGCCAACCTTCACATACCCAGGTTCTGGAGGCTTTGACCCCTTCTTTCTCCAGCTGCCTCCATCCCTGCCTGTCTATTCGCCGGGTGTGGGTCATGGTTTTCTCAAAGCTTCTGAAAAGCCTCCTGAGCAGTTTGTTAGCAATCTCTCCCAGGGACTTTGCCATGATGTTAAATGCTGTATCTGAAGAGAGTCGTCCAGCACTGGCGAACTCTCTCTTTTATAACACTATCTTCTGCCTGCCTTCCCGGCTCTTGAATAGATACCCTCAAACAGCACTGTTTATTGTGCTCTCAGCTTCTAGGGGCAGGTGTTTTCTGGTCCTGGCCCCTCCTTTGGTGTTGAGGCTGCTCCTGCCCCAGCCAGGCCCAATCACTCCCTGGCCAAGTGTACATGTGACTCAACCCTGGCTGCTACCCTCCTGTCCAGGAGGTTCCGACCTTATAGGGTGATACATGGTCTTCAAATAAGAGGCCCTGTATGTCTAATTAATGTGAGAGAGTCAGCCTCTACCAGGGAGAAGGAGAGTACTTCTGCATTCTGAGGATTAAAAGACACCGGGGATAAGATTTTCAAGTGCACCAAACGCATATTTTTATTTTATTCTCAGGGTTCCATGCTTTTCCAAGTAGGGCCCTGACCTTAGCCATAGATTTCCCTAGGTTGAGAACTCCACTTTCTCTGAAACTCTGTGTTCCACATTTAGAAGCTGGTCCTGGTTCTCGGTTTCCCCACCACTGGCTGAAGATCTTGAGAGTCTCTGCATAAGTCGCCAAGGAGGCCGCTCTGCTTCTCGTTCCCCTTCTTAATTCCTCTCAGATTCTGTCACCACTTTCCAAAGCATCAGCTTCCCCCCGGGAATAGCTAGCTAAATCCTGTGTCCTTATCATTACCCTTTCCCCATATTTATCAAGTCCCTGATATGTTTTCTAAGAACTGCATTTTTTTCACCTCTTGCACCATCCCAGATCACCACGGTGCAAGTTTTAACAGTTGCATTCACTCCTGTGCTGGAGCCGTGCCTGTTGCGTATGCCAGAATTGAGGTCCTCATTGCAAGCTCCTTGGCCAGTGGGTGAACCAGCACCAAAACATACCTCAGGAGGCCCTGAAGCGGAGACCAGCAGCAGGCAGTGTTTCCTGGAGCGTACTCTAGGTCTGACATCCATCGGGGAGGGAAGAAAGTGAGGTGGAGGAGAGGGGGAAATTGGACTGCAAGGACATCTCCACAAAGAACTAAACCAACCTTCAGGTAATGCCGCTGCTGGGAGGGCTTCTGCAAGTCTTCCCAAGTTGAGGCGAGGAGGTTGAGCCTTATTCCCCCTCACACAACAGCCATTAGACACAGGCTCAAACTTTGGGCAAAGCTCTGTCTCCCACTGAAGGCTGTTTCTGCAGATGACTATACTGTCAGCGGGAGATGTCTGTACTGTCAGTGAGAGATGTCTGTCTATACTGACAGCGAGAGATGTCTATACTGTCAGTGAGAGATGTCTGTCTATGCTGTCAGCGGGAGATGACTATACTGAAGTCAGCAGCACTTCAAGTTGCCAGGGAAGTGAATGCTTCTGCCTAGAGGGCATTTCAGGGGCATGTGGAGGGGCAGATGGGTCAGAGGCATGGTCAAAAGTGACTAACCAGCCAGGGATATCCCAGGTGCCCATCATCCTGGAGTGGATGCCTGAAACACAACTAACTGGGAGAGAAACTACAGAAGGAAGCAGAGACTATGGAAAATAATGCAATCCAATGTAGGCACATTGATTTCATAGTATCTGTAGACCATCCAGTGTGAAATGCTCACCAGAAAAATTCAAATGACCTGAAGAGTCTAAAATATAGAGGGTATGGGGGAGGTTCATGCTAGAGGAAGCATTACGAGTCTTCAGTATAAAGATGGTATTATGGGTTGAAGTGTGTTCCCCTAAAATATGTTGAAGTGCTATCTCCCAATACCTCAGAATATGACCTCATTTGAAGAGAGGTTTGTTACAGGTGTAATTAGTTCAGATGAGTTCATACTGGAGTAGGTTGGGCCCCTAATCCCGTATGACTGGTATGTTTATGAGAAGATGCCTGTGTGAAGTCAGAGACGCACAGGGGGAAGGCCACGTGAAGACAGAGGCAGAGGCTGGAGTGGACCGGAGTGACGCAGCTGCAATGCAAGGGTGGCCAACAAACACACAGCAGCAGCTGGACGGGGCGGGGAGGGATCCTACTCGGACACTCAGAGGGAACGCAATCCTCTGGACACCTTGATTTCGGACTTCCAGCCTCCCGAACAGTGAGAAGACAAATTTTGGTTGTTGTACGTCACTTAGTTTGTGGTATTTTGTTCTGGCAGCCCCGGGAGAGTAACACAGGTGGTCAATGAAATTGTGGAGACCAGGAGCCTGTGTAGCTAAGAAGGGCAGAGGTAAGAGGAAGTTCAGCAGGCAAGGAGCAGGTGGAGGAAACGTGCCTGGGGTCACCTGAAGGAACAGGGAGGAGCTGGAGAGTGCAATCACCACCCACCACCCACCCCCCAACCCCATCGCCCCCAGATGGTATCCCAGAGTCCCAGAGTGGAAGCAACTTCACTTAGGCGTGGGAAGAATGGAAGATGCTGATGAAAACAAGGCAGCTCGGGAAAAATGGGGGCTGATGATTTTTTTTTTTTGGCTTATCTGAAAGGCTAATTAGAAAGTCAATAGTTATCAATCAGGATGTGTAAATGGATTGGAAAACTAGCGTTGTACTCCTTCCTGCCCGTGAGTACAGCCTAACTTATTTGTGATGCAACATTCCCGTTTGACATTTATTTCCTTTCCTTTAAAAATGTAGAGTGTATCTATTTAAAACAATATTAGTCTTGGCATCGTTTAGCTCTTGTGTACACTACTGTCAAATATGTGAGAGAGAGAGAGAGAGAGAGAAAGAGAGGAAACGTCCTTGGCTCAGACTATAACGAATGCATGTGACAAAAATTTCCATCGGCCAATGTTTGCCAAAAGAATGTTATAAGCTTGAATTATTTTATGCAATTTATAAACATATTTAAATGAAAAAAAAGTTTTCCTTTTACTCTGCCTTATGAATGTATTTGTGTCTGAATTTAGAAGACAGGAAATAACCCACCTTTGGGAATAGCACTTAAAAAGCAGGCATTGCTTCCCTTCTTCCCAATATTAAATAATTTGCTTTCTCTTTCCTTTTTTTTCTTTGGTATGCTAGTTTTGATACTGTGTTACATGTAAAATCAAAACAGAAACAACCTACTAAAATTTGTTTTTTTAAAAAATGAATAGTAATTAGAAATTTTAGTTTCTCATAGCCAAGAGCCCCTTGGACTTCTGAAAGAATTCCAAAGACATCAACCTTGCCACCAGCCTAAAATTCTTCCTGCTGACTGTGTCAGCAGTCCTGAGTTTTGTTTGCTGCCTGGTGTCTCTTGAAACTCATGAAAAGCCAGATTGCTCTACCAAGAATTCCAAAGCCTATTCCAAATTTTAGCGTTCTGAAGAGCTAGTAGTATTTAAATACAACTCTCTTTTTAAACATGCATTATCCAAAAATTCAGGTTCATAATGGCAGATCCATAGCTGTATCCTGTGACCAAAGATCGTTGAAATTTTATCAAGTGGCTAATGGAGAGTAAAGGTTCCCTTATTTTTCCTGTGATTTTTCTCATGCTGATTATCAACCTTATTATGATTACTTTGTGCTGTATAATTGGGCATAGAGCTAGGGCTCTGTTCTGAAAATATATTTGTTGTTGGCAGCTGTTCCATTATCTTATGTATATATTCTTCCTGTATTTGAATTTATGTTTTCTGGGTCTCTTCCCAGAACTAGCTGGATTGCTTAGGATAGGACAAAGAAAGACAAAGTTTTTGCAAATGAATCTCTGAAATCCAAGAAACTAATGATGTGCTTCATTCTTAGAAGATGTGTTAAAGTGCAATGACCTAGCTTTCTGCAGTACCTTCAGAATCTCATTGTATGAAACAAAAGTACTTGCAGAGATTATTTGTCTATGCATTTTACAAGATTGGGCTTATAGAGTTTGCTATTTTTGTATTTTATACTGGTACTTTTTGCAGTTAATGATAATATTTTATATGATCACTTTTCAATTTTTAAAGTGTGTTGGCAAACAATAATTCATTGCCTTTTTGAAACACATCTGACTCGTGAGTTATAATGGGGAACTATTGTTCTTACTTTTCAGATGATATTCAGACAGGTTAAGTGATGTCCCCGAAACACACAGTTACTAAGTGAAAGCTGGAACATAAGGCCTTAGTGCTCTCCCCTGGCAGCACAGTCAACCCACATCAGGTGCTTTTTAAAATAAATAGCAATGCCTGGGCCCCACTCTAGTCCAATTCAATCAGAACCTTTGAGTTAGTGTCAGGCACTCCATTTTAAAAAAGTTCTCCTGGTGTGTACACATGCATTCAGGGTTGAGAGTGTTGCTCTGGCAAATAGAAACTCTCAGTTTATTATTCATCCAGTTCCAAGTTAATTATTATCTGAAAAAAATAATTATTTTATTCTTAAAGTTCCATGGAGTTGTCATGAGTATTGGATGAGTTGATATGTATGAAGTGCTTGCAACAGCGCCTGGTACACAGTACAGGCTCCATGAGGGATGACTGTCATCACTGTCATCATCATCATAGAGAAAGGCACTTCTTGGACAGTTTGACTCAAATTACTCTTGGATTGGAAGATAGTCAAATGTGGTTCATGAAATTTCCTCAAAGCAGTATCTTTTGCTGATGCAAAATAAAGTCATATAGAACTAGGAATGATAGAGATAGGGAGAAATGGAATTAAAACCCAGCTTCTTAGTGCCACTTTTATTTCTAATTTTATTCAGATAGTAACCAGTGACCATGTAGAACTGTCAAATAGTTAGATTCTACCAATAAGATCCAAATAAAATCAAATGACTAAAGAAAACATTAGTTTACCTCAGAAAAGTAAAGTATATTCAAGCATCATTATATATTTCAGTTCATGAAAAAGGATTTTACTAAGTACATATGCTTTCTACATAATGCAAAACATCTGATTTAACCAAATCTTTGCCAATCGATAATTAGATAGATTTTATTGACAAAAGCATCATGATAAGGCAAAACCTTCTTTTGTATCAATTGCTATAAAATCTGGAAAATGAAACAAGTGCATAGCTTGCATAGCTGTATTTTTGGCAAGTATTCTATTTTACATGCTTTTTAGACTTTATTAAATAAATTGGATGATTATTCCTTAATAACAAAAATCTCATTATCACCTCCTGGAAATTATCATGGTACTGAAAAAATCTTTTTTATATGGAATGTAAACTGTTAGATTAATCAGATTTCCTTTTATCTGAAAACCATGTGGCCAGCAATCTAATGGAAACAATAGACGTTATTCTGATTTAGTGAGACTTTGGCTTCAGATAGGACATATTTATTAGCAAAAGGTAAAATGTCAGCTGGATTATAACTATTTGCTTTATCTTCTATAATAGAACACCACTATGAGATCCTCAGTCAGATATGTAGATCTGAATGGTGGAGAAAAGCTCTGCATGGCCCAAAATGCCTTCTTCAATAAGTTCAATGGTGTTATGTTTGTTTCTAACTCAATCTGAAATGTTTTCCATTAGTTCCAACTGTGGGTTAGAGCTGCAGTTCCCTGACTCCAGAAAGAGTGAAATTTACCAAACATATTCAGTAACATATGCACAGCAGAAATATAAAATAATAATATTAAAATTAAACCAGGCAAAACTACCATCTACCACAACCAACATTTCATTACAGAAAGGTCATTTTAACAACAAAAATAGAAAAAAAAAAAAAAACACCCATGAGCCCAGAAGCAGTCCCTTAAAGTGATTAAATTTAGTCTCATGAAACTCGTTGCAATTGTCATTATTTCCCTCTTCTTTTGTGGGTTGGATTAAAGCTTCACCATAGTTACTAAGATTTGGAAACCATTCTCCAACACTATAAAAATAGGAATATGGTCTCCCACTGCCTATTATTCAGCCGTATATTTGCTATGTGGAAAGAAAGAGAGTGTGCTCAGGGATTCCTTCAGGCTCTTCCCGTTAGAATATCAACATGAATTCATTTATGAGTTGACCTTATTGCTGTGTAAGAAAACATAGAGCAACTGACCATGAGGGTATCACATATTGAGCAGCATAATTTAGAATTGAGAAAGATATAATTGACAAATGTCACTGACATGTTTTAGGAGGCTAACCATGAAAGATAACAGGGCACTTGGAGCGCAAGGCTGTGAGCAGGTGAGGGGCCACCTGGAGAGCTCTAGGGAGAATGACTTTGGGGTAGGATGGGTGTGGAGCATAGTTTCCACTGTCCATCCACAGAACTTGGCTTCTTCCCAATCACGATGGCTTCAGGAAGAGCCATCTCTCCTTATGACTGTTTCATCCTTAGAATGAGATATCAAAAAAACCAATGAGTTTAGAGGCAAGACATCTGGAATGATGGAATGAGGAGCCCATCAGATCCTCTCCCCAGCAAAACAACCATTTAACTGGAATAAAAACTATAAAAATCAATTATTTAAAGTTCATAGAAATTTTCTTAAGGATATACAGCAAATGGCAAAACACTTATTTTTAAAAATCTACTAAATATTTTTTAAGAACAGTGAGAGTCTGCAGCGTTTGAAGCACAACTGTCTCCCCCACCACAGGTCAATGTTACAGAGGCTCTACTTGGGTGTTCCACTACAGGTCGGTACAGCCAAGAAGATAGGGTCTCTCTGCATCCCCAGCTCCCAGCTTAGGGCTATGGTTACACCATGGGAAGGGAAAGGCAACAGGGCTTTTCACCCCCACCTGCCCCATGTTGCAGATAAACATGACCAAGAGGACAAGATCTTGCTTTCCTCACCTAGCCTCTGCTGGTAGGGTAGAAGCTCTACCCTAGGTGCCAGGCCCCCAACAGTCTCTGCCCCAGGTTGCTTGCAGTACAGAAGTTTATCAGTAGGAGCAATCAGAAAACCAGAAGCTACCACACTCCCCAAGCAACCACCCTTAGTGCAGGGATTGTTATTCCAGGAGAAGCAGGTAGGTATCTCTGCCCCCAGCTTCTGCATGGTAGCTCAGAAGTACTGCTGAGTAAATATGCTACCTAAAAAAGAAGAGAGTGTGCCTGAACAGAATCTGGAGAGACCTAAATAAATGGAGAAGTATACTATGTTCATGGATTAGAAGACACAGTAATGAAAGATGTCCTTTCATTTGAAATTGATTTACAAATTCAGTGCAATTTCAATAACATTCCAAGGAGGCCTTTCAAAGAAATTGGTGTGTGTGTGTGTGTGTGTGTGTGTGTGTGTGTGTGTGTACATGCACATATAAATCTTATAATGACATTTTTACAATGATACATGGGCATATATATGTATGTGTTTAAATGCAAATGATCTGGAAGAGCTGAAACAATGTTGTATAAAAGGAACACAGTTTGAGTATTGAGTATTTACACTATCTGATTTTAAGATTTACTATAATGTTAGGGTAAACAAGAGAGTGTGGTATTGATATAATGATGATGAAATAGATCATTAGAATGGAATAGAGTCTAAAGTAGACTCACACATATATGGTCAATTTATTTTTAAGCAAGATAATCAGTCCTTTCAATGGGGTAAAGAAAGTCATTTTAACAAATAATGCTGGAATATCTATATGAAAAATAGTGAAGCCTAACCTCTAGATCCTCCACACAAAAATAACTAATTCTAGATGAATTATAAACCTAAATATAAAAGCTAGAATCAGAAATCTTCTAAAAGAAATTATAAGACACTATCCTTGCCATCTCAGAATGTGCAAACATTTCTTAGAAATAACACTAAAAGCATTAATAATAAAAATTATAAATTGGAAATCACAAAAATTAAAAATTCCATTTCTAAAAAGATGTTATTAAGACAATAAATTGTTAAGTCATATATTAGAAAAATATTGCAATGCATATAACTGAATGACTTGCATCCAAAATACACAAAGAACTCTTAGAAATCTATAAAAAGACAAACAACCCAATAAAAATCAAAGAGACATTTCACAGACATTTAACAAAAGAAAGTACATGAAGAACAAATGCATAAAATATCACATCATTAGTCCAACAAATAAAAACTAAAACCACAGTGAAATACCATACTACACTTACCAGAATGGTTACAGTAAAACATTGGTAATGCCAAGTGTTGGTCAGGATGTGGAGCACTATGGTAGACATTGCTGGAGGGAATATAAAGTGTTACACTTTGCTTAGTATTTTTATACAAAGATAAACACAGGTCTGCACTCTCAGTAAGTTACTTTCTAAATGTGTACCCAAAACAAATGAAATATGTATCCACGAAAAGATTTGAACAAGAATATCCATTCTACTGTAGTTGTATTCAAAATAGCCAAAAACTAGCAGCAATCAAAATGCCTATCGACAGGAGATTATTACATCTTGGTTTGTTCGTACAGTGGAATATCACTTGGTAATAAAAAGGAATACACTATTTTTGTTTGTTCACTTATTTATTTATTTTTGAGATGGAGTCTCATTCTGTCACTCAGGCTGGAGTGCAGTAGCGCAATCTTGGCTCACTGCAACCTCCACCTCCCGGGAGTCAGGCAAATCTCCTGCCTCAGCCTCCTGAGTAGCTGGGACTACAGGTGTGCACCACTACACCTGGCTAATTTTTGTATTTTTAGTAGAGAACAGGGTTTCGCCATGTTGGCCAGGCTGGTCTCAAACTCCTGACCTCAAGTGATCTGCTGGCCTCGGACTCCCAAAGTGCTGAGATTACAGGCATGAGCCACCACACCTGGCTATTTAATTGTCAGTTGACGAGTGAAAGTTGTATATATTTATGGTACGCAACATGCTTTTATATATATGTACATTGTGGAATGGCTAAATAAAACTATTTCACATATGCATTACCTCTTATAGATTTTTGTGGTGAGAATACTTAAAATCTACTCTCTTAGAAATCTTAGAAATCTCAGTATCGAGAGAGAAAATGAGCAAAATATTTGTACATAGGACAAAAACTTAATAGACATAATATGTAAATATGTTATAAATTAATACAAAAACAAATTCTTCAGTTTTAAGTGAAGAAAATGCAGCAACTGACAATTCAAAAAGATGAAACAAAAAAGGTCTACAAGCAGGTGATTATCAAAAGTTTTTAAAACATGCATTCAGTTTGACCTTATAATTCCCCTTTGAATGATTTGTACCCAGGAGTTAATTAAAAATGTGCCAAAGATTTGGTCACCAGAATTTTATACTCAAAGCTCTTAGTAAAACTGAAAATTAGTAACAAGTGAATTTCCAATATTAAAGGATAGAATAAAATAAATTATGTACATCCTGCTCATGAGAAGTACATCACAAAAGGTTTTCAAGATTTAGTTAGTAAAAAAGCAAATTGCAAAGCATTCCATACAGCATTAGTCCATCTTTGTAATACTGAAATCTTCACAGACCTATATTTTTGAATCAATATAAAGTATCAACAGTGATTATCTTTGGACTTAAATGACTTTAAATTTTTTCTTTATTATTTTCTAGTTTTTCTACAATTAACTTCTAATAGTTTCATAATAAAGTTATTTTTACTTCTTATGTTTTAAAATATGCATATGTGTATATTAACATTAAAATAAATATGTCACGATGAGGAAAAATGAGATAAATAACACTGTTACCAAAAACAGAACAGAAAAAAATGAAAAAAAAATGTGAGCAAGGATAAAGTCACAGTCTGATTCCTGGAGAACAAAAATGATTATATAAAGAATATGTATCTGGTAAATTGGAATATTTTTTGAAAAAAAGGTATTTACCTTATAGAGAATAGTTGATCACTATTTTTCTGGCAACAAAACTTTAAATTCTTGAGAACTCAAAATGGATCTCTTTCAATCTAAATAATTTTAATTCCTTGTATTTTTAAAAATTCTTTTATAAAAAGTGACCCCTAATATTCCAATCTTTTGAAATTCATTTTATTGTGCTCTTTTGGACACATTTCAAAGCTTCTCAGAAAGGGATGCCTGAATCTTATGCAAACGACTTCACGTGAACACGGGTACACAGTGCTTCCTCCATGACCTGTGGACATAGCACCACATTATTCCTTGACCTCCAGCGTTGTGGGCCTCTTGAGTTTCATAGGAAGTTGATTCTAGAAGCACAGGCTCTTGAAGAACAAGCTCCAGAATCCACTTCCTGGGTATGAATCTCAGTTCTATTTCTGATTTGCTGTAGAAGCTTGGTCTGCTCACTCACTCCATCTTGCCTCTCCTGAGTTGAAAGAACCTATCACCATACCCAACACATCAGGAATCATAACTATTACGAATTCATGTTCACTTTGCAGTCTTAGGCTAGGTCGGAGTAGGTGCTCCCACAGATGTTTTACTACAGTTTTCCATCTTATAGTTGTTTTAATCCCCAACCCAAGATCATTATGATTTGTAAGTTTGTTATCCAGGGTGTTCATTTTCCTTGGAGAGTTACAGCATCAGCAAAAGTAATGAGAATTTTTTTTTTCATCCTAGTAAATGCTAAATAGTACTAGCCCCAACTGGGCACCAATCTTTCTATCCTTGCCTGCGATCAGCTTAAGCAGATAATGTGTCAATAAGGATATCTTCAGCTTCATGAAAGAAAACCCTGACACAAGTTGGCTTAAACAACAAAGTAATTTACTTTCTTATATGGCAAGAAGCTTCAAGGGGCTGCAGTGCCGGCTGATGGGGCAGCACGGTGGGGAACTGATGGGCCTGGGTTTATTTCATCCCCCTGCTCTGCAGTGCTCAGCGTGCCAACTTTGTCCCAGGCTCACCCTGATGGCCAGAGCAGTTGAGTCACATATGAACAAGATAGCATCCAGGAAAAGGAAGCAATTATATCCTATTTTATCAACTCGGGAGCAAGGAAACTCTTCTTCAACTCCCTAACAGAGAGAAGTTCCACTAGCTAGACAAAAATGTCATGACCATCTCTAAACAAGACTAAGAAAGGTACCATGTGTTCCATGATTGGCGTAGGCTAATCAGGATTCACCACTACAGCTGCAAAAGGATGTGCTTCCCCTGAAACTCATGGAGAAGCACAGACACGCCCACAGAATTGGGAGGCTATCCGTGGATGAAAGGAATGGAAGGCATGGACACGTCCACAGAATTGGGGGGCTGTCCACAGAAGAAAGGAAGGGAAGGCATGGGTGTGGAGCTGACAGCCAACAGTGGCTGCTGCAATTGGCTCATGAATGGTTTATTGACCATAACTTTATTTTTTAAATGTTCACTTATCTGGTTAATCGATGAGCCAAGGGGAGCAGATCAGGTCCAACACTTGGCTATACGCTTAACATGAATATTAAGTTCAAGAGAGACAATCTCTTAGTAATTACATAATTTTGGAGAAAAATGCCCATAAAACTCAAAAGTGTGCCTTGTCACCTAATTAATTTTAAAATTCTGTTTAATTTTCTGGATGATTTTATCATCCAGTTCTTTGAAATATGTATATTATATAAACACATAAACACACCTACAATTAAATGATATATGTGTTAAACATATTAAGTTATATGTTATAGATGTTTTCATTTCTATATAATTTAATATATATTATATGCATATAATATAATATATATCAATGTGTGTAGTTTTAAAATCAAATTTAGATTCGTTTAACACTACTAGAATAAAATAAATGCATATGAAATGACACAGAGGCATCTTTGCCCATGGAAAGAGATACGATTACTTCAATGGTGTAATAAACGTTTGCTCACCTCTGGGAAATGTAATAGAGAAGGAATAGTCTCCACCTTATGGGGCTTATCTGTTAACAGTTTTCAAAGTTACAGGCTCTATTTACTCTCCAAAGTTGTTATTTACATTAATGAAAAAAGATTCGCCCTCAATATTTATTTTAGATAATCAGAAATCCCCATGGCTTGATTTTCTTGATGAATATCTGAAAAGAACAAGTTAAGATTGTTAAGAAACTCAAATAGAGCAACTTAGAATGGTATAAAAATAATTACCAACTCAACATCAATGCCATTAGAATACAAAAAAAATGACGGTTGTAATAGCTTTTAACAAATTTTTTCTATATTACTTATGTCACCACAGCCCCTTGAAGCCTCTTGTCATATGAGAAAATAAATATTATAGGAGTATACATGGGGAAATAGAAGAGTTTGTGATAAATTAATATATTAGGAAATATCCTTTAAGCTACAAAACTCACATTGAAACTCTCTGTACGAGATACAGGTTCCTTTTTCTCAGGTTCTCTCTTTATAGTATGAGCCCCCAATAAAAGTAAATGTCAGGAATGAGAAACAGATCTAGACTGAAAAATAAAAATGAATACTAAATAGTCTTTAGATGAAAGCTAAAATGCAAATAATAACTATTACATTGGCTCTTTACATTTATTTACAATTTCTAAATTTAGTAATATCTTCAGGAATCTATTTCTCACATGTACAAGGAAAACAGACTTGCTGTCATACTACACCCACAGTGTTCGCTTTAAGCACAATATTGTCCTCTGCTATGGACTTTAAGAGTTATCAAGTAAATGAACACCGCTTATCTTCAAATTGCACACCACTCAGCATGTGGCATCCACGTATCAGAGCCTTACCTGATAGATACTGGTGAGCAAGAGGACATGGGCATCATCTTTCAGTGAATAAAAGTCAGCAAAAATCAGAGTTGGCTGAGCCAACCACTTGTCCCTCTCTGTCCCTGTTGCCACTGACCTGCCTCCAGTCTTAGAAACGTGATATTTAAATATTATCCCACTGGATAACTCACATAGTACAGAAATGCATGTTCCAAGAGTTGCTTGAATTATTCTTTTGTAGATTTTTTTTGACACAAATTGTTTTTTCTTTCAGGTAAATTTACAGCAGTCAATCCTGTATTAAACCTGGCTGATCAATTTTAATGAAATGACCTAAGTCATAATAATATGTATTTTTTTAATTAAAAAAAACTCTCTTTCATATCATAACAAGGAAGTATTTATTTGCCTTAGGCCCTAGTCTCCACCTGCTCCTAAATAAAGAAAACATGGTGCAATAATAGTGACATTTTAAATTGTGCTGTTTTCCTTTAAAATCCTGGTTTGTATATCATGCTTAGACCAGGTCAAAACAAGCATCCCCGTGTGATGTGCTAACCTGGGACCCCAGAGCTTGGCAGGTATTATACAAAGTGTGGAGAAAAAAAAAAATCATGAGAGAGAAGGTTATTATAGCCTAAAGCATGGAAACTACAGGTTCATAATTCTTTATTTTTTCACCATAAATAAAATTACTTTAAAGTCCTCCCTTGACCCTGTCCTACCGTGGAGCTAGTCACCCACTCCTTACCTTCCCTCTCCACTGCTTGGAAGACCACTTCAGACCTGATGCTTTCCCTACCTAACCCTCCAGACCTGACGACCTGACGTCTAACATCCCATTTTCCTCTAAGTTCCTTTTAGAAGGTTATCGGTGATGTGCTAGTCTCCAATTTCAAATGCTTCATTTAACCCTTCCTTCACTTCCTTCCTCTGAAGAATCTGACCATGCCATCTGCCCAGTAAACCCACATGAACAAGAGTGGCCTTAAAACTCTTTTCTGCTTGGGACCAATGACATATACACAAACCTATTTCCTCTTCTATATCTGTGCCCACTGTTTTTAGGTGCAATGCAGATGTTTACACTCTAAACATGAAAATAACAGCTTCCTACGCCCTGAGAGGCAGGAGCCAGCATGGTGATAAGCAAGTGTGCTTAACCGGCCGTCCTGGAGTCAGGGCAGAAGCCTGTGGCCTTCATGGTGCGTCTGTGTGTTAGAAAGAGGCCTCCGGCAGCAGAGAGGTTGCCTCAGACCCTCACAGAGCTAGAGGCAAAGAGAAGAGTGAGAAGGCCTGGAAGTTCTCCAGCAGGAAATGGCAAAGGCGCACACCCAAACCTGTCCTTTATAAAGTTCAGAAGTGAAGAGGCACAGATAGAAATGAGAGCTCCTGGGAACAGGGTGGAAGCAGAGAACCCGCTGCTGTGGGAGGTGGCGGGGGTGGGAAGAGGAAGAGGATCACCCATTTCCAGGTTTCTCCCTTGGACTACTTTCACTGAGATGGAAATCTGGGGACTCCCACTTCGTTTTGGGTGACGTTATGGGCTTGGGAAAGAAAGCACTGCCGTGTGCACCCTTCTTCCAGGGCCTTCCTCCTGCAGGCTTTGCCAGCCCTGTTGGACGACACATTCCATCTCCTCTCTTCTATGCTCCAGCCCTGTTCTGAACTGTGGAATGCCTCCATTAGCACAGCAGAAAGGGAAGAGAGCAGAATGGAAATTGAATGAAAGGCAAAGGCATGGAAAAGTGCTAGGGATACTGACGGATGAAAATGCTTATAGTCACAGAGAAACCGTGAGAAGGAATCAATGGCAAAAACAAAGCCTTTCAGGGAGGAGAAAGAGGCCTTCATAGAAAGACTGGAAGTAAAAATTGGAAACCCTGTTGGAACCAGCCCCTGGTATGGGTGGCATGGGGCCTTTTCCCACAAGCGTGGTGCTCTGATTACCCTTCCTGACTCCAGTTTTCAACGACTGCATATCAGGGTGTCCTCCTCCATGAGTTCCCCAAGAAGCCCTGGGGAAGATTGTTCACCCTCTCTTGGATTTCATGATGTGTATGGTGGTTATTCTGGATCTTCACAACAGTTGAATCAGCCTTTTAAATGGCAAGTAGCATTTGAAAAGCAAGTGGGAGTCATTTTCGATCTCGATAAGCTTAACTGTGATCTGAATTTAATACATATTCTTAATTACTTTCCAGACTTGAAATTAGGTGACTAGTTTGCTAACCATTTTCCCTGTGTTCCCAATATCTTCAACTCACCAGAGTCACATAAACATTCATCTTCAAACTTTAATAAATATCGTAATTGTTATTAAAAGGAAAACTACTGGACCTTGGTAATAAGGACCACAATCTGCATTTTAATTTTATTTCCATATAATCAGTGATGCTCTAAGTTGTGTTCAGTGGCCTCCAAATTCCAAGTCTGGGGTAACAATTAGGTTATGGGTGCAGCATATTTTGGTTTAGGGTTCAATAGGAGTTTCGTAAGATTTATTTCAATGTTCTTTTTTCCCCCTGTGGGCAATAAGACCTGCTGCTCTGGATTTTAAAACAACAAAGATTGATCTTAAACTCATTTCCATAAATATGCTGGGCACATAGGAAGCACTAAAATGCATGCCATTCCTGGTTGAAATGTGGCAGCTAAGTCCAAGGAGCAGTCGAAGCTTATTGTGAAATTTCCCATGAATACTTAAGCTGCAACGGGGCAGCTTCTTCAAAAAAGACTTTGGTCAACAGATTTGTACTGAAATAAACTTCATGAGTTGACATGAGCTTAATTAAAAAGTGATAAATCTCCCTTGCCTCATCTAACAGCTATTTAAAAAAGAGAGAAACTTCAGGGCTTTGCTATATAAGTCACACTCGTTGACACCTACAAACACGATTTTCATGATCTGCTTTACATCTGAGGAATGTGGAGCCCATGTATTTTTCCTCAAGAAAATGTTAACTGGTTTTTCACGTATTATTTTTCAACATGTATATTGTTCTTCAATTCTGGGGAAGATCTTCCTGATGAATTAATGTTGGGTTTACATGATTTTAGTTGGATGTTTGTTCTCTTCCCTATAGTAAATAAATCAATATGACTTGAAATGCCTAAATTCCAAAGTCAGTTCCCTGCCTCATTGCAAAGATAAACATGCTAAGGGCCTTGATGACTATGGATGGACACCTCCAGCCCTCTGAAATACATCTTCTTAGGTGGGGAGAATCTCCCTAAGGATCCTGAGACCCTGCTTAGTTATGCAGATGCTAACACAGGAAGTTCATTACCCAAAGCTGAGAAGCCTCCAGAATGCAGACTGCATTGTGTAAGTGGCTTTATGCAGTAGCTAACTTTTCCTTCCTAAGGTATGGTTTTCATGAGGGTGGAAGGGGTGGCATGGTGCAAAGAATGATACTTATGTCATAGACACTGGAACTGGTCTTGGCCCTGGCCTCATGCTCTCAGGGTTGGCATCAAATGTTGAGAAGTAGGTAGAGGTGAGATATTGCAATTCCCCTCTCTGCCCACCTCACCTTCCTGTGGTTTTCACCCCTTTGAATGGGCAGGTCCGATTTAGGCTCTCTTCTTGGGATTTCACTTTCTAAGTCTCCTCTGCAGGACACAGAAAATGCTCAGGCCTTCCCCATGTGACTCTTAGGGCATCCACATACAACGCTGTTTACCATGCGTTTCCCTCGGAATTTCTAGGAAAGTTTTTAAAAGAAGGAAGAAAAAGAGTCTTTACCACTTTCAAGTGCTTGCACTTGCAAATGAGAGCCATGGATTTCAAGGCCGAATTTTGGATCTCGAAGTCAAGAAGCTGAATCTTAGTTCTACTGGATCTTTGTGTTATCCGATTTCTATAAAAACATATCTATCTCCTGTAGCTTTAATGAAGGAAAGGATCAGAATAAATGGAATTACATTTTATAAAAGTTAATTATAAAAAGACATATTACATATATTTCAAAATATTATATTACAAGTAAATGTACATTTAAGAAAGTAAGATGCTGATGAATATAATTTAAACTCAGACAACCATGAATTGCCAAGTAAAACACAAATAGATTTGTATAAATCAAGAATCTTCTCAGCCATTGCCTTTTCCCTTTGCTTTAACTGAAATCTATTTGTTTTATAAATTTAGAAAAGTTCAACTATTCTTATCTCACTTTGACATTCCAGTGATGAAAGAAAAATAAAGATCCTCAAATGCCAGCTCCCAATTTCTCTGAGTGCTTCTCTTTCTGGTGTATTATCTATAGTTATATTTATCATATATCTGAATACAAAATCAAAATACATAGTTTAACAAAGCAGTTTTTTCTCATTTATCAATTTGCTCATATGAAAAATATAATATAGAAACTATAAAAGTTTAGTTGCTTTTAATTTTAAGCATATGAGTTATATTTATTGAGAATAATTTATCAATAAATGAAATTCTGTGATGTATGATTGGTTTCCCTGTGAAGGCATTTCATCATGTTTTAGAATACAACTCTTCCCTATCATACTTCTTTTCTCTCCTATCTGATCACCATCAAAATATGTACCATGATGCAATATTCTATAAAACACTTTTTAATTCCTCTTGTGTTTCAGCTGTTTTTTAAAATATGAATAAAGAAGATAAAACCTTTATGTAAGACAGTAAGTGATGCAATTTCTTAAGATAACATACTTTATGGTTTCCCTATGTGTATAAGAAAGAAAAAAAATTGATCCATTTTATTTTCCTGTGTTAGTGGGTGGGGCTGAGTGAAAGGAAGTTTTAATCTCTCTAGGCATACAGATGGAAAGTGAAAAATGGCTTTTCACAATCAAAGACCAAGTTCTTAGGATGCCAGAAAGGTATTAGGACACCATGATGTTTTGACACACAGAGCAAACAATTAAGCTGTTGTGCAGATATGTGACCTGGGAGAGAACACTGAAAAGGAGAACTGGTTAAGTGATTTTCATCCCCTTCCTCTTCTTTGATATAATAAAAAATCTTCTTTAAATCTAATTTTGAGAGAGAGAATTCTGGCAACGGCAGTGTAAAAAGGCTGGGAAATCATCTCCCATGTAAACAAATATGAACAAGTGTAAAACAGCTATTTCAGGGCTCTGGAGATTAACCAAATTTAAGCAACAAATTGAAAAGTATTTAATCAGGAACAACTACAAAAACTGAGTTTTTTTTTTTTTTTTTTTTTTTAAAGAACTGTAGAAATATCTGGCCTTCTTGTCTGTGACAGTGTCCATCCTTTCACTCCCACCCAATTCATTACATGCTGGTTTTCCAAGTCCAAGGCTGGTCAGTGTGGGTGGGGGGAGGTAGCTGATTTAGAATGGAGGCTGAAAATCCCAGGGGGTATTGTTAATAAATGAGACAAAGAATATAGGAAATGAATGAAGCCCACAGCTTTTCTAGCCCAGGGTTGCTGTTCCAGTTTGGACAAACAGCAGACCAGAATAAATTTAATCAGAAAATCCTGGAAGTGACAGAATGTCATACAGGGATAGAGCTAAGCCCCCAACAAGTGCTTTACTGACTATCAACTATGCCTATGTGCAAGGGAGACCTGGGAGAGCTAAGGAGTATAAAATGAGGGTAAGGGAGGAGACCACCCCTCATATTGTCTTATGCCCAATTTCTGCTTCCAAAGAAAGAAGAAGTAAAAACTAAATGGCAGAAATGAAATCCACAAGCAGACAGCCTGGCGACACACCCTGGGCCTGGTAAAGATTGACCCCGACCTAATCGGTTATGTTATCTATAGATTACATACATTGTATGGAAAAGCACTGTGAAAATCCCTGTCCTGTTTTGTTCTGTTCTAATTACTGGTGCATGCAGCCCCCAGTTGCATACCCCCTGCTTGCTCAATCAATCACAACCCTCTCACACAGACCCCCTTAGAGTTGTAAGCCCTTAAAAGGACCAGGAATTGCTCACTCGAGGAGCTCAGTTGTTGGAGATGTGAGTCTTGCCAAAGCTCGTGGCTGAATAAAGCCCTTCCTTCTTTAACTCGATGTCTGAGGGGTTTTGTCTGCAGCTTGTCCTGCTACAAAAGCATATTGGAGAAGTTGCTGAGCTCTGTGCCCCCCATCCTACACAGAGCAACTCGCATTGGCAGAAGTAACACACAGACACAAGGTATTGGAGTAGAACCTCTGACAAAATCATGAGCTGATCACTGAGCTGTGAAGACATGGGGTGATCCCACAGAAAGCGGTCTACAAAATAATGACTAAAATAAATAAAAACTCAATAGAAACATCAGTGGCCACACACCACAGGGGAGAGAGATCCCACATTTTAAGATTATACAAATAACTAAAAAAGAAAAAAAACCTCAGGGAGGAAAAAAAATATAGAGTAGCTACAATCTATTTTCTAGAACTGTATTATTCAAGAAAACTATGCAAGACATGCTGAGAAAAAAGAAAGTGCCACCCACGCTCAGGTGAAAGAAGCAACTGACATAAATTAACTTTAAGTCAGCCTTGATGTTAGTTTAGCAGTCAAAGACTTCAGAGCAGCTATTGTAAACATATTCAATGAATTAAAGAAAACTATCCTTAAATAACTGAAAGAAATTATTATTTTGAAGACTTAACAAATAGGAATTCTCAACAGGGAAATAGACGTTAAAAATGGAAATTATACAGTCAAACACAATAATTTAAATGGAAAATATACTAAATGGTCTCAAGAGCAGTGTTGAGATGGCAAAAGAATCCATGAACTTGAAGGTAGATCAGCAGAAATTATGAATCCAAAGAACAGACGGAACAAAGATTTAAGAAAAATGAACAAAGCCTCATAGACTTGTGGATAAACATAAAGTATAGCAACATATGTGTAATGAGAGTTCCAGAATGAGAAGAAAAAGAGAAAGGAGCAGAAAAATATGCATATTTCAAAAAATAATCGTGAAGACTTCCCAAATTTGTAAAAATATGGATCTACAGATCCAAGAAGCTTCACAAATCTCAACTATGATAAACACAAAGAGATTCACATCTAGTCACATGATAATCAAACTGCTGAAAGCCAAAGATAAGGATAATGTAATCTTGAAACAGGTAGAAAAAAAGACTCATTATATAGAGGAAAACAATGCAATAAATAGTGAATATATTATCATAAACAGTGAAAGTCAGAAGCATGCGGAATTACATATTCAAAACACTGAAAGAAATAAAAACTTGTCAAATCAAAATTCTATACCCACCCCCACCAAAAAGAGGCAGAATAGAGATATATCCAGATAAGTAAAAGCAGAAAGAATTTATCTGTAGCAGATTTTTTTTTAAAAAGCACTACAGAAATCCCTTAGGCTGAAAGAGAATGACACAAAATAGTAATTAAGATTCTTAGGAGGATATAAAGACCACCAGAAATGGTAAAGATGATATCAACGTATTTTGCTCTTTTAAATTATTTTTAAAATTATAAGATTGCATAAAGCAATGCCATAACATTGCATTGTTAGGTTTATACCTAAATAGATGCAATGTATATAAAAATAATAGCACAAAGAATGGGAAGAAATTGAGCTATATTTCAGCAAAGTTTCTATATTTTATTACATCTGTCAGTATAACTTTAAGTAGATTGTGATAAGATGTATAATAAAATTTCTAGAGTAACTATTAAGAAAACAACTAAAAACAACAAATACATAAATCAATAATATAAAAATCAACAGGGGAATTAAGTTGGTAAGATAAAACAATTGTTCTTTTACACACAAAAAAAGCAGTAAAGGAGATATAAAGGAACAAAAAGACAAAAGGCATTGAAAACGGTAAAATGACTGATGTGCCTTTAATCACATCAAAAATTACATTAAATGTGAATGGACTAACCACTTCATTAAAAAGGCAGAGATTGGCAAACAATAGATTACAAAGAGACTTTTCAACTCTATGCTGTTTAAACTCAATCTTGACTTAAAAAAAATGAAAACAGGAAATGGTATGTATTCCTAAAAGCTAAGGACATGAAGACATTCTGCTGGAAGGGTGGAAGGCTACTGTAAATCTGTAAAGCACTTCTAAGCTAACATTCCCATATACCAAAGGAAAAGATACTGTCTTTCCCTTTCACATGAAGACTCATGTGATCATATAATCTTGTCTTTATGACTGCCATTTTTCATAATTATTCCCACTTCTTTTTCTTGATATGAAAGTTCAATTTCAAGTTCTCAGAATTGTTGAACAAGACCAATTTATCTGAGAATGAGTTACAAGCAAACCTTCATCTGCAATTCTTGATGTGCTTTTCAGTATACTTAAAGATGTTGCCTTTCATCCAGAAATAAAAAGAATGTGCTTTGCCATTTTCATGATGTTTTAAATATGAGCTTAAAATAGCAGAATAAACTTGTGATTATAAGTACATGCAGACCAATCATTTCAGGTTTAGATGTTACTTGTGAACAATTCTTATACATAAAAATGAATTCAGTGAGCACTTACTACAACTATCTCAGTTAGTTTCTTCTTTATAATCTACCAAATTATGATGTAAACAAATTAGGCAGCTATTTTAATTTTTAATATTTCCAAATTTTTGTCTTTTTAATGTTGAATGTGTTCAACTTCCTAATTTTTTCATAATTTTCTTTATGACTTAAAAATATGACATACAAAGTTTATAATTTGGGGCTTATTTTATACACCAAGACAGTAAGGCAGAAAATAATGTGACTAATTTGACAATTTTCACATATGTAATTACTGATAAGGCTGAACCAGAATTAAAAGCTCCTCATCGACATCTTCTAAGTATAACCTCCTAAATGTGACAAAATCTGTAATACACAGACTTCACTAATCATTGAAGGAGTTGGGTAGAACTGAATCACATGCAAAAGCCAGAAGAATGTACTTATGAAAGTTGATTACTTCAGCTAGCAACTTTTCATTATAATTTAGAATAATTCATAAGGTAGTGAAAGTTATTTACTTGCTTTCAACAATCATTTTTTAGTGGGATGAGATAAGATATAATAGGATGGGGTGGGGATGGGGATGGAATAAGATAGGATGGGATTGGATGGATGAAATGGGATAAGTTAGGATAGGATGGGATGGGATGGAATGGGGATGGGAAGGGATGGGATGGGATGGGATGGGATGGGATGGGATGGGATGGGATGGGAAAGGAAAGGATAGGGTAGGATAGGATAGGACAAAAGACTAGATCAGAGTATATCCTTCATGATAAGATTATTTCTTCATGAAATTCTTATGTATGTGTTTGGTGACATTGCACAATACCTTTCTTGAGTTGCAGTAAAAATATTTGAGAAACAATGGAATAAAGCATCATTGCCTCTGTCTCCTCACATGTTCC
This sequence comes from Homo sapiens, assembly GCF_000001405.40. Classification (NCBI taxonomy): domain Eukaryota; kingdom Metazoa; phylum Chordata; class Mammalia; order Primates; family Hominidae; genus Homo; species Homo sapiens. Next base: position 75,659,652 of record NC_000018.10, on the reverse strand, counting down.
AAATTATTATTAAACACTTTAGATCCCTTTAAGAAATCTATCTCATGATGTCAAAAATAAGAGAAAAAAGTACAGCCACCTCTATTTAATTATATATGTGTATACTAAATTATTATAAAATGATTCGGTAAAGTTGTTTTTTGATAACATAATTATATTGACAAGATGCAAAATTAAGTGCAGTATAACATAGAAAATCTAGTTAAAATTCATAATTCTTTGAATTTCTTTTTATTCGTATATTGGATAACTAAATAGTTTGATGGATTTACTTTATTTTAATTATACCAATCACATTTGTCACACCCATGACTCAAAAAATACACAAAAAGTGCTAGAACACAGGTGGTAGGGAGCAACAAAACATTTTCATCACGATCTGTGTAACCAATACCTTCTAAGTGTCTGCTGATGGCTGGCTTTTTGGAAGTCACAGACGTGCAGAAGCCAAGCCTGCCTCCTTGCACATGCATGCTTTGCTCTCTTCTGTGCATAAGCATGCCTGGTGCCTGTGTGTGTGGACATGCATGTCCGTGAGACATTTTTAGAAAGAGAAAGAATGACAGCCATGCCAAGAGAGGGGTCTCAACCACGGTGGATAAATCAATCTTTCAAAAAAAAAAAAAAAGAAAGAAAACAATTCTGCCATGAAACTTAATCACTAAAGGTCATGTCGGGGAGTAAGGAACAGATTAAATTAGCATAGTATTAGATATGGAAAATGATTTCTGTCAAAATCATCTTTACCACAATTATAATATGTTAATTACGTATTTCATTAAGGAAGTTGATTATGGTTCACGGATGAAATCATGCCTGCATCGACACCTGGAAGGAAGCAGCCGAGCCTGAAGTCTTCCTCCTGCTCCTTCCTCTCTCTCTCACTCCCTCCCCGTTTGCTCTGCCTCCATCTTCCTCCCTCCAGCTGTCTCCATATTTCTCCCTCTTTTTCCCTTTTCCAGTCCCCTTCTCATCTGCCCACTGTTTTATGCCTCCATCATCAGTCATTAAATGTTCCTATTCTTCAAATTATCTCATTCTGGGGATTCCTGGATGTGCCCTGAAAGCAACATCAGTTCTTGGGGTGGCCTCATGAGTACATCGTGATAGGAAGGAAATGAACAGCCACAAGCCACAGCCAGCTGTAGGGCTCTTCAGTTCTGCTCCTTTTTAATGCTCACACTTGAATGTTTGTGGAAGAGGATGCCCTTTTATCCTGCTCTCCTTTCCTCCCCCTCCTCCCCACCGCTTCCACCTCTCCACTCTCAGCCTCGGGATCTTGCAGCCCAGGCATTGACTGCGCCCTTGCGGGAATCCCAGCAGTAACTGTCGTGTGGAGCCATGCTGTCTCTTACACAGTGGCCTGCGACAGGCCTGCAGGGTTTATGTTAGCCATTTATAAGACGCATGGCCAATCATCCAGATGCCACGCCGAGACTAATGTTAACAGCAAGACGTAATCCTGTCCTAGGAAGTGGCCCCGATGAAGCCGGTGATGAGGATAGAGTCAAAGGTGGTCAAGTGCTACATGAGATCTTCAAGCCAATTATTTCAGTCAATCATCTGTGGGCATTTTCCACAGGAGCATCCACTCATATTTTTTTTATGATGGTCCAACATTAATTCATGGGGAAATGTGCAAGTGTTTAGAATTGCAGAGTTTTATGATGCATCTCATGTGAGCCTTCCCCATCTAACTTACAGATCCAAGTAACAGAGATGGAGGGATCCCTTGCTAAGCCCTTCTCAAGAATGTCTTTCTGCACTCACACACATCAAGGGCACTTAAGAGAGTGTCAAGGAGAAAGTACAAAGGGCTCATGACACCCTTCCTATGCTCATTTCTACACAGAGGGATGGTGAGCCTCGCACCAGCAAATGATGCAGAAAACAAGGGGATAGGACCATGGGTTGGGGAAGACACATTCCCAGAAGTAAAAGGTCCTGGTGACACCCCTGGGAATGGAGCGGCTGCAGCTCCTTGAAATATAATTACCTCGTTCTCATAGTTCCCTGTGAGTGAGAACGCATCAATGCTCGCGTGCCCTTGTGCCAGTAGATTTTGCCACACAGAATAATCATTGTTGGAATTAAGCATAATTGTCAAGAAAGACTTGGTCATCACAAGAAAGACCGTCTCATACTACTGTCTCCTGGCTTTTGAACAGTAATTACTTTAGTAATTAATCTCTGTCATTTAACTGTATTACATTTTGAAAAGAGAAAATGGAAGAAAGACCAGTTTCAAACTAATTTACATCACAGTTTAAAATCCCAGCATAGGGTGAATCAAATGTCAAATTTAGCCCTTTCACATTTTCCAAAATAGTCTCATTCTAACACCCAGTCCAATGGAATCAAAAGCAAGATGCTAAAGTCACCTCTTCCTGAAAGCCCAGGCTTCAAAGGCAATACCGCTTCAAATACTTCATGGAAATCCTCCTGCCTTGTCCCAAGGTGCTCAGGAATACAGTTAATAAACCCATTGAGGAGAGCAATAGGAAATCTCTTCTGTCGAAAGACCATTTGTGCTGCGGGTAATGTCAATTGCCCATAATGCAGCACAAGCATTTGTTAATGACATCATCATACAGTAAGTGAATAAATCTGTTCCAGCAATCTCCTTTAATTCCTTTTCACCTCATTTGATCGTTTCAAATTAACTTGTTTGACCTTGTTTATTGTACACCTCATTATACTTAATTTTCAAAGAAGTGCTTTTAATATACTAAAATTTTCTTCAATTTCTTATTAGTTTTTTAATATTAGTAAGAGCCCATATATTATCTTTCTTTTTAATAGGAACTCTTATTAAAAATGTTTCACATAATAGACTACACAAAAATTTACAAGACATTGTTTTAAAAAGCAGATTTACTTCACTCATAATCAAGTTGCGTCATAGCTTGTTTAAACAAAAATTCTCCAGGCTTAACAATCCATAATAAACTTTAAACAAAATCTCCCTCACTAAGAACTATATGGAAAATGTAAATGTCTATTCTTCTCAACCCAGAGAGGCTAATATCAGATATATGACTGGTTTGAGTAAGCGTGCAGGCCTTTTCTATTAGATAGTTGGGTAGTACTTTTGTTTTCCTGCAGTAAATAAATAGTCATGCATTCATTTGTCTAATATGCAATTTGTCTAATTAGGTAGATGGCTCTAAAAGGGACAATTCAGATGTACAACTCTAGTATTCAACATGCAACTAACTTGTCTCTTCAACTAATACAAAACATTGTCATTTCCATTGTTGTGTAAAGACACAGAGAGAAAAACAAAGAAACTAACATTTGTGAAGTAAGAAAAGGCTCACAATGCCTACATGTAGGATAAGAGACTCAGAGCAACTGGTGCATGAGGAGGAGGAAGAGGAAATGGAGGTGGGAAGGGAAGGCGGATGGGGGAAGAAAGGCAACAGTGGGATGATGGTGAGCGGGCATTTTCTTCCCCTCATGCCACTTCCTGTGGTCTAACGGAGGATGTCTCTGTGCGGCAGATTATTCTAGGATCCGTTTGAGCCATCTCTTTGTCACACACAAATATACAAACAGAGTGAACAAGTGGTGTGTGTCGTTTATTCCGTTTGTTGACTAAATTTGTTTTATCTTGTAAAAAGACAACAACATGAATGCTTTAAATATTTATTTCCACTGCACCTCATCTTGCTTTTGGTTTTGCTTTTTGGGCATGATGAAGAGGAAATAAGACTTTATTAAAATAATTAAGATACTTCCGTCTTTGACTCACTGCATGATCTTAAAGCTCTGAAATGGTTTTTCAGGTTCATTTGAAAGTCTTCATTGTTTCCTGGCCAAAAAAAAAAAAAAAAAATAGAGCAGGTATTTATATAGGCCCAACACCTCCTGATTAGAGAAGGCTTATGGTCCACATAAATATATGGAAGAATTTCTTAAAGAAAGAAGGCTTGAGGCCATTGACTTGCTAAGTGAGTGTATATTAGGGCACAGTAAATAAAAAGGCCATGAGGTTTTAGTTAACAAGAACTGACTGAGACTTGAAAGCCAGGTTCTTCCCCCTCCCGCTCCTCCTCCAGAGGCAGCTTGTTATCCTTGCAGGCCGGACAATACACCAGCAGGTCCGTCTCCCCCCCTCTTCTCCCCAAATCAAAGATCAAAGGCTGCATTTGTAAAGCAAATAGTTGGAGAGTTACAGCCGGGTTTGATGAAAACCCACTCCAGGCCTCTTGGGAGATATTACCTTCCTCATTATTCCACTGATTGGCCTTATTTCATCCAAGGATTACTGCACATTCTCCTGACGGCTGATGAGCAGCTTCATGAATATACAAAATAATCCGGCGGCACTGGGCCAGCACTGATTATTATTGTGAAACTCTGAGGAGCTGCTTCAAATGAGCTGCTGGAGACGGTGGAACTCTTCCTCCCTGTTTTCCATCTGATTTTACCACAAGGATCCTTATTAGGCTATTTTTCACATGTCTGTAAAAGAAAGAGAAAGAGAGAGATATTGCATCTAGTTAAAAATGATCAGGGAATTCTGGGTACCAGATGTTTTTTGCTTAATATTGCAAAATGCCTTTTATTAGATTACACTGAGCACTTACTAACTACAGTTAAACTGCTTTGTAGAGAAACCCAATGGGAACAGTGCCCTAAATAGCTTTCCTGGTTTTTTTCCCCTTCCTTTCTTTTTTTTGTGCACAGTCTCCAATTTGTATGTGCTTATTCATGGTGAGTGTGTGTGTATGTGTGTGTGTGTGTGTGTTAGGAGACGGATATGTCATTTGGGAGAGAGGGTCTGTGGATACGAAATTATCAAGGACTATTACACACGGGCCTGGAATAATTTAGTATCACACTGAAATCCAGTCTCTTTGGCCAAAGAACTTGGCCAAGGTGTTAATGAAACAGTAATGATAGAGAGCAAAGGTGTTTATTTTCGGATTCAGTCAGGCAGAAACAGCCTTGACACAAAGCACTTCTGATGGCTGCAATCTTCTCTGATGGCTTCAGGCTTGGATTGAGGCGACTTGTGGGTACAGAAGCTTTCTCTCCTCTGTGCTCACTGTGAAAAGCCCAGGGATATTGCAGAGACCCCCACCATCCCCAGAAAACAGCTCCTCTAGGGGCCTAGTTTTAAACAGAAGCAGGGAAGCCTTGCACGCCATTCCTGAAAACATACGTAATCCCATGATGCTAACCCAGAAGGTGGGCCTCCGGCTGGCTTCCGTTACCCTTTAATCCAATCAGAAGCCTTGATTTACAACATTGTGAATTTCATATCTGAGAAACAGTGTCCTGTGGTTGTCATTTATAGCTGGACACACTTGTTTTTACTGACTGTGAACTGCAGCACTTCTCCGGGCAATAAATGTCTTATCCTGTATCATGTAATATGTCACATGAAATGAATGACCAAAATGTGACTCTTGGTCACTCCCTACCCTGTTGGCGAGGACACTGTTCAGCCAAACATATTTTCCGAGCAGAGAAGGCGAAATCTGGTCCACTTCTTTGACAGGGACAAGAAACTTGCCCTGTTTCAAGTAAGAGGGAGTTGCTTCTTGGTAGAGGATCCAGTTGTTAATGAGAGGTGAGTAAAATCCAGTTCTAGGTGAATATGCAGTTGGCACAAACTTATTTCAGAAGCTTTATTTATTCTGTTCACATGGCTACGTCTCTCCCAATCCATTCAACTCTGAAGATAACAGCTATTCAGGTGATATATGTGAAAGCATTGTTAAACACGAGGCAACACACACGTAGGGTATTATCATCCTGATGATATCTGCTTTGCCGTTGTTATTATTGTTGGCAAACGACTACCTACTATTTGTACACGTTGAGAGCAAATCCTGTGTGAGTTTCCAGGAGCCTTTGTCTGGCCTTATGTCTATAAGGGGTCCACTAAAATTCTGAAGTCCTAGACACTGCCTGGTCCAGTCAGAAAACACCCTTGTTCTGTTCTTTGAAACAGAAATGTCTTTAAGGCTGTGTGGGGAGGAACCTGCCTGGCTCTGCAGGTGCTGCAGCATGTTGACGGCTGAAGCTGAGCTACTTCTTCACCCAGCCTGCTCCACGGAATCACCCAGCACAGTGATTTAATGAATCTACATTTCATGACTGAAGCGATAAGGATGAAACATTTTAAAATAACCAAAAGGTAGATACACCAAAAAAGCCTGATGAAACATTAAATGAATGTAGTGTAACACATTATCTTTGCTTCTGCACATCCAAAAAGCGCAATGAACTAAAACATTGCATTAGGCCAAGAATAAAGCTAAAAATTAAATTGGCTCAGAAAGATCTAGGGTAGTGGTTTATGCACTAAGAATGCAGTAAATTTGGTCATTTAATCTCATTCTCCCTACCTCTGATGTGCACACTTAAAAAGAACACAGTGCTCATGGGGAAAAGGTGAGAGAAAGGGAACAGCTACCATTCTGCCCTTGTCTGTTTACCTGATGCCAGAAAGCAAGGGGTGACTCATATTAATGTTGATTTTTTTAACTGTAAAATTGCCTTCATTTTCCAACATTTAATGTAGCAAATGTCAATGAGCATAAAATATGAGCAACTTAGTAAAAGATAGAAAACAGACCCAATAAAGAAGACATATTCAAAAATATAATACTGCCCCTTCAAATCAATAAATAAAGACAGGCATTTCATACACTAATGCATTTATCTATGACCATTATAAATTAGTTGCTTGCCAGAAAATACACTTCTTAGCACAAGTGCCATTATTTAAAGTTGTCTATTTAATGCACACTTAGTATATTTCCTCATCCAAAGCTCCTCTGCATAATTAGACAACATCCATTCTTAAAAACTAAAGTAGATGCCAAAAATGCAATGCATAAAGCATGACGTTTTACAAATTTACATCTTCAAAAGTTATGTGTGGTTTCAGAGAAAAGAAATTGCAGAAAGATCGCTATATTATAAGGGCCCTGGTTTCACTCTGTGCACTCCCAGAGTGAGCTGGCAGAATGCAGTCATTCTCCTTCAACTCTAGTGGACCACTGTTTTCTATGCTGACTTTATGAACCTGATGGCTGCAGAGTGGGCCCTTGATACCTTGCTGAATTTTTTCTGATCATCCTGCCTTGGGTCACTGGGTCACTTGCATCTGAGGACAGCACTAGCGTGTACCATCCAGGCCTTCCCTGCCTTGCTATATTCTAAGTGATCATTCTGGTCAATACTCTTCTTTGCAGGGCCTGCAATATGTTGTAAAGATAAGATATAAAGTCCAAGGACTGATTCTTAGGTCTACACTTCCAGTGCTTCCTTTCTTACATTTCTCAATTTTCCTTTACCCCCATCCCCCACTGATCTCCAGGTTGCTGTCCCACCACCAAAGCCCACCACTGACCTGTGCCACTGTCAGTTTCTTCACCAACAAGTTGACACAAGTAATGTTTGACTCACCATAAGATTATGGCTCCAGACTGGGTAGTTATAAGAGTAAGTTGGCGGGGGGTATTTTAACACATGGTTACCAAGGCAGCTGGGACAGCAGGCGTGGTGCTTAGATATAAGCCACCATGGTCCTACAAACATCAAAATTGATGATGCTTAAGATAATCTTTGAAGAAACACTCCTCTTGCCTCTCATGTGATTCAACTCAGTATCATGCCCCTTTTTCTCTCAAGGGGATCTTTTCTCTATCTGCAGAGAGTAAATGAGAGAATCCCTGAGAGACCATAGAAACTCATGAGTTTAATAAATGCACATTTTAGGCTGAAAAAAACACCATGACTTAAAGGTTAAGAGATTTGACCAAAGAGATCATTGATATTTTTACTTTTATTTTTCAGAGATTTCTACAATATGGTAAATGAATAATTACCCAATAACTCCCTGAATCTTTCTTATCACAGGGGGTATCAGAAGATTGTAGAGCTAAAAGAGAAAGGAGAGATTCTTGAAGTAGAATCTCTTGAGTCTGGGATGGGTTAAGGTGGCAGCAACATATCAAGGGAAGTCTGAAAAGGAGAAGAGCAGCTCATACTTATGGTCTGAGCAGGGTCTTGGCACATAGAATAAGTCACCTGCCCAATTTTCAGCCATACTTCCTGTCATCTTTCTGGCTGAAACAGAATCGAATCTTGTTCACCTTCCAGCAGCCCTGTCTTTTAAGGTTGGGGGGTGGTGCAGGTGGTTTTTGGCTGAAGAAAAATCAACCATTGTCACCTCATTCTAGTCATCATGATTGACTTAGGCCTAGGCAGTGAGACCATCCTGGCTATTATAAGTTGGGTGGGGCTTCATCTTGCTCCCAAAAAGGGGGCATAAGCAGAGACCCTCTACTCATATGCCCCTGATGCTTCCATCTACACGTGTTGCCTTGCTCTGCAAGAACCATCCTGGGACCAAGTCCACAAGCTGAGGATTTCAGAGCAGAAAGATCTGGAAGAACCTGGATCCTCAATGATGTTGTGAAACCACCCTACAAAGAACTTATTAGGCGCAGTCATAGATATCATTATTGCTTGGGATACTTCTGTTCCATCTTCCATTATTTGTAGCCAAAAGCAACATAAATGATGCTCATTTAGAGACGGAACCAAAAAATCAGGGCTAAGTAATAAAGATGGGGAGGAGAAAGAGTTCAAGTTAGACAGCACAAGCTGATAGGGACTCTTGAAGCACACAGAGTAACAGAAAGAACAGAAAAGCAAGGACAGAGTGAGAACAGATTGTGAAATCTCCATGTGGTGCCCTGAACAGATCTCCCTAGTCTGCGGGCTTGGAACTCCCTTGAGGTTGCGCAGAGGGCCTGCAAAAGGAAGCAAGCACGATTCTTGGTCTTATCTTGGGCATGGTGACACATGTAGAAACATGCAACTGTATCACCCCAGAAACAAACTCTGCACTTCCAATTTGTAAAAGTATTAATGCAAGTAATTTCCACATAACGAAAAAAGGCTCATCAGGATAAAATGGTAGGTTGGAAAGAGAAAAATAGCTCCTTATTTGTAATTGGTTTAGGCAAACATTGTGAAAGAGGCAAATTTCCCAAACCTCCCTAGAAAGGAGGCACACTTTCTCCCATTTACTATGTATTCCTCTGTTGCAGATGACAAACTCCTACAAGATACACAGGTGTCTTCAATTTGTTGCATGCAGTATCCAACATAAAGATGTGTAATGTAACAGAGCCCACTCTCCCTAAGTATCATGCTTGTTTTTCCATTTCCCAATGATGACTGGACCAAAACCCATCGATTTCTGGCTTTTCTTCATTTACCCTGTTCTAACAACAGCTTGCTAGCCTTACACAGGGTAAGCAATGAATGATAACTAAAGAATGAGTATCAGACACCTCTTCTGCAGTGCCATGTACCACGATGAGGTCTATTTCTTGACATTATTTACTGAGAAGACTACTGGGGCTCCCCAAGAGGCACGGACAGCAAGATTTCCTCAGGGACAGAGATGGAGGATTTGCCTCTAGCTTTTCTACAAGGTGCAGGTGTAAGGTAAGAAGGTGTTTCCAGTTGAAGCTTCAGCTGGTGGAAGGTGAGCAGTGCAGTAGGAAATGAGCTATAGCCACACACATGCACTTAGAAACATAACCTGAACCTATGATGAGCCTTTTCTCTCATGATTTTATATAGATAAACCTGACTGTGGAGTGGCTCAGATTTCTAGTCATTGTATTTATTCTAGAATATAGCCAATGAAATACATTAGCAGATACTGTTCCTCTCTGTTCTCTTTACAAGAATGTGCTGAATCTAAGAGAAGTTATGGAAAGTTTTGTCTGGGATAGAATAAAATGTCCTATTTACTTTAGAAATTGAGGGCAGAACTGTAGTTACTATTGTATATTTCAATAGTTTCAGCCAGTCTTAACATCCCATGACTTCCATATCCTATGTGGTTTTCCATTAACAAAACTCTACGTGACCTCATAAGACAAGAGTTATGGAGGAAAATGGTTGTTCAGGAAGGAGAAAATGTGCGTTTTTCCCCCACCTCTGGTCCTTACCATCTGTGTGACCTTAAACAGGTCATTTAACCTCTTAGTACTGCATGAATTCACAATCTCAAATCTACTTCGCAAAAAAAGTTGCTCGTCTTTTTGTTTTCTTTTCTTAAAATCAAGTTGAGTTTAACAAAAAGAACTATCCTGGCAAGAAATCTCCCACTGGGCTTCTTTTCCCACCACTCAAGGATTGTGTAAGGTCACCACTAGCATCAAGTCCCCTGGTTTACCCTTGAGAGATGCAATGACCGGCTGATGCATTCCTTCAGAATGCTTTACTTTGTTGCTTCTGGGCACAGCAGGGACACAGGACACTTCAAGAAGTTTGAGAAACCTAGCATCCAGAGCCTAACCACCACCACCCTGAGTTCTTACCACCTTCCTGGAGTAATGCAAGGAACCCAGGAGATAACCAGCCATGACTCTCTGTGGCTGCACAAGGCTTCACCTCCTCTCTGCCTGGGAAACACTCTTATCTTCTCTGGCTTCTTTTGAAGGCCTTATCTCTCTTCCCTTCCCTCGTGCACATCCTCAGAAAAGGCAGGACAAGAGGCCTCTACACAATTTGGTCTTCCATCCCCACCTGCCCCTTCTCTGCTAGAAAGAAAATTCAACCAGGTCAGGGGTTTTGATCTTTGCCTGGAGTAGTACCTAATACATAACAATATTCAATGAATAGTTGTACACAAATGAACGAATGAAGAGGAATGGCAACATAGGGCAACAATGCCCAAAGGTATTCTAGGATGTTTACAGGGAATATCAGGATGACTAAAAATTATAATGGCCCTTCTCATGCCATTCTGCACACTGCTTAGACTTCTTAGATACACACCCACACACACACACACACACACACACACATGCACACACACACATAAGAACACAAGACGTACTTGGTTATGTGTCCATCTCCCTCTACTTCTACTTGGCAGTCACAAAAGATAGTTAAATACATAATAAATGAAGTCTTTTTGGACAAACTCTACAGGTTTTAAGGCATTTTAGTGTACATTATCACTTAATCACCACAACAAAATTTGTGGAAGTTGTTATTATTCTCATAGTACAGAGGAAACAGATAGCCAGGGACATGAACCACTGGCTCAGGGTACCTGAAAGAGGCAGGAGCGGAGATACATGTGACGCTAACCAGGGTTCCTGCTATTACTCCATCACTATTTCAAAACATCTTTAAAAAGTTCGCCCTTCCTCCTTACCTAAGGGAGCATGTCAAACTTTTTAGCTCAGCACAGAGCAGGGAAAGCATGTGGGATACTTAAACTATGAAAAAATTCAAATTTTCTCCAAATCTTGCTCTGACAACAACTGCATAGGCAAATATGATGTGCTTAATGGAATTTACAATGGGTTTTCCAAATTTCAATACCAAGTCCTAGGGAGTACAGATTATGTATGAACATGAATATTTGTAGCATTTTTACTCTCCCGTATTTCCAAGTATGATTTTTATTGTTTGTTATGTATTAAACTTTTGAATACCCAAGTGGTTTGTAAAAAGCTTTTATTAAAAATCCCAACTTTTGGATGGATAGCCAAATTGAATCTGAACCCTGAAACAGCTGAGCCATAAGATGAGTTATTTTCTCACACAATCTCATTGAATATACAGGGAGTTCTATTTTCTAGAAGGCAATTTTAGTGAAATGCTCAGGAACCAGCATTCTTTAATTATCTTGGCATTGTCCTGCCAGAGGGACATGATTTGGGTAGTAGGAAGAAGGAAAGAAGGAAAATGGTTGGAAGGAAAATTTAATAAGAAAAGAGACTGCTTCTAATTCTTTTTTGAAACAGTCTATGTATGTATAATAAATGAATGAATCACAACGAAAAAGAAAGAAGAAAAGTAGAGCAGCACAAGGAGGAGAAGGGAAGGAGAGTACAGGCAAATGGAGGAGAGTGCAGGAAAAGAGTTTCTCTTTAGCACTTGCCTAGGGCCCAGCTTAGGAAAAAAAGCAGAACAAGGCAAACGCCGTCCCTTCCCTTGCATTCCTGGAATCGTGTTCTAAGAAACCAAGCCAAGGAAGAAAGGGAGGGAGAAAGAGGGCACTGGTAGGGAGGGAGGAAGGAGATTAGAGAGAGGGTTAGGAAGGAAATCAAGGATGAAGGGAAAGATGGCTGGAGGGAGGAAGGCTGATTTGGAGACCTCTCTAACTTCACTATAACTTCACGTGCTTTTTACCCCTATGGAAAGATGAGGTGCTTTTCATGAAGCAAGTGAGAATTTTATGAAACCAGTGTACACCTTCCAACATATTGGCTATTGGGCTGAAATTTATAAAGCTTTCTAGTAATACATACACTGTTTTGATGAGAAAAAAATAATTGGGGTGGTTAAACCTCCATATTTCTCAGATCATAGAGCCAAGGCATCTAGAATGACCTTCCCCTGTTCTCCTCAGAGGTGGATTCTCCTCATCTTCCCGGTTTCTTAGAGCCTTCCTGCACCACCGTGTCCACAGACTCCTGTTGATGCTCACCTAGGGGCAGCCACCCCTAATTCGTCTGTCTCCATTCCATCATTTTATTTTTCCTGCCCAAGGACCATGATTTCCAAGTATTTTGAGCTTTTTTTTTTAAGTATGTTTCTCCTGTTAGACTGAAAGAGTTCTGAAAGCAGAACCAGGTTTGTTTCATGTGTTGTTTCCGAAGTGCCTAATAAAATGCCTGGCATATATTAACCACTAGACAACTCATATGAATTCCTAAAACAATTCATAGATTGTCTTATATATTATGACATTTCTCAGAGAATATTGGCCACACAAGAAAAATTACACATCTACAGTTAAAAGAATCCTTTCCCCTTTTTGTATTATCATTGTTCTTATTAGCATCACACTTCATGGAAAGCAGAATGGACGAGGACTTACCTTTATGTCCCTATGTCCATCTCAGAAGGCACTTACACACTAAATGAAGGAAAGAAAGAAAGAAAGAAAAATGAAGCATGAGAGAGGAAGAGAAAAGGAAAAGAAAGGCTTAAGGTAATTAGAATACCATGAAAGAGCAAATTTAATTTACAAAATATTTACAAGGTATAAGATACACTAGAAAATGGAATAGTATTTTTAAAGTGCTATTAGAAAAATATGCCAACTTAAAATTCTGTACCCACCTAAAATATTATATAAATTAAGGAGAAACATTTTCACACATGCAAAGACTAAGACATTCTACTACTCACAGACTCACTGAAAGAACTACTAAAGGATGAACTTCAGGCAGTGTGAAATTGAATCCAAATAATGAAGAGAAATGCATACAGCAGAGGCACACAAATAAATTGGTCAACATATTGACAAATCTAAATAAATATTGACAGTAAAAAATAATGATATCTAATCTGACACAGTAAACATAAGATAGAACTAAAATACTGAAAGCAAAACTATGAGAGAGGAAAGATGGCAGCTAAGAGTTAAAGCTTTCTAAGTTTCTTCATCTTGTTCAGAAGAAGAGGAAATAAATAATTAACTTTAAATTCTGATAGCTCAATTTCATTTCTGCTATTTTATGGCTGACATGTATCTGGGGCAAATACGACAAAATTTTAGCCTTTCTTAACGCTTATTATATTGTATTATGGGTGTTTATTATATTGTCCCTGTACTTTTTTCTATTTTGAATTTCATATAATTAGAAAAAAATCCTTTGCACATTAATTGAAAGGCAAATTAAGTCTTCCAGACAATTATTTCACACCTTCCTCCCTCCACAAACTTTCAACACCTCCTCTTCCATTCTCTCAGCAATGACCTTGTTTCTTGCTCCACTGAGAAATTGAAGCGGCCGGAGGAGCTCATGCGCAGACTCTCCCCAGCACCCACTCGCCCTCCAGCACCTGCACCTGGCTGCTTGGGAGGTGCCGGCTCCATGCCCCCGTTCAAACCTGTCCTCTGCTTCTCAACTGGACGTGTGCTCCCTTGCCTACTCAGGGCAACACTCCAGTGCCGGAATCCTCCTCATTCTTCTGTGTCCTTCCCCCAAACACGACAGCATGCCATTATTTCTCCCATTCAAAACAAAACCAACAATGACTTCCTCTTGTCCACACCTCCCCACCTGCCTCTGCCCCATTAACTCTTCTGCCTTTTGCAGCAAAACTCTGTGACATAATTGTCTGTGCTTCCCACCCAGATAGACCTCCCACATTCATTTTTGGATACACCGCAGTCAGCTCAACATCCCCACCCCTCCATGGCCCCTGCTCTCCCCGGGGCCACAACGACTCCACCTGGTGATGTCTAAATCTCAACCCAGTCCTCATCTACCTCGGCCTCCTGGATGCCAGGGCCCAGTCCCTCTCCCCCGTTCTCTATCTTCTCTTGCAGCCTGGATGGTCCCCAGTCTCACGACTTCACACATCAGCTTTAAATACATCCAGAACTCTCCTGGGCTCCTGAATTATACACGCAGCTGCCTCCTTGATACCCATCCACACTTGGTGTCGCCCGAGTGTCCGAAAGCTGCCATGACAAATTACTGCCAACCAAGTGGCTTAAAACAACAGAGATTTTTTTCTCTCACCACCTGGAGAGCAAAAGCCTGAAATCAAGCTGTTGGCAGGGCCACCCTCACCCAAGGGCTCTTGAGAAGGATCTGCCCCATACGTCTCTCCCAACTTCTGAAGTTGCTGGCAACCCTGGATGTGCCCTGCCTGTAGACATCACTCCACTCTCTGCCTCAATTGCCACATAGCTTTTCTCTGTTCTTCCTCACCTTCTAGGCATTCCTGCCTTGTATAAGGACACCAGTAACATTAGGCGAGGGCCCACCCACCCTCATCAAGTATGTCTTCCTTTAACTTAATGACAGCTGCAAGGCCCTGCTTCAAAAGAAGACCAATCCACAGGCACCTGCAATAAGGCCTTGAATGTGTCTTCCTGGGGACACTATTCAACCTGCAACATACGTCTACTAGACATTGCAAATTTAGCACGTCTAAACTGAGATTCTGAGCTTCCCAATCCAAGCACATTCCCTTGGCAATTCCGCTTCCCATTTGATACCATGCCTGCTTTATGAGTCACCCAGATCAAAACTCACGGAGTCTTCTTCCACTCCTCTTTCCTCATGTCCCATACCCAATCTCTCTCTATATATATTTCACCATGATTTCTATAATACAACAGTACATGAATTATTTATGTATTACACACATATGAATTTTTATATATATTGCATATTAGTATTATATATTACATGATATACTTATTGATTGGATATATATTACATGTTACATATATGGATTGCACATCTACTGCATATTACGTATACATGTATTTATATAGATATTGTATAGAGAGTGCATTTATATAGATATTTATACATGTGCACACATGCATCCTGTGTTTAACTCCTCCTTACCACCCCCATTGTCACTACCCCGATTCAAGGCACCATACATTTTAATTCTTACCAAACATCTCATTGTATCCCTGTTCTGTATACTGCACTGTATATAGCCAGTCTCCTAATGGTCGATTTCCCCACCATATTTTCACTATTATAAACAGCACCACAATGCTCATCCTCACACAAGCATTTATGTGGCCCTAAGCAGTTATTTCCTCTGAGCTGAATCCTAGAAGTTGGGTGCAGAGTCAAAGACAAGTACATTTTGCAATTTGTTTGATCTCACTCAATTGCCTTCAGATAAGTTGAATGAACTGGAGCACCTTTTGCATGCTTCATAATTCATAGCAAAAATGAACCTTCTTGGTCTTGACTTTTGAGGAAAAGTAAGCCATTTGCTTCTTAGATTTACTATTAAACTAATATGTGTTGTGTGCCCACCATGCACCAGACACTGTTTAGACACAAGTCCTGCTCTCATGGAGCTTAATGTTTAGTTGGGAGGACAAACTAGAAATGATAACCATAGAAACAATAGGCCTAGACAGTGTATTAGTCAGAAGGTGATGTTCACCATGGAGAGCAGCAGCAGGTGAGGGAGCCAGGCGTGCGGTGAGGCGCAGGTTGCCCTTCTGGATGAGAAGGTCGGGGCAGGCTCACTGGGAAGCTGATGATGGAGCAGAGACTGAAGGAGGAGGGCTTGGCCTTGCAGCCATCTGTGAGGGGCACATTCCAGGTGGAGGAAACACCAGGGCAAGCCCCAAGGAAGGAGCATCCCTGGCACCACCAAGGAAGAGCCGGGGACCAGCGAGGCTGGAGCTGAGGGGTGAGGGAGGAGCAGAAGAAAGTGAAGGCTGAGAGGTCACTGCCCTCCGTGGCCAGTTCTTGGAGGCCTGGTGAACGACAAAGGGATCTTCACTTTTCCTCTGAAAGACAGGAGGGCGAGGGGCAGAGGAGTGCAGTCACGTGACCTGGTCCACCTGCAGAACTGTGCAAGGAAGCAAAGCTTAGGGCAAGGACAGCTGAGTCTATGGCATCTCCCAATCTGCCAGTGACCGCTGCACACAGCAGTCTTGGTCACCTGGCTCACTTCCTAACACTCTTCTATGCCAATAACCCCCATGTCACTAAGCACAAAGGACAGTGTTCACTGGGCTCTTCTTGCTGTCCTCCAGCAATGTTTGGCAATGTTGCCACACGCCCCTTTCTGAGGCCACCTCTCCCCTCTACCCACGTGGCTTCTGGGGACCCTCCTCCCTGGGTTCTCCTTTTCCTCCTGTCCACTCCGCAGCCTGCTGTCAGGCTTGGGTTTCCCTAGTTGGCTACTAAATGTTTGAGTTCTTCACAAGACCGTCTTTTTATATCTGCTCCTTCTCAGCAATCATACCTAGCCTGAGGCTTGAATAGCTACTAATAATTTTTAAATATCATCTAACTCCAGCACAAACTATTCCTCAGAGCTCCAGTCCCCCAATCCGGCTGTCACATGGCCACGCCACTTGGAAGCAGAGGGCCCCTGGAACAAGCCCTGAGTGCACTTCTCAGCTTCTGCCTACAAACCCGGTCTTCATGCATTTCCTGTTGGCATATGACCCACCGGCCATGCAGTTGTTCAAGTCAGCACACGGATGACTTTTAACACCTCCTCTCCAATATGCTACCACGTCTGCCCATTTTTCTTCCCATGTATCTTGCATCTGTCATTGGTTCTCATTTCTACCATCAGCTTCCAAATCCTACAATGTCATCATCACCTGCCTTTGTCTGCATTGTGCCTGCCTCCACCCTCCCTGTATGCTTAGAATAGCTTGACGTCTTCCTATTGCTTAAACGTCACAATCCTGGAGAGCCCTGACTGGCCTTGCCATTGTCCAATTTCCAGCCTCATTTTCCACTCCTCTGCCCCTTGCTGGGTCTACTCCAGCCTCTCTGCCTTTTCTCCAGGCTCCAGCCTTGGCCAGCTCCCACCTGCCATGTGCCTTAGTGCATATTTTCCCTTCCCTTAGAGGCTGTGCCTCCCCATCTACCCAGCTAGCTTCCCTTCTCCTTTGATCTCAACCCTAGCTTAGATAATATTGTTTTGTGTTGCCGTGGAACATCCCCCATTTCTTGTGGCTCTTAATTTACTTTTTAATGATAGCCACATGTTAGTAATTAGCTGATTAACATATGTCTCCTGTGAAGACCGGGTTACTTCATGAGAGCAGGACCTATGCTGTGTGTGGCTTTGCTTGCAACTTTATTCCCAGAGCTTTATGGTGCCTGATCATGATAGGTGATCAATAAATATGTGTTCATTGAATCAATCCATTTCTATGTATAGATACATAGATGGAGATTTCTTAAATGATATCCACCAAAATGTTGAAAGTAACTGGTTAGATTTAAGTTGCTCCTAATATTATTTTATGTCCTATATTGTATTTTTTGAAAGTTTTACAGTAAGCAGGATATCATTTTTATAAAAACAGTAAGATGACTTTCAAAAACTAATAAATCAATTAAATGGCACGTATTCAGGTAGTCGATGGAGGAGTTAGGGAGTTGGGTGAGTAGAGAAGAATATGTACTTTAATCTACTTTTAACCAATAAAAGCAGCACAAAAATTCACTGCTGTCCCTCAGTTCATCTCTGCTCCACTAACTCCATTTTAGAGCTGACAAAAGGGAGAAAGGCAACATAACATGAAGGGGCTTACCAAATTATGTGCCCCAGCACTAGGCAGTTGAGAGCTTCTTCCTCATCTAGACAACCCGCTGTCAGTCCTGGAGACTCCCCAGATGCTTCCTCTCTTCCTTCCACAGCTGCGGGTGTGGCTGCAAAACTTGGGAGGCTGCTACACCCACACTTCTTGAGTTTCCCCTACAGATCCTGTTTCCTCAAGCACACACACACACACACACACGTGTGCACACGCATACATGCACACACACACATACATACACACACCAATGTTCCCTGCCTTCTGCCCATCAAATGCCTGGGACAGTCCCCTATGAAGCAGTCTCAGCTGTCAGAGCCACGGGAGCAAGCCTACCTTGTGGTCATGTTAGAAACATGGGGATCTGTTCTAACCCTGGCTGTGGAGGCCTGAGTTGACATGTGTGGGGAGCCCCTGGAGATGTTTTTCTTGTCTCACAATCAGGAAAGCATCCTCAGAACAAAGTGCCCTCCTTCCCCTTTTGAACACGGCTACAGGAGCACAGGATGCTTAAGCCATGATGGCCACTTTGTGACCAAAGCTGACAAGCCTAAGGGCCAAGCTAACCAGGTGGAGATTGCTGAGTGCAGGGAAGGAAAGAAAAACTCGGTCCCTGACAGCATTGTTGCGCTCCTGAGCCAACCCTCACACTGTTTGTTTACTGATTCCTTATAAGGTGGGATCATAACCCCCATTTCTTGAGTCCCTTTCAGTTTGGAGGACTGTTATCTGTAGTTAAAGCCTCCTCTGTCAGACACCAGATTCCCTTGAATTGCCTGCATCTGCCACTTCCACGAATGCACCCCATCACATGTGCTGTGCTTGCCCTGCAGGACTACGGGGCCCACATCTTACCATTCACGTCAACTACTGGATGCATAGCAGGGTTTCTGCAACACAGCGACGGCTCCATGGATAATGAATAAAACTGGACAAATGCATCTATAGGTGAATGGATATGAGCACTGTCCTTAGTGCACAAAACAACCACAGTGTTCTGTGGTGGTGAATATTTCTCTGTAAGGTTTAAGTGGAAGGAAAGAGAAGAAGGACACCAATCAGAGGCAGCAGTGGTTGTGGAGTCCTGGGCGGAGGATCGTGGTGGGGCCCATGATTTAGCAGCTTTATGCTGGGACAATGTTCCAGAAAGGAGAGCTGAGGCCAAGCCAAGACCACTGTGAGGCCGAGTCTAGGGAAAATAGACTGATCCAAACTGGGGTTCATAACCAAAAATGCAAAACCTCCATCCATGGGCTTCTGGGATGGGTGGGGGAGTGGGGCTAGTGGTTGTCAGCATCAGAGCATCAGCAGGCAAAAACCCAAACCCTGGGAGAAGAGACTTATAGGAAGCGAGTTAGTTAGTGGTTGACTTGCTAGCCTTCTCACGTTTATTCAGGGAGGCTGGCCGAGGAGGCCCAGACTAGGCCAAGGTTTCCAAGGATGGCTTCACGAGGCCTCCTAGGAGCAGGGAGCAGGGACGAATGATGGTCAGGTCACCAGAATATACCCAATGCTGGGCATGGAACACCAGGCTCTTCCCAGTCACCATTTTACAGCAGAGCAGGAGGGACAAGAAGGGACAGGCCAGCACTCTGGGGTCTTGGAAGAACTCTAAAGTTGCCAGGCAGGAGGACCTCAGCTGATCCATACCCTGGGCTTGTACTCGCAGGAGACCCGTGCTCCACCACCCCTTGCTGGCCACTCTCTGCAAGTAGAGAGCTAAGTCTCTGATGTAGAGACAACTTTCAACTCTGTGCGTTTGAATCTTTCTTCCACGTCTCACCATCAACCCAAGTAGTTAAGGTGGTAAATTCATGGGTTGTGGATTGCGAGTTGTAGAAATTTTTCCCCTCATAAAATACAGCATACAAGGGTTATAAACACACAATACAGATTATCAGACTATAAAAAGGCATAACAATGCGATATGATTCATTGCTGGCATGGGCGCAATATTGTGCTGGAAGATTAAAGACTATGTGACTTAAATAACTTTTATTGCAATGCTTTCAACAGATCTCCTAACCGGGAAAGCAAACGGGCTCTGCCCAGTGATATGACTGGTGAGTAGGACCCAACACAATTCCCAGGACCCCCATTCGTCTCTCCAGTCTAGCTGAGATGGTTCCACTTTGGTGAGTGTTTCGCAACCAGGCAGCTTCTAGGTTTCGTGATAATATACCAGTCTCCTAGGATGTGCTATCGTTGGGCTAAATATAGCACGTGTCCTCAAAATAGTGCCATTGATGGTGAGTAATAGCCCCGTTCCTCCTCCCGGTCTCTTGCACAGGCTCTCTTGGATTTGGTCCAGGAATTAATTTGTGCTAATCTGGTCCCAAAATAAATAACTTTTGTCTCTCTACGTTGCCCTGGGTTTCACAGGGAGCAAGATGCAGCCCCGACAACAGGCGCTCAGTGCAGGACTGAGGAGAGGCCCACTCGGTGCATCTACAATTCAAAGGAGCGATGAGGGCTGAGGTCATCAATCTGTCCCAGTGCTCTCATCCGGGCTGGGCGAGAGCCGGCGCTTCCAGCACTGTCTCTCCCAAAGAAGATTTGAAGCAGTGACAAGTGGAGAGTCCTGCCGTCCTTCCTCCCTGGGCCTCGCGCAGAGGTGGCTGGCAGAGTGCACCATTAGGATAGAGATGCCCCGTGTCTGTGCCGCCATGGCCTGTCTGTCCCGCGCTTCTGAACTGGCTGAGCTGCTGTGCGGGGCAAGGCTGAGTTCCTGAGATTTGCTGGCAGCCTCCCGCTCTTTGTTCTCCAGAATGTGAAAATGGTGTAAATAGCAGCATCTGCAACTGCTCCTGCTGCGCTGACCGCCAGCCAAATGCTTTTTTTTTTCTTTCCCTCACTCTCCCTGTCGAGCCGTCCACATGATGCACACAGGCATGAGCTGCAGAGCGGGGTGCAGCCTGGAAACCCCAGGAATGCTGGGGAGACACAGGGCAAGGGGGCCCAGGGAGGGCAGTGGGTTTCGCCGCTCCTGGTGAAATGACGAGCTCCATGCACGGCATGGGTGTTGACGGGGTGTGTAGATGACATGTACGAAATGCATTTTTGCCACCTCCAACAGCTGAAAAAGAGCCCATGCCTCATTCCTCAACAGCTGCTGTCACCTCAGCTAAGTTGCATGCTTTGGAATTTCTTAAAAGAGAATTACTCTTACTCATCGGTCCTCTGACTACTGAAACGAGCCCTGGAAAGTGAGTAACTCGAGGAATTCTGCTCCTGTCGGCAGCCAGGGGATTTCATATTTTGTCCAGATCTTTCTGTGCAGCCAGATACAAAGTGTTCGTTTTTCTTGGATATTATAACTTCCTTTCTCTGTATCCTGTCTCTGTTCATTGATTTTTTAAAAAAGGCCGTGATTTTCTCTATGTCAAAAGAATCTGCACCTTTTTCTTATCTGAGTGGCAGATGTTCCTGGGCTGTGAAATATAAATATCCTAAAGTTTTCAAAGGCCTGATAGAAATTAATGCCATCTTGATTTTGGAAATAAGTGTCAGGGCTAGTACTATTGCTTATATTATTATAACTTCCACATTATCATCCTGAGTCTTGCTCCAGGACAGCCTTAGCATAAAAATATAGAATTCTCAACTATATTTATGTCTTTTAAAAATATGTATCTTTCTAACACATATCAAGCCAAGGATATAAAATACTTGTCTCTGAGGAGTAGCCTGTAGTTGTACTTAAAAAATACACATCCATAACCCTTGGGTGCATTAGAAAATTCTGCACGTTGATGGAGCATGTGTGCACAAAATGGCTCTCCTGTTCTATAGTCATTAAAGGCTGAAACTGACATAGATCTGAAATGTTCTAGGACTAAAGCAATCAGGGTATATTTCCAAACTAATAGTAAATGATAGTCTTCACAATTCAAGAAAGCAAATACAGGCTGTTTTGTTAAATTCCTTTTGTTTTTTAAATCTACATAATTTACTACAGCTTTGCCATCCCAAGCAAATGTAGGTTTGAATTTTCATGGCCTAGACTTCATACGGGTGGAAATTAGAAATGATCTAAAGTGATTTTTTTTTTTTTTTGGTTAGTTATCAAGCAGTTAGGAAAACGCTGGGGACAATAAAGTTAAGGGAAAAAATCGTAAGAGAAATAAGGCCAGGAAAGTTCCTGATGCACGTAGCCTGAGGCCTCACAGCAAGGTCTCGAAGGCGCGACAGCTGGTCTCTGACCCTTCCCTGTCGATTCCTGCTGCACGAGGAAACCCCGCAGCAAGCCGTCCACGCACCCATGGATCACAACTGCATCATCAGACCCGTGAGCCACAGCTCGGCTCCTGACGCAGGGGCCCTCGCAGTGCCCTCTGAGGAGGGGCTTCTGCCCCAGGCTGACCATGAGGATCGCATTGAGCAACATACCACTTCCCTCTCAGGTTTTTCTTGCTCCCGTGCACAATGTTCATGGACATCCCCCTGGGGAGTGAGTCCTGAGCAGGGGAATTCTTCCACTGCCTGGAACTTCGCATCTGCTCAGAACGCCGTCCATGCTGCATGTCTGCGTGTCGTGAGACACGGCCCCGGGACTCGCCAGCCTCAGCCCGCAGAGCCCACCGTGCACTGTGTGCTGCTCACTCCTCTTCTGGGATACTGGGAGTAGAACTAGAGTCCTAGATTTCAGAGACCCCAATCATCAATGACATCATTCAAAAACACTTACTGCTACTTAGCTTGAAACATTTTTCCAAGCTTGGTTTATAAAATTTAATTGAGAAAGAAAGAGAAAGAGGAGGAGAACTTCACAAATCAGCTTGTGTGGGAACTTACATGTTCCTGGTGTGGTTCTCCACAGGAGACAATGCCTCTACCCTCTCAATGGTGATATGCCCATGGGCATTTCTGGTGAATTCTTCAGCAAATCAGATCACCATGTGCCAAACCAGTGAATTCTCACCCAGTCAAAACTAAAGACAGAGAAGCCTGTTAGTCTAAGTTTATGTGGATACAGAAGGCTCTGCCTGTAGAAATGACTTGTTTTAGAAGGAAAATATGCACCCTAGAACAGGTGGGATGGTGGCGGGAGCATGTGAAGGCAGTGAGTGAAGGAAGCATGTGAGGTGACAAATGCCAATCCACAGGGATACTACATGCTGTTCATGAGAAGAAGAAATGAAAGGGGATAAAGACTTTGGAGAAATCTGAGAAATCTTGCCCAACTTTAGGCCACATCTCAAGACACTTCTTCCTTGGAGCCCTTCCAGACATTGTCCGTTCCCTAGGCATCCCATCCAGACCTGGACTCTGAAGTCCTTGTGGTCCCACTGCACTTGTTCATACACTGCTCACATGTGTACTTCATGCCCTTCCACAGGGGCAGCCCCTTAGGCAGGGACTCTACCTTCCCACCTCTGTCATCCCAGGGGACCCTCACTCAGCACTTACCCTGTGGAGGCTACTCAGTAATGTTGGCTGAAGTGAACAACAATTTAGAATAATGTAAAGAAGTTTTATATTATAAAATATAGAAATCCTCAAATAGAGACACTAATAAACATTGCAAAAGGGAGTTCTGAAATATCATCACTCATTGTGGATCATATTTCTAGGTATTAGCATGTGCCTCCAGCCCACTCACTAAATTCTTGCACCTGTACCCCAAAGACCTCTTCCCTCCTCCTCGGTTCCAGGAATACAGAACAGAAAAAGAAAGAAAATGCAATGGTTGGCATGTGTTCCCTCCATAATTCAGGTGTTGAAATTAAATGGCCTCTCTGATGGTATTAGGAGGTGGGGCTTTTAAGAGGTGATCAGGCCACCTGAGCGTCTTGCCTCGTGAATGACATTAAGGCCCTTAAAAAAGAGGCTGCAGGCAGTGTTTGGCTCACTTTCTCTTCTTCATTCCTCGCCTGCAGAAGAGGGGCAACAAGGGCAACAAGGCGACATCTTGGAAGCACAGATCATCCCCATCAGACAGCTGAACCTAGTGGTTCCTTGATCTTTGGACGTCCTAGCCTCCAGAGCTGTGAGAAAATAAATTTCTATTTGTTAAAAATTATTCAGTCTCAGGTATTTTGCTATAACAGCACAAATGGACTAAGACACACTGAGAGACTGGCAGCACTGCATGACTGAGAGGATCAGATGCAGCCTAGCAAAGAGAGGCTCCTCTGCCCCCAGAAGCTGGAGAGCAGCGCCAGCTGGTGAGAGAGACCATGTGGTCCCTAGGGAAGAATGAAGGCCTGGGAGAGCTCCAGAGGAAAGGAGTTTCCACCAGGAGTACCTGGGGGCTGGAAAGAAGCCAAGTCATTGCCCAACAGACAAGGCTATGCTGCCGTCCAAAAACAGCCACCAGTCACTCGCATCATCAGCCATGCGCTCACAGAGAGTCAGGTTTGAGGACACTCATCAGGGCTCTGGGCCTGTCTAGCACAGCCTTCCAGTGTCCACTCAAGGAGACAAGCTACTGTCTTGGCCCCATCAGCACCTGGACCGTGCTCAGCACAGACTCCCAGGGCACCCTCCCAAGAGGACAACATACTGTCCCAGGTCCTGGAAATTATTACGTCCCGGAAATGAAGTTAAGGGACTTGGATATTGCATTATTCCATTCTCACACTGCTATAAAGAACCTGAGACTGGGTAATTTAGTGGGGGGAAAAAGGTTTAATTGACTCACAGTCCTGCAGGCTATACAGAAAGCATGGCTGGAGAAGTCTCAGGAAACTTACATTCATGGTGGAAGGGCAAAGGGGATGCAAGCACCTTGTGCACATGGTGGCAGGAGAGAGAGAGAGAGAGAGAGAGAGAGCAAAGGGAGAAGTGCCACACACTTTTAAACCACCAGATCTCATGAGAACTCACTCACTATCATGAGAACAGCATGGAGGAAATCTGCCCCCATGAACAAATCACCGCCCATCAGGTCCCTCCCCCAACATTGGGATTACAATTCCACATGAGATTTGAGTGAGGCACAGAGCCAAACCATATTAGTTATCTTATTATCTCAAAGCTCTGTGAAGGGAAGCCTCAGCCAAACAAAGATGGGGCCAAATGGGACAACCTTATAGTTACATACCCTGACATCACTCTGTTATGATAGGACCATGGAGTGGGCTCTACAATCTGGACAGATTTATCTACATATGAAATTTCTTTGGTGTTTATTCCATGAAGTCATATGTTTTGTATGCTTATATGTATATATAATATAATGTTTGTAGGGTGGTTTTTTCCCTTAAAAATCTTTGTGTAAAATTAAATCTCCAGGAAGATGTACCATTTTTATCTTGTAGCTGGAGTACCCTCTCTTCCAACTCCTCCTTCCATAGAAACATCTGTAGGGAAAGAGAATATAAAGCCCTGGAATACAGTTCAAAAGAGGCTCAAGAGAATAACTGATGTCTGGATGGGCAGCTCAGTGGAGTGCAGGTGGGCCATGCTCCTTCAAGAGCAAGATAGTATTTCATCACATGCCTGCTCAGCTTATCCCAGACAGTTAGTCGACCACATGAACTACATCCATTGAAGCAATGTAGTTAATCTTCCAATTCAATCAAATAAGTCAATCAAACCCAACATTGTTTCAAAAGAATTTCTTAATGGAGCAACTATCTGACCAAATGTATTAGATTCTTTTAAAAAAACATGGCACTGAAGAATCTTGCTTTGGACTTGTATTTTATAGCTTTAAAAATCTCATTGACATATGACATTAGTTTGATTCTCATAATATCTTCTGCAGGTGGTCAGGGTGTGTATTGTGGACTTCCTTTTAAAGGTTAAGAAATGAGGGTAAGCGGATGAGTAACTCTCCTAAAGTTACTATGTAACAGAGCAGACCTGAGCCTCTGTCATCCAAATTCATCCTCCTTGGACATTCTTCACTCTCTATGGCTTTTACCGATTCAGAAATTCCCTCAATGTGGGGACAATCCTACGAAAGTGACTCTCTGGAAAATGTGTTGGGCATGTTCATGATTACAACAGTGGGGGTGACCCAAAGCATTACAAAGAAGTTATATGTCATGACTGTTACATATACAATGGGAGGGCCAAACTTTATCCCTTAATAACAAAGTCAAAAGAGCGTCACATCATAGAGCCAGACCCGCACCCCTGCCTACCTGCAGATGATCATGTGTAACCTTACAACATATTTTCCACACCCTTTGTGTGTAGCATATTGAACTTGCAGACATTACTCATGGCAGGACTGTGAAATTTAGCCAAAACACATGCCACGGGCCTCTAGG
Source organism: Homo sapiens (assembly GCF_000001405.40). Lineage (NCBI taxonomy): Eukaryota > Metazoa > Chordata > Mammalia > Primates > Hominidae > Homo > Homo sapiens. The sequence continues at coordinate 75,633,357 of NC_000018.10, read as the reverse complement.
GCTAGGAAATACAATTACAGTGTTCTGTGTGTTTTTTAGCCACCAGTGGGATGTGCGGTCAATTGAATTGCATTTCCAAACTCTTTTCTTGATTATGTGCTTCCAAAATAAATACATGGATATTGTAATGTACTGTTCCAGAACCAAGTTTAACATAAAGAATAGACACTGGTTATCCAGACTAGACCCACTGCATGAATTAAATGTACAGCTCTTGGACATGTGTGAGCTATCCAAACCTCACCCTAAAGTATTCTATTCATTATGGATGACTTTTATTTCTAGTCCACCCATGTCCCACTTAAACCACTCACTTGGAGCAATCCGTCCTTACTGCATTCCTTTGTCTGACCTCTTCTCTGTCACTCAGTTGGCACTAAGCATATGGCACTTATACTGTTGTTTTACCCCACTTTGGCAGATGGTAAACGCATATGGCCTTCATTTAACTGGCAGCATAGATTACTTACCAGGGAGTAGTTCTTGAAACCATAGCTTCTAGACACCAAATGTGCTCAGTGCTTCACAAAACCAAGAACTATTTAAATAGCAAGACTCGTTCTTGAAAAGTAGCTTAGTGACCATGTTTTATTAAATGAGCATGTCCTTGGGGTACTCTCTCTGATCTCAAACAGCTTGCCAAACTTTTTCCATCTCCAAGAGGAGCTCTATGGAATTAAATTTCTCCATCTCATACATGCAGGAATTGCAGTGTGTCCATTTCTCCAGATGACCTAAATTTTACACCTACATTAAGAACATCTATTCTAGACCTGTGTATCTGGACAGCATTTTCTCTCCCACTCCCTGGTGATGGTTTAAATTACATATGGGGGTTGATGCTGTTGAAGAGCATTGAGATCCCTTGTAATCTAGAATCCAGGGATCACCTTGCTGCACTGACATTGGAAAAGCGCTGGGTGTACAGCACTCACTGTTTCTTTGTGAAAATGCTGGACCGACTGGGGGACTCAGGGACCTTCTTTCTACTCTTTGTGTCAGAAATGCAGTGCTTCTTTGGAGTATGTATGTTGCTTTGATTTTTAGGTGTTGTCTTTTTTTAATGGTCCAAATTTCATTCTTTCATTATCCCATAGTCAATTTGGAAATAAATGTGTGTGGGTCCTCCCTTATCTCCATAGCATGCTGTGCAGCTTATATCTGTGAAAACTTACCTTGATCTTTGTGAAATCTCCACAAAGATACCTATGTGCAAATGCTGTTTGGCTGAAATCCCTACTAAACCACCTACTGATTTGTGACCTTGAACATTTTACTTTACTGTCCCTGGTTTTATATCTGCTTTATTTGCAAAACAGAGTAAAGTAAAAGTGTACAGTAGATACTGCACAGGCTTGCTATGAAGAGTAAATAAACAAAAATAGCAAAAGTTCTAAGTATGTTGGCAGATACATGAAATGAGTCAATGAATGTTGGAGAAACTGGATTTTAGGCAAATCATATTCCCTCTTTTCCTTTTGTTTGCCTCTACTTCTCTTGGTTTCTCCATTTATGCATTTATTTCTTTTGTTTTTGCTTTCTCTTAAATCACTTATCCAAGTGGCCTTCCTGTACCTGCTATTAAGGACACAGATATTAAAACACACACACACACACACACACACACACACTCAGATCTCAAGTACTTCAAGGACAGGAAAATGTGTAATTACAATACAGTGTGAGAGTGAGTTTTGTATTCATCTGATAGCAAATACATGGGCACAAAATAGCAGTGGGAAAGAAAAGGAAATGATTACCTCTGTCTGAGGGTGGAGTCGATCAGCGAAGTTCTCATAAGGGAAATGATGCTTTTTCTGGAACTTAAGCATAAATGAAGACTCCTGGGTATGCAGAGGAAACAGCATGGGCAGAGATGTGGAGATATTGAAGAACATGGTGTCCCAGGGAAGCTGAGTGGCTCACATTGCTAGCACAAGGAGGCCAGCAGGCCAGGCACACGAGGCTGGGAGGCAGTCAGGGAGCCAGCTCTGAGGGGCTCTCTGGACATCTGAAAAAGTGAACCTCTATACTAAATATGGACCAACACCCAAAAAGGACCAACATGACCTGTTTATAAGACAAGGCTGAATTCATTATTTACTGCAGTAAAGGAAGGCACCAACTCCGCAAAGCTTTGGATGTTAGAAATAGGAAAATAAGTTCAGAATTTGTTGAGAGGTGAAAATTTGGCTTAAAGCAGGCCTTTCGCCACAGGAAATTGGTGAAGATTGGATAAGAATCCCAATACAATAGCCATGAATTTGTGGGAATCACAAGGTGAGGATTTTGAGGTAAAAGACTGAAAGCATCTCAGGACTCCAAATGATGCGGTACATTGAAGAGTTAGTGGATTTTAAGGAAGTTCCTGTTATGAGTAATCATACCATTTGTGTGGGAGGAACAGTCCTGCAAAGGTAAAGAAGGGACAATGAAGCTGTGAAAATAGCAAAGTCACAGTAATGTAAACAGAAAGGGGTGGCTTTGTCCTCAGTGTCCAGGCAGTCCCGGCAGTATGTGGGGTAGACAATTTTTGTTCTCATGACATTGACCTTTATATGCTTAAGAAATTTATTCTCATGTATATGCTACCCAATCTATTCTGAAAATATCAACATTTGGAGCAATGAAGAGGAAAAATTCAGCTTGACCTATGCTAAGTTGCATACTCAAACAGAATGGCTCTTTAAAAATTAAGTTATTTAATTTATAATTAAGTTATCTTATTTGTGTTTTTAAATGCAAAAAAAAGTAAAAAATGTTTAATTTGGGGCTGCAAACTAAATGTAAACTTTTGTACAATATGGGATTAAACAAACCACTTGCAATATTATCTGAAAGGAAAATGAAAATCTTAGTCTATCTGGGTATTCCCAAAACATACAGATGTAGCAGGAGTATAGAGAAAAATCTACATTTTTCATTTTTCACTTCTTCAGTGTTTTTATATCACATTCAGGCTTATGAAAGAAAAAAAGCATTATTACAAATCAACTAAGTCAGAGTCTGGTTACAGATAGACAAATCTGTAAAAGGGTTTATTTGTGGTAGACTTATTAATGATATATTTCCTTATATTATTTTGTTCTGCTAAGATTTGTCATACTTTACTCAACTAAGAAGTTGCCAAGCACAGTTAATTGAACACAAAGATCTCAAAACTTAGCATGGGACCCAGTTAGCTTTAGATATAAGATGTGTGGCACAGTTGCTGACATTTTAAACATTGGCTGTATTTACCCAATACCTGTATCCCCATTATATCTAGGAAGCAACTAACTTGCTTTTGATTTTACAGGCTCATAGGTGGAAGGCACTTGTCTTGTCTCAGATGAGACTTTGGACTGTGGACCTTTGAGTTAATGCTGGAATGAGTTAAAATTTGGGGGGACTGTTGGGGAGGCATGATTGGTTTTGAAATATGAGGACATGAGATTTGGGAGGGGCCGGGGGGATTGATATGGTTTGGCTCTGTCCCCACCCAAATCTTATCTTGAATTCCCACATGTGGGAGGGACCTAGTGGGAAGTAATTAAATCATGAGGGCAGGTCTTTCCCATGCTTTTCTCATGATAGTGAATAAGTCTCATGAAATCTGATGGTTTTTAAAACAGAAGTTTCCTTACACAAGCTGTTTGCCTGCTGCCATCCACGTAAGATGTGACTTGCTCCTCCTTGCTTTCTGCCATGATTGTGAGGCTTCCCCAGCCATGTGGAACTGTGAATTCTCCATTAAACTTATTTCCTTTGTAAATTGCCCAGTCTCGGGTATGTCTTTATCAGCAGCATGAAAACAGACTTTTAAAGCAAGTATCTAAGGTTTTGATCTTGTAAGAGGGCAGCAATAATTCTTCCTGGACTTTGTGTCATCCTTACATGATGAAAATAAATCTCAGCTAATCAATAATTGGATAAGAATTCATCTACTTCCTCCCTCCACGTATATTTAAGCACCCAGTCCTGTGAAAAACTTGGATTTTTTTTTCTTCCTGCACAGCTCCTACTGAAGTCCTTGAAATGATTTTCGTTGACTTTCATGATCTAACTTGGTTCATGGAGCCATCTGGAATCCAGTTACTGTGGAGAAAGAAACAGAATAAAAATACTCCTTGACTTAGAATGGGGTTATGTCCTGATAAACCCACCATAAGTTGAAAATATTATAAGTCAAAAATGAATCGAATACACCTAAACTACCAAACATCATAGCTTAGCCTAACCTACCTTAAGCATGGTCAAAACACAATAGCCCAGAATGGAGAAAATTATCTAACATAAACCCCATTTTATAATAAAGTGTTGAATACTTTAATTTATTGAAATTATTTATTTATCAAATACTGTAATTTATTGAATACTGTACTAAAAGTGAAAAACAGAATGGTCATATGGGTAATCAAATTATTTCTATTGAATGAGAATCACTTTCAGGCCATCATAAAGAGGAAAAATTGTAAGTCAAACCATTGTTAAGTCAGGGACCATCTATATACCAGATTACCTCAGTCTAGGTGACACCCCTGTCCCCAACCCAGTTTTCAGCTGTATAATACACTTTATTTCAAATAAAAGGATAAGTATTGGTTTCCAAATTTGGGTGCTGGTGCTATGGGGTAACCCAAGATGTGAAGTAAAAAGTAACAAAGGTCTGCTGCAGTTTCCCTCCTTGAAGAGGCTCTGTCAGAGGCCATGCGAAGGTGGTTTTCACATGAAATCAACTTCAGGTTGCAGAAGGCTTCCTTGACTGTGGGAATGACATTGAAAAGACTGACTTTCTTTCTGAAGCTCTATAGGGAGGGTGCTTAACTCCAAGAAGTGAGAGATAAAGCAGTAGAAATGCCTAACACATTAAGGATATTATTAGAAATTACTATGCAGAAATTGTGGATATTATCAACATGCCTGACACTCCAACAAAGGACTTGACAAAAGCTCCTGGATTTGCTATAAGGAAAAGTTCTGTGTCAGAGCCCATCCTGACACCAGGAAGCCCAACATAGCAAAAACATGCAGAAGCAAGCCCACTGGTCCTGAAGGCCTGGGTGGTGTGAATAGAGGGGGATTCTGCCTGGCTAGGCACCAAGCTCTGATCTCTGTTCATGGGATACCTGGCGATATGGTCTGCATTTGTATTCCTGCCCAAATCTCATGTTGAATTGTAATCCCCAACATTGGAGGAGGGGCCTGGTGGGAGGTGATTGGATCATGAGGGCAGATTTACTCCTTGCTGTTCTCATGATAGTAAGTGATTTCTCATGAGATCTGGTTGTTAAAGAGTTTGTAGCACCTCCCTCTTCTCCTTCCTCCTGCTCCAGACATGAGGATCTGCCTGCTTCCTCTTTACCTTCCGCCATGATTATAAGCTTCCTGAGGCCTCCCCAGCCATGCTTCCTGTACAGCGTGTGGAACTATGAGCCAATTAAACCTCTTTTCTTTATCAATTGCCCTTCTCAAGTAGTTCTTTATAGCAATATGAGAACAGAGTAATAAGTGGTTTATAGGACACAAAGATCTAAGAGTTTGTGGACATTTTAGGGTCAAAACAGCAGCCTACAGAGCTACATACCCTTTACAAGTTTGCAACACCCTTGCATTGCTCAGAAAGCTGCAGACTTTCTGCAGATGTAAAAGTGTGAGAACTCAGAGTCCCAGGGTCAGGGACAGCAAGATCGCCCCATAACTGCGTGCACACTGAGATCTCTATCATCACTACAGAGGTGCAGCTTCTGCTGCAGATTTCTCCAGGTACAGGCAGAGGCCCCAGCAGGCAGAGCAGAAGGGCCCATGAGTTGAGTTTTAGTTTTTATACTAGAATTCTCCATCTGTACTTTAGGTTCAGATTGGGAGTAGACATTTGGGGAGTTGGTAGGTGAGAGTAATGGCCCATGTTTTATCATCATTATCTTTGCCTACTTTTGTGACCAGTTACTATGTGGCGGATACTGTGCTCGTCCCCTGTATCTGTTACCAAAAATAATTGTGAAACCCACCTAGAACATAATACTATTATTCTCTCTGTTTCACAGATGAAATGTCTCTGAGGCTTAGAGACAAGAGTAACTGCTCATTGCTGTGGGGACAGAGGCAAAGCCTCTGGCCCCGGAACCTTATCCTGAGCTCTACTCTGCTTCTTTTCTGTTTCCTCTCAGAAGGTAGGGAGGTGTTTAACCTCTCACTTGCTAACTATCAGGTAAAACTGTCACTTTGGAAGAAAGTAAGAGGCAGCCCCAAGCGCCCATGGGTGGTAAGTGGCCTCGGTTGAAGTGGTGGCATCAGCATTGAGAAGAAATAGAGGAGGAGAGATGCAGAGTGTCTCAGATTGCTTTCCATGTGCTGGGTCTTACACTGAGCTCTTTCCTCTCCATCACTGCAGAAACATATCATCATCTCCAACTTAATGGATAAGGAAATCAAGGCTCAAAGAGGCAAAGTACTGGTCCCGGGGTTTGGATCCAATCCCAATCTATCTTTCTTAAAACCATCATGGTTTTTGTTTGTTTGTCTTTTGCTATATTCACAGTCCACACCCTTTGGACTGGTGGGCTGTTCGTCTTGAGCCACCGAGTTCCTTATATCTCCCTGTGGTCACTAATGTGATTTTGCAAGACAGAGCTCCAGGAATAGGCTGCCCAGCAGGAACAGCCCTTTCTAGGTCAGACACTCCCTAAAGACCTGCCCAAGGAGGGGATTCCTATCCCATGGCCATAAAGAGCTTCAGGTGCAGCCAACTTCACCACAAGGTTTGCACCTAGAGGTGAGCCTTGCTGAACCAGCAGGGCGAGATTTCATCAAACAGCTGCTCAGGTTTCAACAACAGCATGGCTGGGCATTGCACTAGTGGGCTGCCTTAGCTATGGAGGGCAGCTGGCTCTGTCTTCTAACTGCATGGCCACACCCCTGGGGACTGTTTCCCAGACTAGTGCTAGAGGTGCTGCCACGGTGGGTCAGGACTCTCAGGTACATGAGAGGTGGGCCTCTGATTAGCTTTCCCTCTAACCAGACTGTTGTATGATTACATCTGGGAGCTTGTCCACACTGCTATGCAGGCCAGCTCATTCCAAACAGAGCCAGTTAGTCCTTCCAGGAACTGGTTGCAGGAGGCAAGTTCATTTTAGCCAAAGTGTTTGGCCAGGAGGAAAATCTGGGAGTGGAGGACAGGACAGGAAACTGAGTCATGCCCGACACGCAGTAGGTGGGCACTACGACTAACCATTGCTCATTATTCAGGGTGGCCAAACCCTTGTCCAGATCCACCAAGAAGTTTTCGTAATGCTGCCAGCAAGTATGACATGGCCTTGTTAATACAGAGACAAATACCTTTCAGCCTTGTTTGTCAGAGGGTGATCAGGATAGAACCAGAGGCCCACAGAGAGTTCGAGGAAGGACAATCTTGAAATTTTCAAGGATGAAACCTAATGTTTATTGAGCATTTGTTATGTGCCAAGCATTCTTCTGAGGGTTTCATGTGTATTCATGTATTTTGTCCTAGTAGAACTGTGGAGTCAGCACTGTTATTTTTAATCCATTTACAGCTGTGGGTATGGAAGCACAGACGATAAGGTAACTCATGCAAACAAAATGTTTATAAACAGCATAGCCCAGAATGGAACCCAGGCATTTTCCTATCTCTATTGAAAAAACCAGAAACAGAAAGTTGCATAAACTGACCATTGTTATGTGGGGAAGGGTAGGGATGGCTGTGTGGTGTTGATAATTGATAAGTGAGAAATTGAGAGTGTGTTCTATCCTTGTGCAATCGGTATCTCTCTAGTCTGACATGGCTCAATTCTCTGATTAAGGTACTTAATAGCCAGTGGGGGAGACTGAGGGGAGGGGGTCACAGAACTGGGTGGTTTGGGGTGGAATCAGGGAGTTGCTGTTGTTACTCACCCCTAGTGCATTGGGGAAGGGCTTGGCACACACTAAACTCTGCGGTTGGCACTGGGCACAAGATGCCACACCAAAAAGCAGACAATGGCTGCTGGAAACAAGGAAAATCACCAGCCCCATTCATTGCTTTCCTAGGCCTGCCATACAAATTACCACATTTGTACAATTCTGGAAGCCAGAAGTCCAAAGTCATTGTATCAGCAAGGCCTTGCTCCCTCCAAAGACTCTAGCGGAGAAAACTTCCTTGCCTCTTCCAGCTTCTGGTGGCCCCAGGAGCTTGGCTTGTGGCCACATTACTCCAGTTCCTGTCTCCATCTTCGCATAGCCATCTTCTGTCTGTCTTTGTGTCTGCTTTTCTTAAAAGGACATGAGTCACTGGAGTAAGGACCTACCCTAACCCAGGATGTCCCCACCTCTGCAAAGACTGTTTTCAAATCAGATCCCATTCTGAAGTTCTAGGTGGACAGGAATTTGCGGCGAGACATGATTCAACCCAGGACACCCATGCATGTGGCAATCTCTGCCCTTTGTGAGATCAGCGCCAGATAACTCAGTAGAGAAAGGTGGTGATTTGAAGGGCAAATGTGTCCCTAGGAGGCTTCACTACTCCCTTCAAGGGATGTCCCAAAGCTGTAATCCTGGAAGACTGTGCGCCAGGAGAACCGTTACTCAAGAAGGGATGGAACTGGGATTTGGAGACTGAGGAACTCGGCTGCCAAGCGTCCTATTTTTCAGCCCCAGGAAGTTTATTCCCGAGCTCCCCAGTCACAGCTGTGGCCTCATAGGCTCTCAGCTAAGGATGTGCACAGATTTCCAGGGCCACTGCTCTGACCTCCGGCACAGAGGCTGTCTCCACCTGGGGGGTGGGAGAGGCAGGGTTGAGTGAGAAACATGCCTAAAGGGGCAAATGTACCAAATATAAAATGTCCCACAAGAATCGAGGACATAGCAACATAAATGTAATTAATGATCCATTCTAAGGATCATATTCCACGCCTAAATATACAACATTTTAACAACAATTTGTCCGTTGCACCCAAATGCCTCCATGATGGGAATTTTGACAGCGTGTTAGTTTAATTTCCACTACCCAAAGATAAAAGACCCAAGGAAAGGAAATGAAAAAAGCTAAATGGCTAGAAAAAGCATGGAAAACCATAACCACTAAGTTGTAAATCAGTAAAACAACTTGTTAGTCATGGAAACATAGAACTATGTGACTTCTATAATGTGCTCACTTCTTTCATTTAATAAATATTTTCTGGCACAAGTAACAATATTGTAATCTTTCATTAGAGAAATATGTCAATGTTCTACTGAAACTCCAAGTCCTGTAAAAAAAAATCTGTTTTAAATTCCAGTTTTGTGGAAATTATGATTTTTTTCCTATGAGTGAAAAACAATGAGCGAATTCATTTGATTTAATTTTCTTTCCATTCTAAAATGTACCTAAATGTCACAAAAATAAAGTTGGGGCCACTGTTGTCAATGAAAAGAAATGAAAACACTATGGAAATTGGCCATCATTAGAACTTTAAACTCTGTGAATCCTGTGTCCTCGTGCCTAGACCCTGGGGTCCTCTTTCTGGGATCTTCACCTTCCTTTCCCATCCTCATTCCTGGGTGCCCATCTACTCTGCCATGCTTGGAAATTCCTCTTTCCAAGCACTCCTGCCTTCATTCTCATCCTTCCTTCTCTCTGGACTCCTATTTCCCCACCATTCCCCATCCATCCCTGTCCATTCCTGGAGCCCTCCAGCAACCACCTTTTCTGGTCACCTGTCCCATCTTCGAGGTGGAATCTTCCACGCCCTTCTCTGAAGATTCACAGCCGCTGCTCCTACCACTCTGAATTCGCACCCCCTCCCATGCCTGCCTTTCCTGAGAGTGTAAACTTAGCAAAGCTCATCTTTTTCGTGTCTGCTCCCGCTGCAAAGCACAGGGCAGGTGCCCGATCAATGCTTGCTGGGTGGCTACTGAGTGCCCCGCTACAGCTCAGACTACACCCAAAACATTCTTGCACATCTCCAGTCAAACCAATGTCCGCACAGCCTTTCCCCTGCCTGCCTTCACACTCTCTGCCTCCTCCCGTGAACATTCTCACCTTAGCAAAGCCCTGCCTTGTCTTCAAAGCCCAGTTTTCAGATGTCATGCTGCTTCCGAAGAGACATCTCCCTCCTCACTCTATGATTTTTGCTAGGGCTGCCATAACACAGTACACAAGCCAGGACCTTAAACAACAGAAGTGCAATGTCTCACAGCTCTGGAGGCCAGAATCCTGAGATCAAGGTGCTGCAGGGTTTCTTCCTTCGAGGCTCTGAGGCAGCGATCTGCCCCCAGCCTCACTCCCTAGCTTGTGCGTGGCCACCTTCTCCCTGTGTCTCCTCAAATCCTCTTCCCTCTGTGCATGTTTGTGTTCAAATCTCTTCTTCTTTTTTTTTTTTTTTTTTTCTGAGACAGAGTCTCGCTCTGTCGCCCATGCTGGGGTGCAGTGGCGCAATCTCTGTTCACAGTAAGCTCTGCCTCCCGGGTTCATGCCATTCTCCTGCCTCAGCCTCCCAAGTAGCTGGGACTACAGGCCCCCGCCACCACGCCTGGCTAATTTTTTTGTATTTTTAGTAGAAACGGGGTTTCATCATGTTAGCCAGGATGGTCTCGATTTCCTGACCTCATGATCTGCCCGCCTCGGCCTCCCAAAGTCAAATCTCTTCTTAAAAGGACATCAGTCACATGGGATTAGGACCCACCCTAATGACCTCATTTTAACTTAACTGACTTCTCTAAAGACGCTGTCTCCAAATAGAGTCACATTCAGAGATCCTGGGAGTCAGGACTTCAGCCTATGGATTTAGGGAAGGGACATGATTCAACCTCTAACAGCTGCCTCATGCCTCTTTCACCATGGAGACCTACAGTCCCCATATCTGGGTCCATCTGTTAGAAGTATCTAAACACCTTGGTAAGACCCTTTGTCCCTGCCTCAGAGGGAGCCACATCCTGGGTTTAGTGAGTATCCCACCCCCAGACTTTCTTCCAGGCTTCTCACTTCTCCTTTTGGTTTCAGAATTGGATCCAAAGTTCCTCTACGTGATATCCAGAATGTTTGTCCTGGCAAGCTCCAGCCTTTACATTTATGAAATATTGTTACCTCAAAAGCAAGGCTACCTGGACCTGGTTTCTGGCCATTTCCCATGAACAGAAGGCCAAAGTCCTGCAGTAAAAAATGCCCAGTGGGTTGAGACTTTCTGGGGAGAGGTCCAAAAGGCAACTATTTAGGAATTCTTTTCATATATTTTTTCTTAACTGAGTAGGATCGTACAGAATCGACTCACTAAAAAAGAATTGTCATAAAATCTCACACCATTGACTTGTAAATGGAATCGAATGTGTAGCGTCTACGTAATGACACCATCAAACAGGAAAGAGCTATCACACTTGCAGAACGGATGAGATGCGGAATGAGCGCGGCAGGCGAGCCTCCCAGGGGCATTGGCGTTATTCCACTCACCGCGTTTTTATCTCCAGTTTCTCTAATTTTTGTTATTTTTTTCCTCAGGTCTCAAGACAAGAGCAGACAGAGTTTTTTTCTCTCCTAAAAAATCACCTCATACAGAAGTCAATAATATAAATACTTACGTGCCTGGGGTCAGTGCCTGGGCTTTATTAAAACTGATTTTTCAGAATGTATTTCCGTTGTTACTGCAGCTACAGGAAAACCCTCCAATCAGACACTTTGCATCCTAACGTCAACGCCTGCGTGGCACAGGCCCTAAAGATGGAAAAAGTAGTGAGGGAGGCGGAGGGGAGACACTGTGGGCTTCCCGGGATGAGTCCCGCAGGGCCGGTTTCCTCAGGGGCAGCAAATCCCAGGGGAATTCTCCCTCACTTCCTTTCTAGAAGATTCCCCCAAGCTCCCACACGCACCTCCACGGCTCCTAGATCAAGCTCTGACTCTGCTCGGCCTCATGGTTGGTGGCTACGTAAAATAATCAAAGATGCCCTTAGTGGGAGTCATGCACCCCTACCTTGGCTGAAGGTCAGGCCACATACTGGAGTCTCAGCACACAGGCAGGACGCTGTGGGTTCGGCTGCCAGGAGCCTCTGTTCAGAGAGTGGACATGGTACAGGGCTCATCCCACATCATGGTGTCCTGCCCTGACAGTCACCCGCAGTCTTCTCAGGGCCAGACCCTGGTTTTCTGCAGAAAAAATCAGAGAGGCCACTGGCTGCTTTCTGGGCTAGGCGACCTGGGCCCGTGTCGATCTTAGCCCACTCTCTGCATGCTTCTCCTACCCCTCCTCTTAAATTATTGGGGTTCCTATGATGTGCAAGCTGGGGGACCTGGTTAAGCGATGTGCTCTGGACTTGTTAAATATGACCAGCTTAGGGAAGGACTGAGCCGGTGCTCACTCTGATGGCGTGTGGTCAGCACTCGAATTGCGCAGAACAGCAGCCTCTGCGAACTAACGAAGATCCATAGAGGAAGTCAGCTCTTCCCCATGGAAACCAGTGCCTGGTGTGTTTCCAACGCTCACGTCACCGGCAAATAGAAAGGAGAGGCACCAGTGTGTGCGGGAAGGGCCTTGAAAACAAACTCCAAAGAAACGCAGGCCAGCAGCAAGAATCTCCATCCACATGGATAGCGTAAAACCAGGGAGGGACGCAAGGAAGGAAAGCGTGTAAGGAACAGCAAAGAAGGAAGGCTCAGCCACAAATACACACACACACACACACACACACCGCAAGGGATAACACAGTACCCCCAGGTATAACCCGCAGACACACTGAGATCAGTCCCTCCTTCCTACCTTCTTATTCCTAATCATTCTGGTCAGCCTTTCATTCAGCTTAGCTGGCCCCTTCATTATATTCATGCTTTAAACCTTTCTTTATGTGTCAGGGTTTAGGGATATTTCGTTTTCTTTTGTAATTTTCCAACAAGTTGTGGGGAGGGGCGGTGGGAAAGCATACATACCTTAAAAAGAACTTGCAAAATGAATATTTCTCTTTGTACCCACAATAATCTTTTATTTCTTTTTTTTTTTTTTTTTTTTTTTTTTTTTTTTTGAGACGGAGTCTCGCTCTGTCGCCCAGGCTGGAGTGTGGTGGCGCGATCTCGGCTCACTGCAAGCTCCGCCTCCCGGGTTCACGCCATTCTCCTGCCTCAGCCTCCCGAGTAGCTGGGACTACAGGCGCCCGCCACCACGCCTGGGTAATTTTTTGTATTTTTAGTAGAGACGGGGTTTCACCGTGTTAGCCAGGATGGTCTCGATCTCCTGATCTCGTGATCCACCCGTCTCGGCCTCCCAAAGTGCTGGGATTACAGGCGTGAGCCACCGCTCCCAGCCTATTTTATTTCTATCATAAAGGCAACACGTGTTTTTTTGTGCAAAATTTGGAAAATACAGAAAAATATAAAGAAGGTGGAAACCATCCACAGTTCTTCCTCCAAGAAATAACCATAGTTGTATTCTAGAAAATGTATTTGTATGTTTAGTATAGTTGATCCAAAAGAAAAATCGAGGTAAATATGAATACAATTTTATTGTATGAAGGTGGTATCACACTGTATATACTACTGTATGTTGTTTTTATTTAATGTTATGTTGTGAGAATTCTAATACAGTATGAAGTAGTCTTTGAAAGCATAATTTTTAATAGCTACACAACATTTTTAATGAGTATATCACAGTTTCTTTTCCCATTTCTCTATTCTTGGGTATTCAGAAGGTTCTTAATTTTCTCTCATAAACTTGCTCCAATGACTCCCTGTGTACATCGATTTCTGAGCACATTTCTGATCATTTCTTTAGGATACTTTCTTAGGCATAAAATTCTTGATCTAAAGAGAGTAAACCTTCCTACGGCTGTTTCCTCCCTCCCACCTGTATGAAAACATCCATTTCACATAATTGCCAAAAATGGAAACAACCCAGTTGTCCACTCAAGTAGAATAAATAAACAAGATGCAGTCTATCTACGGAATGGAGCATCATTCAGCAATCTAAAGGAATGAAGTTTTCACACACGTTACAACACGGATGAACCCTTAAGATCGTATGCTAAGTACAAGAAGCCAAACACAAAGGCCACATGTTGCCTGATTCCATTTATGCAAATCGTTTTGAATAGGGACATCTACAAAGATAGAAAGTAGATGAGTAGTTGCCAGGGCTGGGGTGGTATCAGACAGTGACTGAATATGGGGATGACACTTTTACTTGCTGTGATGGAGACATTCTAAAGCTAGATCATGGTGATGGTTGCACAATTTTGTAAATTTACTAAAAATCATTGTATTGCACGCTTAAAATGAGAGAGTTTTATGGCACGTAAATTAGACCTCAATAAAACCTTCAAAAGGCATTTTCACTATTTATTTTTTCAGATTATTTTAGGATCATTCATTGAATTTTCCAAAATCACTATTCCACTAAAATTTGAGGAAGACTTATATTTACACTAATAATTTAGTATCAAGAAAAATAATATGCATTCTTATTTCTTAAACTGTCTTTATGTTACTAGAGTCACATTCTTCATTTTTATTAGCTAAGTCTTTTCTTCAGGTGAGACCACTCACTTTCTTTTGATTAATGTAATTTTTGCCATAAATATTTCCAGCCTATTATTACAATGTAGAGAAAAATATTTTTATATTTATTTAACTTTCTATCACTTTGCTTAATTTAACTTTTTTAGATTCATTTGGTATTACAAGTATACAGTTGTAGAAATGTCAAAGAATTATTAGGTCTCTTTCTAATAATAATTCTTCCTTCCCCTACACTGGCCAGACTTCCAGCATTAATTAGAAGGATGATGTTGATAACAAATAAAATTGCCTTATTCCTGATTCTAATGAGATTTTTTGCAGCATGTCACCACTAAGTATAATGTTGACTTTTGTTTCTTTTTAACCTTTTTATTTTGAAAAACTATACATTTGCAGGAAGTTGCAAAAATAGTACAGAAAGATCCTATGAATCCTCTGCCCAGTTCCCCCTGTTGGCTACATCTTATGTAGCTACCCTACAATATCAAAGCCAGGAAACTGGTACAGACATGGTGTGCAAATAGTTTTGTGTCATTGGTGGTATGTGTAGATTTCTGTAACCACCACCGCAGACAAGATTCGTAACTGCTCCATCATCACAAAGACATCCTTTGTGCTTCCCCTTTAAAGTCAAGCCATCCAGCCCCCACCAACTCTCAACCCTGAAAATTACTGATCTCATCTCCACCTCTTTAATTTGATCATTTCGAGAATGCTCTATAAATCTTATAGTATGTGACCTTCTGAGATTGGCTTGTTTTACTCGCCCTAATTCCTTTGCCATCCATGCAAGTTGTTGCACATGTCAGTAGTTTATTTTTCCTTATTGTTGTATTATTCTCTGGTATGGACGTACCATAGTTTGTTTAATCATGCACCTATTGTCGGAAATTTTAGTGTTTTTAGCTCTTGCAAACAAAGTTGCTATAAACAACCATTGCAGATTTTTGTGTAGACATAAGATATCTTTTCTCTGAGATAACCGCCCAGGAGTACGATTGCTAGGAAATATAATAAGCATACGTTTAGTTTCTTAAGAAACTGTCGAACTCCTTTCCAGAGTGGCTGTACCACTTGACATTGCACAGCAATATGTGAGAAATCTAGTTTCTTTGCATCCTTGACCGCATTTGGTGTTGCCATTCTGTTTTATTTCACTTGTTGTAATACGTATGTAGTGATTTCTATTGTGGCCTTAATTTGCATTTCTTTAATAGCTAATGATGCCGGAAATCTTTTCAAGTGCTTTTTTGCCCCATGTACACTCTATTTAGTAAATGTCTCTTCATGTCTTTTGCACGTTTTCTAATTGGATTGTTTGATTTTTACTGTTGGGTTCTGAGAGCCCTTTACATATTCTAGATGTGAGTCCTTTCTCAGACATGTGATTTGCAAATATTTTTTCCCTGTCTGTAGCTTGTCTTTTGATCCTCCTAACAGTGTCTTTTGCAGAGCAAACCTTTCTGATCTTGATGAAGTCCAATTTACAGATTTTTTCCCTTTATGGATTGTGCTTTTGGTGTCTTGTTTAAGAATTCTGCATCAAGTCTTAATCTTGAAGATTTTGAATTGTGTCTTTCTAAAAATTTTAGTTTTATTTTTACATTTAAATCTTTGCTCTATTTTGAGTTAATTTTTGCATAAAGTGTGAGGCTCAGGCTGAAGTTTACTTTTTGCCTATGGAAATCCAATTGTTCCAGTAACATTTGTCCAAAATGATTCCTCCACTGAACTGCTTTTACATCTTAGTCAAAAATTACCTGGGCATATGCTTAGGGGTATTTCCTTTTCTCTGTTCTGTTCCCTTATCTATGTGTCCATCCTTCCATCAGCACTGCATAGTTTAGGTTACTATCACTATTTAAGAAGTATTGAATTCAGGTAGAGTGACCCTTTGAAATGTATTCTTTGTATTCAACATTGTTTTTGCTATTCTAGTTACTTTGCCTTTCCAAACAAATTTCAGAATAATCTTGTCTCTACAAAAAAAAATCTTGCTTGGTTTTTAATGTAAATTTTATGAAGCCTATACATCAATTTAGTCAATAGATAAATTGAAGTCTTTACTATGTTGTCTTCTAATCCATGAACACAGTATCTCTCTCTATCTAGATCTTCTTTGGTTTTTTTTTTTTATCAATGTTGTGTAGTTTTCAGAATAAAAGCTTGTGTTAATTTTTTTACATTTATGACTATTTCATTCATATTAAGAAACTGTAAAAGGAATTATATTTTTAATTTTGCTTTTCAAGTATGTATTGCTAGTATACATAAACACAGTTGATCTTTGTCTGTTGATCTTGTATCCTGAAACCTTGTTGAACTCACTGCATATGATTGTAATTATTTTAAATTTGCTTTGGATTTTCATGGCCCATCTTGCTGTATGTTCTAAGGGCCTTGGAAAAGAACGTGTGCTCCTCTGGTTTGGGGTGAATTATTTCATAAATATAAATTAGGTCTTGTTGGTTAGTGGTGTTCTTGAGTTCTTTTATAGGCTTGCTGGCTTCCTGTTCTTCTACTTTCTGTCTCTGTAACCTGGACTACTCTAGGTACCTCATATAAATGGAATCAGACAGTGTGTTTCCATTTGTGACTGGCTTATTTCACATAGCATGATGTCCTCAGGATTCATTCACATTGAACAAGTGTCAGGATTTTCTTCATTTTTAGGGCTGGATAATATTCCACTGACTTGATCAGATTTTGGTGTAGTAGGGTTTTGTCTCTTCTGTTTTTTGTTTGTTTGTTTGTTTGTTTGTTTTTTGTAGAACTTCAGCAGCACAATGGAAGACATGATGTTGGCGCACAATGGAACATGCAGAGTTGGCAACGATCCCCATTCCAACCTGGTCCCCATTCCAACCCCAGCCACTGTGATATTGCATTATGCTTCTATGAACCCAGGGTTTTTTTATTTTGTTTTGAGATGGAGTTTCACTCTTGTAACCCAGGTTGGGGTACAATGGCACAATCTTGGCTCACTGCAACCTCTGCCTCCAGGTTCAAGCGATTCTTCTGCCTCAGGCTCCAGATTAGCTGGGATTACAGGTGCCCACCACCACGCCCAGCTAATTTTTTTTTTTTTTTTTTTTTGTATTTTTAGTAGAGACGGGGTTTCCCCATGTTGGTCAGGCTGGTCTCGAACTCCTGAGCTCAGGTGATCTGCCTGCCTCGGCCTCCCAAAATGCTGGGATTACAAGTGTGAACCACCAAGCCCAGCTGAACCCAGGGTTTTAAAAAAATAGTCCTGTTACTGAAATCAATTTCACCAAACAATAGAACAATTAAAGGAACTAGTAAACTCTGTTTTTGTTACAGTGATTGTTTACACTATATAAATCAGATGAGCCATTCTGTTTTGCCAGAAGATAACTTAGAGAAAATAGTTTGAAATTCTTTATTATTTACATGGTAGACTAAAATAGAACCATTGATTAGCATCTACTGAGTTTTTACGTAAGTATAATATTCTTAAAACAAACATTATTGTTATTGCCATTCAGTCTAAGATTTAATTATTGGCTTATAGAGTGAAAAAATTTAAAAGCCAATCAGCTTAAGGTGTAAAGGAATAAAAAAAAGAAAAACTGTCATTTAACACTTAATCTACAAGTTAATACAGTCACAAAATACATATTTTCTCTTCTTAACAAATTGAACACAACAGGTTCACAAGAAACAGGAACACAAGAAAATAAAAGACAGATCCAGGAAAGAGGAAGAAGAGTGGCAAGGAAGGAAGTTCAAAGAACTGGAGAAAGGGTGGGGAAGAAAGAGGATCTCCCAGGTCTCACCTTGCAATATCAAGTTTCCTTCCAGAAGTGAAGTTACCATCAGCTGAGAGAACTCCATCCTGGGACATATCCGTGCACATACTGGTGGTGAAGAATGAAGTCTCAGTTTTGTGTCAATGAATGGCCTGGGACTTAGAGGTTTAAGCCACCTCATTAAAGTTATGTTAACTTTATTTTTGGCATAAGAGTGAATTTTTTTTTCATTTACTTCTGATGTTCACTTAGCAAAGACAGAGTATGAGAAATTTTCCTGAGGTGAGGAGGACATTTGAGACAGTGTAGACAAAAGACTATTTCTGCTCAAAAGAACATCTGAGACACAAAGACAGAAGTTAGAGGCCATCGCTCAAATGGAAGAGAGATTTTAAAAGCCCTGATTATCATAGAAACATACACTTGAGGACCTTCCACAAATATAATTCAATCTGAAAGCCTTTTTCAAGGTTAATGAGTATCAGTGAAAGTTATAAATTAAATGTTTTTAAAATATAAGCTTGACCGTTTTTAATCAAGCTAAAAGAGCTATTTCAATTTTCTATGAAAATGCATGCTAAAATGATCTTAAGTCCAGAATAATTTGAACATCTAAATTTTCACAATATACTCTTCCTATTCGGTAAGTATTTAGCGTGACCATTCTCCATTAATCCTCTGTTAATACTTCATTAATAATCCCAGAACTCATACAATATGACCAAACTCATATAGAGATGACCTTAGAACTCATAGGGAGTTCATGCCAAAACTGACAAACTTAAGTGGTGTTTGCGTTAGGAAATGAAATGGTAATAAAGTATGGAAACTATGTGAAAACAGAAATCTATATTTTCCTTAACTAATTCACCTCCAGCAAGATGAGTTGGTTTTCTAAAATTTTTTCCAACAGCCAATGAAGAATGTCTTCATTCTTGGATGTGTATTTCATTTTGGCTGAATTCTCTACACTACCCCTTGCTCTAAGCCATGTTCTGAGAAAAGAAAACTTCAGAAATAAGGGAAATATCTTCTTAAGTCAGAAACAAGGATTTTTCATAACATTAATTTTGTTGCTAGTCCTTGCTTTTTGTAATTGAGATAGCTTCATATAACCTGCAAATAACTTTTGAAATAATAATTCAAAACATTTACAAAACATCTCTACTCAGCCTGGCGGAAGGTAGTCTCTATAACAGGTAGCAGAGTGCTGTCATCTTACTTATCACACCATGTTGTTGTGAGGATTAAATGAGAAAATACTCATGAAAACACAAAACAGACTCAGATGGCACCTAACAAGTGCTTAACAACTTGTTAGTTTGTTTGCTGTTTTGCAGTATTTACCAGGAAGAGGTTTCAGGTCAGCTGGAAAAATACTACTGCATGTATGGGATAGTAGCGTTTTATGTATATATATTTACATATATATACATACACATGCACACACACATATATATATATACATGTACATATATACACACATATATGTACATATATACATAAATATATGTACGTGTATATATACACACATACATATATCATATATATGCAAAATAGAATTATATATGTGATAGAATGATATGTGCTAAGCTGTATACTATAGACAGTACAATCATGAGTGAGTTCACTTGGATCACTGTACGTTGACTGTCTACTATATTGAAGGCACAAGATTGAAGACCATATTGAGTTATGATGTGTATGCTATTACATCATGTTATGGCAAAAACGATGGAGACCACTGAGCAGGATCATTGTCAACCGAAGTTTAAATAATGTAAAATCTGCTTCTAAGGTGAATCATTAAATGATCACTGCTAATTTTCCTCTCTCCAGCAAACATTAGAAAAATTCAAAGATTAATGGTTAAAAAAAGTTAAGTTGCAAAGGACAGTATTTCATTTACAGAAATGCAAAACAGCTTTTGAAATCAATGTTTCCATCTCCTTTTTTCAGCTTGTAAACTCATAACACTAAAACACCCTAACTGGTTTTATTCCTACCCTCTGTTAAAGTGATGTGATCCCAAGCTGGGACCTCATCTGCCCAACATTTAACCCGCAGAAACCTTTACCAGCCTGGTTTTGAACTCACAGAAACAGTAGCTTTTAATGGAAATGCTGACAGACTCTTAAGTATAGCAACGTGAATGGCACCAATGATAATAAATATGAGGAGTGATTCCCAAACTGAAGACGGGCAAATAGTTACCCAGCTGCTACAGAAATAGCAAGATAGAATTTAAAAAAAAAAGAAGGAGAAAAGAAATTAAATGAAATGGATATTAGCTGGAAACATCTGTGTTCACCACAGAGCAAAATGCATATTCAGCAGCCAGTTTATTGGCTCTTTAGAGGATGTGAATGGTGCATTGTAAATAATGACCCGCCTGTAATAAATTCCCAGTAAAAAAGAGAGGGGCTCGTGTGTTCCTCCCACAATTCACATTTCTGGGTCCCTGCTGTGAGTGATGATTCACAGCAGTCACAAATTCCTGTTTTCAAAATGCTATTGTATACTCCAGGGCTTTCATTAAGTTTTACACTAGCTGGGGAAATTTAAAACTTGAGAGAGAGAGGAAGAGAGGAGGAGAGCAGCTCTCAGTGGTGACTGTGCTCAGCACTCAGACTGCAGGACGCTGATAGATGTGATGGGAGGGTGTGTCTTCCAAACGACCGGGTTGCCTCCCATCCTTCTTTTTTCTGGAAGTCCATAAGGAAAGGAAAGAGCGGGGATCAGTGACCTCCTTATGTGACTGGAAGGAAAAGAGACAAGAGAAAGGTATTTGGAGCTGAATTTTGAAAGGCAATTGGGAGACAGCAGGTGAATCCAGGGCACTAGAGTTAATGGGTTCCATGAGGAGCCTGCATCTACCATAACTTTCCGGAATGCAACGTGCCAACCGCATCTTCAGAGTTCTAAAGCTTGGATGGCCCGTGAAGATTTAGGATTGTGCTATTACATGTTCAAAATATATCTGTTAAATATACATACTATGCCTGGAGCATAATGTTTGGTCTTAAGGTCATAAATACTTAAAGGAGAAATTGACCAGTCAGGATGGAAATCATTTCCTCTCAGCCCAGGCATCAGTAAAAGAAATGAGCATTCTTGCCCAGCCCAGGGGATTTTGGTGACTGCATTTGATGTGCCTGACGCTGGTGCACAGCCTGTTGACGCTGTGCTGGACAGGGCTACTCCCCATGTCAGGCCTTGCCCCTCCAAGAAACAGTTTGATATTCTGTCTGCATCATCTTGGCCAAATGATTGTTCCACAGCTGCAAAGTGCACTAATGAGAAGAGTTGGCAGAGTGTCGGAGTTCCCCATGTTCCAAGGGCCTGGGAAGCACACTGTCTAGGGCTACCTATGCTCACGCATTGGGAGGAGAGGCGGATGGTCCCAGAGGCTGTCCAGGTGCCAAAACCCGGGCTGGAACCCACTGCTATCTGCGTCTCACCAATTCCCAGTGAAAGCAAGAGGCCCCCAATAGTACCAAACCCGCGTGTTCATGTGCGGAAGCCAACAAAGGCTCCGGAAAAAGGTGATTCCAATGAAGAGAACTGGAAGTGTGTTTATCAACAGCAACAGATCACACCAAAGTTTTCTTGATGTGTCTCCTCCTGGGATTCTTAGACCTCCACTCATTCATGTCCAGTTAGCAAATGTAGTCACATCATTTTCTAACATAAAAAAAAAAAACAGTGAATCTAAATTCTTTGCATGTTTTCTCTTCTTCTGTCTTTCCAAATAAACTAATCCTTTTCAAATAAGTGCATGGCTAGGACGAGTGAAAACTTCCTGTTTTGGAAAATCATCTATTGAACAATCTTCTGCAGATTTACTAGGAGAATTCCCAATAATTTTGTTGTTTGTCAAGGCTTTTTAGGATTTTGCAAGGCAGGATTAAAGGCAAAGAAACAAGGAATGAAGCATGCTTTGTTTTGCACTATGCCAAACCCTACCTTTTGTAGTCTGCGGGAGGAGTGACTTGTCGGGGGCACCCAGGACAACGAAGCATCCCGGTTCTCTCTGCCTGGGCACAGACAGGGAAGGCCTGAAGTGGGTTCTGGTGGCCTCGCCCACTGCCCTACTGCAACGTGTATAAAGAATGACTGGGGCTGGGCCCAGTGGCTCACTCCTGTAATCCCAGCACTTTGGGAGGCTGAGGTGGGCAGATCACTTGAGGTCAGGAGTTCGAGAGAGACCAGCCTGGACAACATGGTGAAACCCCATCTTTACTCAAAATACAAAAATCAGCCAGGCATGGTGGCATACACCTGTGATCCCAGCTGCTGGGGAGGCTGAGTGGGGAGAGTCACTTGAACTTGGGAGGCGGAGGTTGCGGTGAGCCGAGGTCACACCACTACATTCCAGCCTGGGTGACAGCAGGACTCCATCTTAGAAAAAAAAAATGACTGGAATGAAGATGAGGTGAACTCCTCAGGGACAACCAGACAGTGGTCTGTGGCAAAATTTAGATACATATGCTTTAAAAAAGAAACAACCCTGTGAAAATGGATTAAAAATTTGAGGAAAGAGGAAGATAGATTTGCAATATTTGTTATTGAATGGATCAACAAGACTTTACTGTGCACCTATTATATGCAGTCAGTGTAAGTTTTACAGAAGATTACAGATTATTGTCATGACCTCTGCCATCTAGGAGCACAGAATCTCAAGATATCTGCATCTTAGCAATTCACTAACACAAAGAAAAGAGTGATGATAAAAGATAGGGATTAAAAGAGGATACTATGTAATTTTTTAAGCTATAAAAGAAATGGATAAGTAAACTTAGATTACTCTCTAAATTCAAAAAACTGGAGCATCAAACTATTTGTTGAATCTGAAAGAATGGCTGGGAAAATAGAAAGTGATATTACTTTGGATATTAAGTAAACTATGTAGACCAATGACTCCAAGAGGTAATAAAAGCTCAAAACAACTTCAACAATGGTGCAGATCAATTTGAATAACATATCCACATTAGTTTTCTAAGAAAGTCAAAGATTTGGACCTAATCATGCCCTTAAATTAAACAGGTACTGTTGGATTATCTCATGAGTTGGATAAACCATGGGCGCTGTCCCAGAATGGCTTATGCTTGGTGTCTAGAAAGAAAGCTGGGAATACTGAAAAAACAGCTCTGACCCATGGCTGCAGATTTAGACCCTCCCAGCTGGGACCCTGCTGCATTGGTAGTTACCAGAGCAGACATTATAGCAAGTGGGTATCAAATTGGAAGCAAGATGTCCGATTTTGAATGACAATAAAACTTGCAATATAGTACACGCTGAAACTCCTAAACTGTGCCTATGCACATGAATCTATTGCACATATAACACATGTTTATACTTGTCAAGGTTGATCCCAAAAGAAAAATAAGAAAGTAAGCCCATCTTCCAGGTGGACACAATCAACAATTCTTTAAAAATCAAAAGAGAAAACAATCTTTGCGGTTCACCTAGGTGAGTATTGGCTTTGTTGTTGGTATCTTTTCTAAGACCACACTTATCTACAGACTTCTTGTCTTGACTGTGTCCTGTTAGATGCTTTTAATTCTATATCCAGGTCCCCCTTTGCTGCCATGACACCTATACCACATTTGTGGTTTACAGTTAAATTTTTTAGCCTGTCAGAATGCTCATAATTATTTTAGCTGATTCCTAAAGCAAACTGCTGTTCAGATGAACTAGACCTGCTTGTGGATATTTTTTAAATGCTTATTACCCATTATATTGCAAAGTAAAAATAAAACATGTTACATATGCAGAATAAGTTCAATTTTACCAAAAAAAATCTATATTCATTCAAATACAATGGAACCCTGATTTATTATCAGCTTTCCTGTGGATGGTAGGGTTATAAATAATATCGTTTTTACTTTTATGTTTGCTTTGCTTTGTTTTGTTCTACAAGTTTTCTGTTTTTGAGTTTGAGGACATAGTCTATGGGAAAAGCAATTTTTTGAAAATTGCTGTTACAACGATTATAGCAATATATTGCTATTATAAAGTAAAATATAAAGATATAAAATGAGGACACGTTGAGTATTTTATTTAATTCAAGCAATGAGAGAATCAAAAGGATGTCATAAGTAGTTCTAAAGAGAAGTTAAAAACAAAAGGAACCAATTTTTATAGTGTAATAAAATGTAGGAAGATATATCCAAATGGAGGTAAAACTGGTTTTTCCACAGGGAGAAGATATAATTCCATTGAACCTCTATCAACAGAATTGCATGTTGGTAAACAAGAATTATTTCACATTGCTATCAACTATCTACAATTTGCAAGGTTATGAAATAATCCTCGCAGAATAAAGATCTACTAACTCAGAGTTCCCCTCCATGCACCTCTAAACTTCTCTAGCATCAAGACAATCCATAGTTTTCCACTGAACCACAAATTTTCCCCTACACCATTTAGTTCACCTCTCTTTCCAGAGCTTTAAACTCACTTGGCCAAAAGTAGGCCCGCTTAATAAATATTTACTTAAAGAATGGGTAAATGTATATATTTTATAATTGAAATTTTCTTAATGAAACCTTTTTTTTCAGGGAAGTTTTATTTCTGGACAGTTGATAGAGTTGGGAAATTCCTAAATTTGCCTCCCAGGACTGTCATAGTACAGTTGTGCAGGTTGCAGACTGAACAGCAATAGGAAATATCATAAACATGTAATCCATATAAGTATCACTGAGGTTGTTCAGCACACTGAACAACCTGGAGTCAGGAATAAGAGTGAGGTAACAGAGTGAGGAAAGAAGCCAAGAACACTAGCTCTGAGTCGGGAAACAAGTTCATTCCACCTGCTATATCTAGGTTGGGACATGGCTGTTTATCCACTGTTTTTTCTTCCCACCAGGAACCAACCAGGAGCCAAGGAGGAGCTGGGCAGAAGAAAGTTCCCAAACAGCATAAGCAGATAAGTTTTGAGAAAACCTTTTTAGGACAGAAGTTTTTATTGGAGGGAAAAGGAAAAACAGACCGTTGCTTTTTAAAGATCCCTGTCTGAAAATGACATGTTGCTGCTTTCGAGAGATGGGGTCTATTACTAATTTTTATTCCCCTTGAAAGTAAGCCATTTGTAGACAGTACTGTTAAAAAGTGCTCACTTTCTTAAGCATCCTGCTCTTTGCAACATGGCCAACTTCCAATACAATTCTTCCAATTAGGATTATGTTTCATGGCTAGAAAGCCCACATTCCCTGTAAACCACCAAAACCTCATTCCCTTCCCCTAGCACTTTTGGGCCCAATTATTTCACCACTAGGGTGGGATCTAAGGGAGCTGTACCGTTTAGCAACTTTCATTACCCTGTTTGTAAACCTCAGCTCTGCTGTTAATCTCCAAGGGCACATTGCAGCTTCCAGGGAACAATTTTTGTTGTGTTGATTCATGGGGTTCTTTTATCAACTTAGAGCCTTCAGGCTCATCACCCAAAAGTTCCTCCTTCAGCCTCTCTCACCAGACCTGTCTCCAATATGCATTGTAGAGGGAAATTCTAACCAGACAAAACAAATACCTATCCTCACTCCAAAGCTACTGTTAGTCCTGGTCACTGTCGACTGTTTATGTCAACTCTTCATAGTTACCTTCCACCAGATCAAACAGGGAGAAGTCTTCCCTTCTTCAGAACTTCAACACAATCTTTATGAGTTTCCAGTTTCCAGGAGAGATTAAAACACATTTACCAAGGAAGACCTTCTAAACTTTGCCAAAACTTACTACCAAATCAGAAATTTGAGATAAACAAATCTTAAAAGAACAAAATTTGCTGTAGCAGATTTTTTTTCCATTCTCTCTAATGACCTTTTACTCTGAGCTTCAGCGCAAACCCTCTCTACATGCAGACATGCAGAGGTGCTGGGAGTGAGATACGCAAAGGAAAACAGGGAGAAGGACACAGGGGGGCCGGGATAGAGACTGTGCCCTCTCCCCAGGACCCAGGGCTCTGCCTCTTCACTGACCCCATGGATTTTGTTTTCTCCTGAGCAATGACTGTTCCACCACCAAAAAGTCAATGACAGGCAAGGGTCATCCCAAGAGTCAGTGGAAGGTGAACTGTTTAAACTCAATCATAAAGATTCCTCCTAAAACACATTTTATAGCTACATTGGTAACTTCTGTATCATAACAAAATTCTTTTATATCAAAGATTATGAAAAAGTGTGTGTGTGCATGTTTCTAGCATTATAAAAACAAATAGATACTGACAAACAAATAGGTTTCTCTGGGGGAAAAGACCACCGGGATAGTCACACTATCAGCTGACTTCTCCTAGTCACAATGGACCAATTATTTGCTTTGTAATCATCAGATACAATTGCCAAAAAAAAAAAAAATCTTTAAGTGCAAGACTTCACAAGAGGGTAAGGAAGTTTTCAGCAGCAATATTTTAGCTTGAAATATCTGAAAGAATTTGGAGTCTGAAAATGAATTTTGAGTGTTCAAGAATCTCTCTCAAATAGTGAGCTAAGCTAAGATTTACTGATTTACTAAAGACCATCCCTCTCCTTTACCTATGGGAGTGTTTATTACGCATATCTTATCCCTCTTCCACCTTTTTTTTTTGGAATGGCAAGGGAGGGGCCGCAAGTACCTAGTCTTTGCGGGTCATATGTCAGCAGATCAAGAGGTTCTGAATCTGGACCACAAGTAGACCTCCAGCCAGTTGCGAGTACAGAATCAGATTTCAGGAGCCTGGGGATGGCAGGGAGAATGTTTTGCATGAGAGAGGCACACTGCTGTCACCACCCTCTGTCCCCCACTAGAGGAACACTTCCACTCCAGGTCAGGATCTCCACCCCAAGAACTCCGTCAGCTGCCTCCGTCAGCTGCGGCTCTATTGCCGCATTCGGATCACGTCCTCACCCAGACCAACTCCATCCCTGAAAGCCTAAATCCAAATGTCCCACCCACTGACCACAACCTTTTCTCCTTTTAGAGCATTTGCTCTGACTTCACTTTTTCTTAACATCTCTAAAACCTCCACTTCTTTGATTACCATTCTTTCCTCATCCTCTCGCCTATGGAGCCTCCACAAAGCATATATATATACACACACAAACACACACACACACACACACACATATATATGTCATATATATATACACACACACATATATGTCATATATATACACATACACACACACATATGTCATATATACACACATATATGTCATATACACGCACACATACACACATATGTCATATACACACATATATGTCATATATACACACATACACACATACATACACACATATGTCATATATACACATATACGACATATATACACACATATATGTCATATATACACATACAAACATACATACACACATATATGTCATATATACACACATATGTCATATATACACACACACATACATACACACACATATATGTCATATATATATACACACACATACAATAAAATTTACTCTTTTTGAAAAAGCTATTCAGTTTAAGGGATTGTATCCTTTTTTTAAATACTGTATATCCTTTTCTCTTTTTTTATACTTGAAGTTCTGGGATACATATGCAGAACTTGCAGGTTTGTTACATAGGTATACATATGCCATGATGGTTTGCTGCACCCATCAACCCGTCATCTACATTAGGTATTTCTCCTAATGCTATCCCTTCTCTAGCCCCCCACCCCCTGACAGGCCCTTGTGTGTGATGTTCCCCTCCCTGTGTCCATGTGTTCTCATTGTTCAACTCCCACTTATGAGTGAGAACATGCAGTGTTTGGTTTTCTGCTTCTATGTTAGTTTGCTGAGAATGATGGTTTCCAGCTTCATCCATGTCCCTGCAAAGGACATGAACTCATTTTTTATGGCTGCATAGTATTCCATGGTGTATATGTGCCACATTTTCTTTATCCAGTCTATCACTGATGGGCATTTGGGTTGGTTTCAAGTTTTTTCTATTGTGAACGGTGCTGCAATAAACATATGTGTGCATGTGTCTTTATGGCAGAATGATTTATAATCCTTTGGGTATATATCTAGTAAAGGGATTGCTGGGTCAAATGGTATTTCTGGTTCTAGATCCTTGAGGAATCACCACACTGTCTTCCACAATGGTTGAACTAATTCACACTCCCACCAACAGTGTAAAAGTGCTCCTATTTCTCCACATCCTCTCCAGCATCTGTTGTTTCCTGACTTTTTAATGATCACCATTCTAACTGGCATGAGATGGTATCCCATTGCGGTTTTGATTTGCATTTCTCTAATGACCCATGATGATGAGCTTTTCTTCATGTTTTTTGGCTGCATAAACGTCTTCTTTTGAGAAGTGCCTATTCATATCCTTTGCCCACTGTGTGATGGGGTTGTTTGTTTTTTTTTTCTTGTAAATTTAAGTTCTTTGTAGATTCTGGATATTAGCCTTTTGTCAGATGGATCGATTTCAAAAATTTTCTCCCATTCTGTAGGTTGCCTGTTCACTCTGATGGTAGTTTCTTTTGCTGTGCAGAAGCTCTTTAATATAATTATATCCCATTTGTCAATTTTGGCTTTTGTTGCCATTGCATTTGGTGTTTTAGTCATGAGGTCTTTGACCATGCCTATGTCCTGAATGGTATTTTTTAGGTTTTCTTCTAGGGCTTTTTTGGCTTTAGGGCCTACGTTTAAGTCTTTAATTCATCTTGAGTTACACAGAAAACTGAAACTGGGCCCCTTCCATATATGCAGTTTGTCTTTTTAACCATGTTTTACTTGTAGGCACAAGCCTCTTGTCTCTCTGTCCATTAATCACAACTTTCAAAAGAAAACAGACAGGCAAAAACCCAGTTTTATTTATTGATTTATTAAACAGCTTTATTGAGATATAATTCACATATCATACAATTCACCCATTTAAAGCATATATAATCCACTGCTTTTTCGTATGTTCACAGAGTTGTACAACCATCACCGCAATCAATTTTAGAGCATTTCCATCATCCAAGAGAGAAACAATTAGCACTCATCCCAGTTTCTGCCCCTGACCCTCTCCTTCTGCCACCCCCAACCCCAGGCAATCACTGCAATCACTTATCTACTTTGTGTCTCTCTATATTTACTTACTCTGTACTTTTCTTCTCCTCCTCTCTAATGTATCCTTTGACCAATGTCTCCCCATCTCTTTTCCTCCATAGCCACCCAGCCTCCAGGAACCACCATTCTACTTTCCACGTTATGAGTTCAACTTTTTGAACTCACAGGAGAGAAATGAGAACTCATTTCCTTTCACAGAAGAGGGAGATCATGTCATATTTATCTTTCTGTGCCTGGCTTATTTCACTTAACATAATGATCTCTAGTTTCATCCATGGTGTCGCAAATGACAGGATTTTATTTTTTATGGCTAAATAGTATCTTTTTGCTCAAGATTGCCTTGGCTATTCAGGGTTTTTTTATGGTTGCATACAAATTTTAGAAATTCTTTTTTTATTTCTGTGAAGAATGTCATTAATATTTTGATAAGAATTGCATTGAATTTGTAGATTGCTTTGGGTAGTAGGTACTTTTTAAAAAAATTCATGTTTTTCAATCCATGAACACAACATGTCTTTCAATTTATTAGTGCCTTCTTCAATTTCTTTCATAAATGTTCTATAGTTTTCACCATAGAGATCTATAACCTCATTCATTAAATTTACTCCTAAGTATTTGAATATTTTTGGTAGATACTATGAGTGGGATTGTTTTCTTGATTTCTTTTTCAGATAGTTTGCTGTTGGTGTATAGAAACACTGCAGATTTTTGTATATTTATTTTGTACCCTGCAACATTACTGAATTTGTTTATTAGATCTAAAAGGTTTTTAGCGAAGTCTATAGGCTTTTCTTTACATAAGATTATGTCATCTGCAAACAGGGACAATTTAACTTCTTCCTTTCTAATTTGGATGCTTTCTATTTCTTTCTTTGTGTAATTGCTCTGGCTAGGACTTTCAGTACTGTATTGAATAGAAGTGGTAAAATAAATATCCTTGTGTTGTTCCAGATCTTTTGAAAAATGTTTTCAACTTTTCCCCATTCAGTATGTTAGGTGTGGTTTTGTGTTAAAGACCTGTATTATGTTGGGTTACATTCCTTCTATACCTAATTTGTTGAGATTTTTGTCATTAAGAGATGTTAGATTTTGTCAAAAGTTTTTTTCTGCAGCTATTGAAATAATCATATGGTTTTTGTCCTTCATTCTGTTAACGTGATGTATCATGCCTATTGACTTGCATATGTTGAATCATTCATGAATTCCTGGGATGAATCCTACTTTATCATGGTGAATGCTCTCACTAATGTGCTATTGAATGTGGTTTGCTAATACCGTATTAATGATTTTTGCATTTATGTTCATGAGGAATATTGGTTTGCAGTTTCCTTTTTGTGTGTTGTCCTTGACTTGTTTTACTATCCATATAATGCTGGTCTTATAGTATGGTTTAGGAAAAATTCCCTCCTCTTCAATTTTTCAAAATAGTTTGAGAAAAATTGATAGTAGTTTTTCTTTAAATGTTTGGTAAAATTCAATAATGAAGCCATCAGTTCCTGGATTTTCCTCTGATGGAAGACTTCTTATTATTGATTCAATTTTCTCACTCATTTTTGGTCTGTTCAGGCCTTCTATTTCTTCATGCTTCAATCTTTGTAGACTATATGTGCCCAGGAATTTATCTATGTCTTCTAACTTATCCAATTTGTTGACTTAAATTGTTCATGATAGTCTCTGAAGATCCTTTATGTTCCCGTGGTAGCAGTTGTAAAGTCTCCTTCTTCATCTCATTTTACTTATTTGAGTCCTCTCTCTTTTTGCTTAGTCAGGCGACAGGTTTGTCAACTTTATTTATCTTCCCAAAAAACAAACTCTTGTTTTGTTGACGTTTTGTATTGCTTTTCTAGTCTCTTTCATTCATTTCTGCTGTGATCTTTTTTATTTCCTTCCTTCTAATTTTAGGTTGAGTTTGCTCTTATATTTCTAATGCCTTGAGGTGCAATGTTGGATCATTTACTGGATCTTTCTCCTTTTTTGATGTAGGCATTTATTGCTATAAATTTTTCTCTTAGAACTGCTTTCATTGTATCCCATTGGTTTTGGTATGTTGTGTTTCCATTTTCATTTATCTCAATAACATTTTTAATTTTTATTTTAATGTCTTCATGCCCCATTGGTTATTCAGGAACATAGTTTTTGATTTCCATGTATTTGTAAAGTTTCCAAAGTCCCTTCTGTTATTGATTTCTCATTTTATACCATTATAGTCAGAAAAGATACTTGATAATGATTTCAATCTTCTTAAGTCTTCAAAGACTTATTTTGTAGCCTAATATATGATCTATGCTATAGAATGTTCCATGTGCAGTTGAAAAGAATGTGAATTCTGTAACTGATAAATGCAATGTCTTGTAAATGTCTGTTAGGCCCATTTAGTCTGAAAGTTAGTTTAAATCTGATGTTCCTTTGCTGATTTTTAGTCTGGAGATGATTTGTTTATTGCTGAAAGGGTGGTGTTGAAGGGTGGTATTGAAGTTTCCTACTATTATTGTATTGCACTCCGACTCTCCCTTTAGATCTAATAATATTTGCTTTATATATTTGGGTGCTCTTGTGTTGGGTGCATATATGTTTACAATTGATATATCCTCTTGCTGAATTGATCTCATCACTATATTATGATCTTCTTTGTCTCTTTTTACAGTTTTTAACTTAAAGGCTATTTTAAGTGATTATAACTATAGCTGTTTCTGTTATTTTTTGGTTTTCATTTTCATGGAATATCCTTTTCTATCCCATTCAGTCTATGTGTGCTTCTACAGGTGAAGTATGTCTCTTGTAAGGAGCATATAGTTAAGTCTTTTTTTAGAATAAATCTATTCAGC
Organism: Homo sapiens; assembly: GCF_000001405.40. Lineage (NCBI taxonomy): Eukaryota > Metazoa > Chordata > Mammalia > Primates > Hominidae > Homo > Homo sapiens. Next base: position 75,601,264 of record NC_000018.10, on the reverse strand, counting down.
CATTGTGTATCCTTTAATTGGATAATTTAATCCTTTTACATGCATGGTTATTATTGATAGATAACCACTTACTTCTAGCTTTTTATGAATTGTTTTCTGTTGTTGTGTATATATTGTGTTCCTTTCTTCCTCTCTTATTGTTTACTTTTTGGTTTGGTAGTTTTCTATAGTGCTAAGCTTTGATTTCTTTCTTTTTCCCATAAAAAAATTTGGATCAATTCAGACATCCACTTTATCTGTTCTTATAATAGGGCTGTTGACTATTGGAAGAAATCTAACATTTTAATAGGGGTCATTCTAAACACAAATTCTCCAATCTCACCTACAATCTCAATGTGGCCTGACAGTTATATTTGGGTCCAAAAAATGGCAGCAACTCTCAGTGTGAAGACAGAAGTACTGTAGGAGAAGTAACCAGTCCAGTTTATAATTAGGTCTAACAGAGTCCACTGGCTACAGCATTTCCTAAGAAATTCATCATTGATCAATTAATTTGTCTTGGGCACCGATTTTAATTTATTGGTCACAATCAACTGATTCTAGTTATTTCTGGGATTTTTTTCTCCTGATGATTGGAAACTTCCAGTATCCATTAAGTATAAACACTTGGAGTTTCTACACATCTTTCAATTAATGAGTATATATTAAGGCCCTCTGTTTGCGTAGTGCTACACTGAGCATTATGGGCAATTAAAAAAAAATTCATAGTTGCAGACTTTAAAAGTTTATAGTCCAGGTGGGGCAATAAAATCAATGTACTTAAAACAATTGGAAAACAGATTTGGACAAACTCTGTCATATTGACAGTAATTAGGGTAGAAACTTTAAAATTAGAGAGATGGTGTCATAGGGAAGTTTTTGAGGCAGATCAGAATGTGAGCTGGGTTTTGCAGGAAGAATGTAGAAGACAGCAAGATGGGAGTACTTGTCTCCATATTTGCACAGTTTCTTTAATTTTACTCCCCTTTGTGATTTTAAAGCAGAATGCAACAGATGCAACCAGTGAGAATGGGAATTCGGACTGACCATATATTCCTCAATTCTAATTTAACTCCTGAAAAATGCCTTCAGGATCCACATGAAGTTTTACATAAGTCTCTTTTACCCTAGGTTGTCTGATAATCTTAAAGGGCTCAGACATTCATCCACAGGATTCGTATTAAAAGAATATGAATCCTCTGACATTCATAGGAAATCCACAGGATTCAATTGCACCTTGGGAATTTTCATCATGTCTCCTGTGTGTGCTCAGCTCAGGATCAAAGTCAGAACTGAACAAGGAGATTAGGAGAAGAAGCATGTGAGCTCTCAGCCCCTCACATCCTCACTACATCCCAGATATGAGCATGGCCCCAGTCAGTTTCCAGTATCAATAGTGAAAGGCAACGTCCAAGTCTGGTTTCCACAGAGGAGTGAAATATCTCTTCTTTGGTTTGGGAGGTATTCCAACTTTTGTAATAGAGCAGATATCCTTGAGCCCCATAGACACAAATTTATTTTTAAATAAATCTCTTATACCAAAATGTGTCTATGCTTAAAATAGAATCCCTTTGTACGTCTCAATGTTACATTCTGTTAAAAGGGCAGAAAAGTACATGGTGTGGCTCACTTTCAATTATTAAAACATTTGATAAAAGTGTTCTCTCCCTGACTTTATGTAATTTTATAAGCTTTGGTAAGTTATTTACAATACAACTGTATTGATCACTTTGGGCTTTTTATTTTTGGAATACAATCCACTCTTAAACTAATGAATACAAAATATCATCAAAGTAGGTGATAGCTCTTGCAACGAAGTAAAAGAAAACTATTGATTCATGATAGCTTGTAACAATACAGTCATATTTTGTTTTCATTATTTTAGTTTGGTTTGATTATTTTTGTTGTTTGCTTACCATTTTATTCATCTTGTATTATTACAGGTTTTACAGAAACTTAGAAAAGAGAGAAAATGCAATGATCAATTCTGAAGTCTATAGAGGAAGAATGATTGGAAATACTATATTGACAAAAGAGGAACAGATCCATTTTCTAAAGAATATGCTTAGCTCCCACGTGCAACTTGTAGGGATCTAAGATTATTGCAAATGAAGTAGATGTTTTACATAAAATTATGCCATATATGTCCTCAGAATTAATAAAACCCAGAGCCTTGAAAAAAATGAGGTTATTAAAATAGGTTGTAAAACTTTAGTGATTAAAATAGCATAATAATGACATAAGAATAGACAGATCAATACTCTTCATTTAAAAAACCTGTAAATATGTTAATTATGCAACACAAGGAGTTAGGTACTTATTGACATGAAAACCTAAAGTTGTGTCCATGTACTGTGCATGTACAGTGTAACTCCGTTTCAGTAAGTGCGTGTGCATGTGTTTGTGAGTGTAGGCATGCATGTGAGCACATACGTGTGTGATTATAGAGAGAGCTCTGGAAGAATGTCTACGTGGCTGTCCACAGTGGTCATCTCATGGCAGCAGAGTCTCACATGTGATATTTTTTAACCTCGCATTTTGCTTTTTGCTTCTCTTTATTGTTTGAATTTTTGAACCATTACATATTTTTAGCAAACAGGCTGAATCTATTTCCAATGGAAGAAAAAAACAAAGGTCAACAAAATATTTCATGCAACGTCTCTCATCAGCTCCCAGGCTTCAGGTTTTGCACATGGCTGTTGCTCTTGCTCTGTGCATTCCTTCTGCTCTTCCTTTGTGTAACCCTCATGAACCCTTGGTGGAGGGTGAAGGATCATGGATATTATTCTTTGTAACTCAAACTTTGGCTTCAACAATCATATAAAGATCATAGATGTAATTGTGTGGCCTGCATATAATTTTTACATGATTGACTTAGGATCAATTTGGTGCCTCTTTGCCCTTGAAATAAACAAAAATATAAATCCAGATGTAGGGCTCAGGGTGGAGGGGTTGCAATTTAGACCCACTGTATGCTGGATGATCACAGCTCAGCTTCTCCATGCAATTCTCCATAGGCCCAAGGTTAAAGCTGCTGATAATAACTTACAGGGAAGAGGAGGCATGAAAGAAAAAGAGAAAAAAAGGAAATTATCACTAGAATCATACTGGCAAAGTTTACCTTAATTTGGGACATGGCTGGATTTAGGCCCTATTTATAATGAGGCAAAATGGGGCTGTAAAAATAGAAACTCATTAAGAACAAGAAAAAACCATACTTCCCACATATTGTGAAGGTTGTGCTCTGTAGACAAGTGCCCTGGGGAGGAGAAGCAGAGGCTGAAATGGAGCCTCTCGCTGTCCTCAGTGAGCAGAGAACCCTGTTGCTGTTGTGGCAACGCCTGCATTGCAGAGGGAAGGCTGCTCCTGTCCAGTTTCCACCAATGTGAGCAGCTGTCATTTTCTAGTGACACCTTATGACTCAGCAGCCCTGATTCTCCCATTTCCAGAATAATGCAAGGACAAGACAGGTGATTTAATCAATTAAGTACTGGAAAAGAAATTTCCAGGATGAGGTGGAAAACTTATTTTCATCCTCCACTGGCGATTACGTGCTATCACATAAGAGGTGATGCCAGTAAAATCCCAAAGGAATTGGAAGAAAAGCACTTCTGGGGTGGAAGGTTTATTTGCTGATAACTTAAAATTTATATTCAGTTGTTTAAAACCAGTTCTGCTTTCTTTGCAGAAGCTAGTGGATATCTCTATGTTACCTATGAATCCATTGTAAAATTAGTCGGTATGTAATTAAAATAATTCCTCAAAAAAGGTGTAATGAGGCAATTATGGAGGGAAATAAAAGTAGCAGAAAGGAACTCAAAATTATGGCAAAGAGATTGTCAAAAATGCCAGGGCTTACCCACAGCAGGCTCCGGCTGTGTGCACTGACATACAGGAACAAGGGAGAACCTGTTGGTGAGTGTGTGTGCCGTGATACAGGACTGCATTTGTGGGACCGTGAACAAAGTGCTAACAGAATTGCCATGGCATCTTAACATTCCCCTCTTTAATATGCTACTCTTTAGCTTTCTACAGAAGTCCTGATCATAAAGTAATATTTATGGTTCTCCTCTAAATTCTTCCATTTCACATTTTTATATAGAACACAACTCAGTATTATGATATAAAAATGAGAATCTAGAAATTCCAAAAAGACGATAATTCTTAGTAATAATAAATGAGTTGTTTAATGCTAAGAGGATGTGTAATACAATACAGACCAAGTTCTGTTTTGATAATCAAAGTAATATGGGTTGAATATTATGTAAATAGCTTGCAGAAACTTTTGGTGGGAAAAAACCCAAAGTGTTAAAATTGCCTTTAAGTTTGTGAGAAACACAAGAAGTTATCATACACAATAATAAAAATCATTTTTAAGCAATAAAGTCAATGGATCATAGGAGACAAAAAACATAAAAAGAGTAATGAATACTTTTAAATATATATTTAAGAAAAAGGAGAGTATTCTTATTGGTTCTTTCCCAAATAAGAGTACAAAAGGTTAAGTGTATATTTTTGAATATGCATTTAAAAATAACACTTGCCAATATTTTATTAAGATCTTGCAAAAAATGTATGTAGACTGATCCAATAGCTTACATAAGACTTTATCTTTCTGGTTGAAAATTACACTTACAACAATTTGTCAAACAAATTTCCAGGAACAGTAAAACGCATGCAAGAAAGAAATTAATATCATGCATCTCAGCATCAGTTAAGAGCTGCATAGATCAAAGATTCGTTCTGGTGCCATGAAGGTCTGATTTTGACTTTCAAACAAGATGAGAGTGGGAACCATGTGATAAGACAAAAGCATAAATAGCTAATTTCTAAGGATTTTATCAGATTATAAATAAAGCTCATTGTCGTGTGAGGGATCCCCAAACGGGTTGCACTGGAGTTTGCAGGCATACAAGTAAACATATGCGACAGAGAGGCTGTTGTTCCCTGTTACTTCTTTTCCATAAACAATACTGTTCTCCTTTAATTCTTCCTAAAGCATAATGAATAGTCCATATTTTTAAATGGATGGCAAGCAAATTCTCAGTTGTATCAACTGCAGTAATTAATACATTTTACTGCCTTCTGGCATTTAATTATAGAATGTGCCACTGTGCCTTGTTGAGGACATTTTAAACTTTTTAGTGTGCTAAGAATGGCATTGACTCTTTATTCTTATTACACACAATTTCAAACAGAGTACCTTCAAGGGTCCTGTCTATTCTCCAAAACTAGATGGAGCATAAAAGACAGACAGGCCTGTATTTTATCAGAAAATATTCCAAACTTAGAAAAAAACTGGTCGGGGGGAAAGGAATACCAATAAAAATTTATAAGGGAAAACAACCTGACTTTTGAAATCACGTGGAGATTAGTGCTTGTGTTTGTTTCTAAATCAGCCTTTATTTCCTTACCCAGTCATGGAGTTTAACATCATAATTGTCAATTCAATTAGTTACTAAAGCCTAGGATCATGATGTAGAATGAACCAGGTGTTCAAATGCCTTGGTGTTGCCTTTACAAGTCTTTAATGCCTAAACCAAGAGGGCTGTGGCCAACTTCACAAGTAGGTAAGTTGCTTTAATTGGCATAAGGGTGTTGCTTTATTTAGTGACAGGGTCGAGAATATGATCCTGTGACTGAACAGGCTGAATAATTAATTCCATGAAAGTGGTTGACGTGTTCTTAGGCACATAAAGGTAGATGGAGAAGAAGGAGAGGAAGACTAACAAAACTGATGCTGGGGTGGTAGAGGGCAGAAAAGACTTCCGATATTGGTATTTTTGAAAAAGAGAGTCAAATCTGCTATTATTAATGTAGAAATATTTTGTCAATGAGACACCCCAAATTTTCAGAAATGTATATTTCTCAACAGCTATAATAATAATGAACCTGTTGTGAAGGGATGGTCTTTGTTCCCAAGTTCAGATTTTAGCAAAATATTATGTTGTCAGTATTTTCCAGCAATAGAAAATTACTCTCTTTGATCTAGGTATTTAGGCATCTGATAGAGAATAACTATTTTTCTTGCATTCAGAGATCTTACCTTGAACAAGGAAAGCTAAGCTAGAAAATTAAATAACTTTAAAAATATTTAACAACACAGGAAAGTTAAATTCAATTTAAAAATCACGAACATTATAAAGTGACATGTCAATGTGTATCTCACTGTGTATCAAATTTGTGGCATAGGGACTGATACAGTTTGGCTTTGTGTCCCCACTCAAATCTCATCTCAAACTGTAATCCCCATGTTTCAAGGGAGGGAACTGGTGGGAGTTGATTGGATCATGAGGTTGGTTTCCCCCATGCTGTTCTTGTGACAGTGAGTGAGTTCTCACGAGATCTGTTAGTTTTATAAGGGGCCATTTCCCCTGCCCCTCTCTTTCCTGCTGCCTTGTGAAGAAGGTACTGGCTTCTCCTTCACCTTCCACCACAATTGTAAGTGTCCTAAGGCCTCCCCAGCCTTGAGAAACTGTGAGCCAATTAAACCTCTTTCCTTTATAAATTACCCAGTCTCTGGCAGTTCTTTATAGCAGTGTGAAAATGGACTAATACAGCCACGCCTTTTCTGTGTGGCTATTACAGGTGGCTTCCCTTTTATGGCCATGATGGAGTGACAGGGACTGAATTTTCCCTCCCATCTGAAACAACTGAAAAAAACTGGACACAATTTAGAAATTGATTATTCTGAAAACACTGGACATCATCTGGTAGCAAAGGAGACCAACCTCTGTGAAATGGGAAACCAAGTGACGGGCCCTACAGTTGCCCAGCTTGCTGCCTGGGGAGAGTCTTCAGGCAGTCATTCAAGGCAAGGGAGGAAAGGGGGCACCCATAAGTCTTTGTGTACTGAGGTGATAAGCCAGGGAGCTCAAAGAGACTGTATTAGTTTCCTAATGTTGTGGTAACAAATTACCATAAATTTACTGCCTTAAAATAAAACAAATTTATAAGCTACAATTCTGGAAGTCAGAAGTCTAAAATGTATCAGCAAGCCTGTGTTCCTCCCAGGGACTTGAAGGAAGCACCTGTTTTCCTGTCCTTTGCAGCTTCTAGAGGGTTCCTGCATTCTTTGTCTTTTGGCCCCTTCCTCCATCTTGTAAACCAGCAGCATAACACCTTCTAATCCCTTTCTCTGTCTCTGACTCTCCAGCCTCTCTCCCTCTTACAAGGACCCATAGTATTATATTGGGCTCACCTGGAGAATCCAGGATAATCTCCTCATCTTAAGAGCCTTAATTTAGTCACATTTACAGAGTGCTTTTTTTGTCATTTAAGGTAACATATTTACAGGTTCCCGGGTTTAGGATGTGGACATTTTTGCATGGTAGAGGAGAGTGTGGCCATTATTTAGCCTATCACAGAAGCCAAAGCAGCTAGAGTTTGCAGGCAGAGGAGCAGAGCAGAGAGAACAAGGTCGCAGAGTGAGAGCACTACAGATCTGAGGGCGCCCTGCAAGTATGCAGCAGAAAAGTCCTCTTGAGCATTCAGCTAAGTGATGATCAATGCATGCATGTGAGGAAACTTTCCAAAACTGAGGGGGAAATCAATAGAATAAGAGGGAATAAGCCTAAGGGCTCACACAGAGCTGAGAGTAGTGCTTGTTCCTGTCAGCCTAAGAAGAAATCTCTTAATTCATTGACATTGGGGAGAGTAGTTAAAAGGGTTTGCCTCAGTAGTAAGGCAAAACTGGCCCTAGATTAAACACTACACTACTCTAGTCCTCCTAATCAGAGCTTAAAAGCAAGATTCATAAAGATAAAAGTAACCCCAGTAGCTTAACCACTTCCCAGAATAAAGCTCCTGATTTTTTTTGGAATAAAGAAATACCCAGTAGCCAAAGATGAAAAAAAAAAATCACAATGAAAGGCATCCAATAAAAAGTTCCCAGGTGTGCAGAGAATAATAAATACACAGCCCACAATTAGGAGAAAGCCAATCAAGAAAAACTAATCCAGAAATGATTCAGATGATAGAGTCAGTAGATAAGAACATTAAAACAATAATTAAAATTTTATCCCATGTGCTCAGAATATTACAGGAAAAATCAAACATCTGAAGTTGAAACATGAATGATGTAAAAAAGATGTAAATTAAACTGCTAGAGATGAAAACATATTACCTGAGATTTAAAAGTACACTGAATAGGTTTAACAATATATCACATGAAGAAGAAAAGATTAGTGAACTTGAAGACATAGTAATAGAAACTATCTAAAATGAAACACAGAGAAAAAATAATTTAAAAACAAGGAAAGAGTTGTGAGCTGTGAGACAACCTCAAGTGGCCTACGATTTGTGTAATTTTAGTTCCCAAAGAGATGGTGAGGAGTGAAGAAAATATATTTGAAAAAATAATGGACGAAAATTTTCCAAATTTGATACACACTATAAACCTATAGACCCAAGAATCAGAGAAAGCCCAAGCTACTACATCAGAGCACATCATCATCAAATTACTTAAAACCAGGGATAAAGTTTTCAAATGAGACAGATAGAAATGTCGCATTACATAAATAAGAACAAAAATAAAGATGACAGCAGATTTCTCACTGAAAACAATGCAAGCTGGAAGACAGTGGAATAGCATCTTCAAAATACTGAAGGTTAAAAGTGTCAACCTAGGGTTCTTAGTGAAAATATATTTCAATAACTTTTTTAGTTATTATATTCTTGGTGGTAAGCTTTGCATTGTTATTCTGAAACTTTTGTACGTGTATGTCAGATAAAGCAAGTAAGTAATTGTGTTGCTGTCATTAAGAACTGGAATTGTCAGCATAGGCTAAAAGAGGTATACATGCTGCCTGTGAGATTGAGTGAGAACACTGTAGTCCTGAACTTAAATTGGAAGTATTAATAAGAGCTCATGATACATTTTGTTAAGAAAATACATGTTTATATCTATGTTCACCCCAAAAGGATTAGATCAATGGAATAGAATTAAGAATCCAGAAAAAAAAATACACCTATAGTCAATTGATTTTTAACAATGGTGACAAGACTGTGCAAAGGGGAAAGAATAGCCTTTTCAACACATTGTGCTGGAAGAGCTAGATATCCACATGCAAAAGAATTAGTTTGGATCCCTGCTTCATAATATATAACAAAAATTGACACCAAAATGGATCAAAGACCTTATTGTAAGAGCTAAAACTATACAACTTTTAGAAAAAAACAGGCATAAATCTTCCTGACCTTGTATTAAGCAATGGTTTCTTAGACATTGCACCAAAAACGCCAGTATTTTAAGAAATGATAAATAAATTGGACTTAATCAAAATTAAAAGCACATACCTTCTTCTGTGCTTTAAAAGACACACCAAGAGAGTGAAAGCACAATTGATAGAATGGGAGAAAACATTTGCAAATCCTGATATCAACTTATAACTGAAATATCAATGCTGATCAAGGGTATCCAGAATATACAAAAAAGCTCTAATAATTCAATAATAAAAAGACAAGTCTCTAAAGAAAATATAGAAATGATCAATAATGACATAAGAGATTTAATATCATCAGCCATCAGAAAATGTAAACCAAAACCACAATGAGATACCACTTTACGCACACTGGGATAGCTAAAATAACAGAAAATAATGCAAAATGAATGTTGGTGAGGATGTGGAGAAGCTGAAACATTTGTCCATTGCTGATGGAAATGTAAAATGGTGCAGCCACTGTTGAAAAACGTGTGGCAGTTCCTCAGTAAGTTAAACATAGAATTACCATACGACTCAATAGTTTCACTCTTATGTATATACCTTAATAATTGAAAACAGGTGTTCAAACTAAAGTCTCTACACAAATGTCACAGCAGCACTCATCACAAGAGTAAAAAACTCAAAGCATCCCAAATGTCCATCAGCTGATGAATAAACAAAATATGAAACACAGTACAGTGAACTATTCTTTTTTTTTTTTTTTTTTTTTTTTTTTGAGACGGAGTCTCGCTCTGTCGCCCAGGCTGGAGTGCAGTGGCGGGATCTCGGCTCACTGCAAGCTCCGCTTCCCGGGTTCACGCCATTCTCCTGCCTCAGCCTCCCAAGTAGCTGGGACTACAGGCGCCCGCCACTACGCCTGGCTAATTTTTTGTATTTTTAGTAGAGACGGGGTTTCACCGTTTTAGCCGGGATGGTCTCGATCTCCTGACCTCGTGATCCGCCCGCCTCGGCCTCCCAAAGTGCTGGGATTACAGGCGTGAGCCACCACGCCCGGCCTGAACTATTCTTAAGCTATGAAAAGGATGGAAATTCTGATACATGCTGCAGTATGGATGAACCTTCAAAACATTATGCTAAGTGAAAGAAGCCAGACACAAAAGGCTGTATGTGGTATGATTCCATCCACATGAAATATCCAGAGGCGGCCAATTCATAGAGATAAAGCATATCTGTGATTCCCAGGGCCTGAGGGAGGCAGGAATGGGAAGCGATTGCTTAATGCTTGCAGAGCTTCCTTTTAGCGAAATGAAAAGTATTGGAACTAGATAGCCGAGATTGTTGCAAAACATCGTGTATGTCACTAATAGAAATTTTTGTTATAGATATTTTAGCACAAAAACGTTGTAGATGATAGTAAACAGTGAATGTTATAATTCCTCTACAAGTTTAAAAAAATCTGGAGTGGGGAAGTAGGTAGAAGATATGGATGAAATGAGTTGGATCACAACTTGATAATTGTTGAAGATAAATGATAGATAAACATGGAGTTTTTTACACAATTCTTTCTATTTTGATTAGCTTTAAATATATTAATAATCAGAAATATAATCAAATATACAGACACTTTAAAGATTGTATCAAGGAATCAGTAGATTTTGTTTATTCTTTTTAACAGAACAATTAATGAAGACTAGGTCCTTGGGAAACAAGTTGCACAGGCTGTGACTTCAATATAATTTTATGTGTAGTTGGATAGGCTACTTTTTCCAATTATATGGTTTTATTTGACAATGCCACAGAATTAAGTTTAGAAGGACAAGATCAGTAGCATAGTTGCCAAGTGAATATTAGTTTTAGAAATGATAGTATAAGCATACATGCCTGAAAATTATCCAGGGCTTATCTCAGTGCCTCATACGACGAACTCTCAATATGAGGTTGCTTATTAAATTAATGAATGCTCCAGTATCTGTGTTTGGCCATATACCTCATAGGACTGTTGTGAGTAATTCAATGTTGCTAATTTGAGGGAATGCAAATTTCCTTATGAGAGGGGAGATAACAACCGCTTTAAGTGTTTTGAATCAATTAATTGATTTCCAAAACAAAAACGGTGCTTTTCAAAACAGCTGACAAACTAGTTAGGCCACAATAAATTGCTAGACTAATTGTTTGTAATATCGTATCAATGTGAATGTGTTGAACTAACCAGTTGCTGGGTGTCATGTAGCTATGACCTGAGATTTTAATTTATAACTTAAAATATCAATGCTGATCAATTCATCTAATTTGGAGGCAAAAAACTGTTGTCCATTATAAATTAAGTATTATTTGACAATGCCATAATTAAAAGTATTTTAAAATTAAGTATTATTTGACAATTATTGTCAAATAAAAACAATTATTTGACAATAATAATTGGGTTATTGACAATAACCCTATCGCTATTATTATTGTTAAATAATTGTCAAATAAAACTTCTACCTACTTACCCTAAATTAAATCAACTCATCTCCCTATTTTGATATATATTTCTTTTCTTTTTCTTTCTTTCTTTTTTTTTTTGAGATGGAGTCTCGCTCTGTGGCCCAGGCTGGAGTGCAGTGGGGTGATCTCAGCTCACTGCAATCTTTGCCTCCGGAATTCAAGCAATTCGCTTTCCTTAGCCTCCCTAGTAGCTGGGACTGCGGGCACCCACCACCACGTCCGGCTAATTTTTGTATTTTTACTAGAGATAGGGTTTCGCCATGTTGCCCAGGCTGGTCTCAAACTCCTGACCTCAGGTGATCCACCCGCCTCGGCCTCCCAAAGTGCTGAGATTACAAGCCTATTGTGATATACATTTCTATAGCCCAGCAAATCATTCAAAGCTTGAGGGTCTTTGTTACGGCTACAGCTGCACCTGCTTGTTGCCTCTCCAGCCGGCCGCTTTGACTGAATGGCTGCGCTTCGTTCCTGACGATGCCATGTGAGAGTTCACAGGATACTAGGTAAGCGGCCAGGAGCCAGCTTGCTTCAACACCCGGGACAAATGTCCCCCGGAACCTCGGCCCAGCCTGCTGGCTGCAGCCCGTTTGTTCCCCCGCCTGCCTCCCTCAAAGCGTCTGCCCCCTTTCCGGTTCTAGTCACTCTCCAGGACTCCCCAGTTACATCCTGCGGTTTCCGGAACAGTGTGTCTGTGGCTGCCTCTCGCTTCCAGGCGGCCGGGATCATTTTCCCTCTCTCCTTTCGTTCGCTGTTTACGCGGCCTTCAGAATTACTGGGGATTTCTTTTGATCACTCAGGATCCAAATCATTTGTTTATCTTAAGAAAATAGAAACTAATTCTTACACGCTGTGATGGCCAACTTAGATGACGTAGATAACTCACGTGATTATAATGATATAGAACATTTGGAAGTTAGACGAGGAAAGCCGCGTGTTCCCCCCCTCCCCTATTTCACCTGAGATGTGACTCTCTGGGGAAACGGCCACAGCTGGAGCACGCGTGAGACACGTACAGAGGATGAGGCCCCGTGGAATTCTCTAGCACGCCCCCACCTGGTCCTGTGATCCAAGGCAGAGCTCCACACGCCTACAGGCGTCATTAGCCACTCATCAGCCACCATCAGGCCCAAGGGTGGCAGCAGATAGGGTCGCCAGCCAGTGTCTGCTCCAGAAACAACATTAGACCCACGGCATAATCTACTGGAAGGTTCTTTTCCATTTTCACCAAAGAAAATGCGGCTAATGCCTTCCAAAAGAGGAAAAGGAAAATGAAACTAATAACAAAAGATCCTGCTGGCTACAATTATATTAGGTAAAGAAATAGTGAGTATGTGTTTGTTTTTACCCGCTATTTAGTAGAGGTATTTTCATATACACACATATATAAAGACATTGTTGAATTTTAGTACAGTACTTTAACATGATTTGGTTATACTAAAAATAAAATCTTTTCTTTTCCATATTTCATTGTGGTACAATTTCCTGTCTCAAAGAAAGATGGAAACTTTTACTTGGAAGATATATAGTGAGAATTTCCTGTAATACTGAATTAGCTCCAGTCAAAATGAACTATTTTACACTGCCATTATTACTCACTTACCAAAAATACTTTGTTCTGGGTTTAATATTTTCTGAATACTTTTAACTTTCCAAAGCACTTTCTCATCAAATATCATTTTTGGCCTCACAATAAGCCTGAGTTAGGCTCACCCAATATCTAACTAGATTTTTTTTAGGCAACAGAAGCTGATGTCATTTGTTTATGATGCCTATGTGTGCCTTGACACTTTAAAAAATAATTCAGTAAAAAAATCACATTAAAAATCACATAAAAGACTTTTAATACCATACCTTGACAATAGATACGTCCATGCAAAGCTATGAGACTCCACCACAGTTTCATTATGATCTGATTATGATGTCAATGCAAATTTCTAAAAAACTCTATCCAACTGTAATTTCAAGACAGTTTCATTGCATTAAGAAACAAAACAGTCAACATAGCATTGCATTAATTTGGGGGGTTTTGACAGAAAGCTATAAAACAAAGGAATGTGACAAATCAAGTCAACCTAGAATTTGGCTTCCCTGAGAGTGGGGAGTATTATCGAAGTTCATGATTCCAAATATAGAGACCAGTGGGCGATGCCAAATGGAGCCTGGTGAACTTGGGCACAACTGGCTGGAATTAATTAACGTGCCATCTAGGATCCTCAGTTGCTGACTTTCTGTATTGCCGGATCCGGTTCGCACAATGATATGTAGCCCTTTCCTGCTACCCTACTATTGAAGCCAAGGGGGAGTGCTGCTGGCAGGCATTCCTTTCTCTACTTTGGTTTTTTTTTTTTTTCCACCCTGTGTATTTATGGGAGTTTTAAATACTATCTTTTCCTGTTTACCATATGTCAAATTCTACATGAACTGATAAAAACATGCAAAGGCCTTATCACTCTAATCTCCTAAAATAGACTTGCTTCCCTCCTACCTCCTACACTTCATCAAGCCCTAACTACTAATTACTAAAATCTAAAATGCTCATCTGACCGAACTGCACTACGTGTCCGTTTTTAAAGACCTCAGTTCCATTATCCCCACTGATGTGGGCACCCAGGAAAAACAAAAACAAAAACAAAAAAAAGCAATCCCTGTTTGTATTTTTCCATGATGCAGCTACTCAGCTCTGGAAAAGTTCAGTATAATGATTATTTCCCCCCACCTCCACCCCCCTCAAATATAATATGCTTTCTTTAAAACAAGCCAGCACCCTCCTTGCTACTGGAGCTCTGCTGCCTGGATTGACACCATAGCAGCCGCCTTCATCAGAGCCCGCTGTGATGCTCCCAACTCCTCACTCCAGGGAGTGCTTCCCTGCTTGATGCTGGTAGCAGATTAAAGCTGTTCTAATTTTCCATCCAAGCCAAATAGATGCATAAGCAAGCTGTTAGATTGTCTCAGGATCAGCACAGTAAACCAGCCTTACGCTTTTTCAGAGCTCCACTGCAGTTAGCATATCGGTGAACATTTGCAAGTGAAATCATATGGAGAGGAGAGAGGAGGGAGGAAGTGGAAGACAGAGGTAGGAGAACACCACTCCCAAAGCCAAATGCAGATCCCTGCTGAAGTGGCAGTGAAAAGTCAAAAGGCACTCTACCAGAATTTAGTGAAAAACGCATGCAATAAACACTGAAAAATACCGCTTATTGAGAAAAAGGAAGAGAGAAGCATGGAGGATCATCTCCTTGCATTTATAGTAAAAAAACAATTTGTCATGCTCTGTTCTGCACAAGACACTCTGTCCAAACAGACAAAGGAGAAAACAGAATTGTAAGGCAGCTCGGTCATTACAAGCTGAAAGCAACTAAGGCCTATGTTCTGTGACCCAGTCGCAGGTCAGTACAGATGCCCACTTGGGATTCGGGGCTGGGAGTCCAATTTGAACTTATCTCCCAACCCCTTACTCAAATAAAGCTCATGATGGAATTGCTGGTAAAGACAGCAGTCAGTTATGTAAATGAGATAAAGTGTCCATCGCACAATATGAATTTGGATGTGACACATTGCCAGACTTGGAGAAAATAGTAAGAACCAAGATGGTAAAATGCAGAAAGGCAAAGAAAGTTTAAATCAACAGAAACATAAGAAACATGCCTGCAGCTCAAAGTGCTGAATAAATGGGGTGAAGATGAGGGAGAGATAATTACATGCCTTGTTAGAACTAGTTTTTATCATCATTGTGTTAAACATTTATAATAAAAGCCCAGGTGCACGAAGCATTCTGCTGAGTGTGGTACACAGCAAGACACACAGAGATACTCTTTATCCCTTGCAAGACTTTCTACAGAGAGAGTTGGGAATAGAACGCACACAAATGCTATTCATGACAAAAAAAAAGCCCACCAAATCATTGACTGTGGGGCTTCCCATGATGAGATTTCTCGTGCACATGCAGTATGCGCTCCTAAACAAAATGCAAGCATAACATTTTAAAAGGAGACTCTGCCTACAAAGACTTCACACTAACACAGACAAATGTGAAAGTACTCTATAAATGAAAGAAATGAATACATATTAGCCTTAGTGGGTCAAAATATGTTCCTCTCCCCCAAAATATGCTGAAACGCTAACCTGGGGTACTTGCGAATGTGATCTTATTTGGAAATAGGGTCGCTGCAGTGAAATCAAGGTAAGAGGAAGTTGTGCTGGAGTAGGGTGGGCCTTATTCAAAGAGAAAGACACACAGACACAGAGAGAAGACAGTCAGGTGATGGCAGAGCCAGAGGTTGGGAGGATGCAGCCACAGGCCAAGAGTGCGGAGGATTGCTGGGAGCCACCAGGAGCTGAGTGAGAGGCAAAAGTGTTCCCTAGAGCCATGGGAGGAGCACACCCCTGATGGCGCCTTGGTTTTAGACTCTCAGCCTCCAAAACTGTAAGGACACATTTCTGTTGTTTTAAGGCACCCAGGTTGTGACGCATTGTTATGGCAGCCCTGGGAAGCAATTATATGTAGTAAAGTCAGATCTGCCTTAATTTGATGTTCAGCTTTGGAAATTTTACTCTATGTGTACAAAGTATTTCAACTGCAGTAAGTGTCTGACCTTATAATTTAAAAATTGCATTCCAGTGTGAATGATGGCCTGAGTGCATGTTTTCCGTGACAGGTTAGCTTTTTTACCTCCTCCTCTCTCAACTGCCCGTGCCACCAAGGTGTCCATCCCAAAATAGGCCAGTGCCACCCAGTGAGCCATCGCCACGCCCATCTCCTGAACGAGGTTTGTCCTGGCTTTGCCACAAACCACTCCACAGAACTTCAGCTCAAGTTTGTTCTCATTCTCCTATCTGATAGCTTCATCCTTAGAAGCTCCTTTTCATTTTTGTCCCTTCTGTCTAGCTGCCAATGCTAGCAAGGATGTAGTGAAATTTAAATCTCTCAAAATTCTGAAAAGATGTGAGTTGGTTTCTTTCTGCAAATCAGTAAGATGGTGCAAGAGCTTTAAATGTGTTCATGATCTTAGGACCTAATAATCTTCCTCCTAAGAATCTCCATGCAAGAATCAAATGTCATGCAAAGCTGCTCATTTCAGAGTTCTATCTCTCCTGCGTCCTCATTCACTAGTGCAGAATCCAGTGCCTAAGAGGGCCTGTTACTGGGGGCATCCATGAGGAGCATCTGCCATTGGCTTGTGAACACACCAATCAATTATTGGTGCATATCCTCATTTATTCCTCTTCTCTTTGTCCTTCCTCAAGGTATTTCCAGGAATGAGGGTTGTCCCAGCATGACTCCCTTGAGTACTGAGGTTCCTCCAGGCATCATCATCACCTTGACCAGGGACTGTGCCCTAGTGGGGAGCAGCTGCTAGATGGGGGGACCTCATCCACAGTGTGGTGCTGAGCCCACTGCTGCCATTTCCACTGTGCATAACCACTTTTGTGCAAAAACCCTCAAGGGTGATGGAAGGGAGCCAGAGAAAGGTAGGGAAAATAATAATTCGGACTGACTTATATTCTACTCTACTGTCTGAGTCTCATAGAGCTATAGGAGGAAGCACCGCTACCTGGGCTCTATCCCATTGGTATTGCTCAAATATTGGTCTATGGAAGGCCAAGAGGAATGCCAGGAGAGGGAACTCCAGCAGCTCCTTCCTCCTCTCCAACAACGATGGCCTTGACATCCAGTGATGTGCTTGGTCCCTGGTGGAACTGGACTCTGTCTGGCCCATCCCACCACAGGATGGACACAGCTTATTGGAGGTCATCCCACATAGCTGTAATATCAGCCAAAGAAAGTGTGACAGAAAGTAGATTAAACCCATATGATGGAATAGCATTTATCCATTAATGGTACCTCTTTTTAATAATGACTTTAAAAGTTCCTGTTACATATTATGTGAGAAGATGATTCCGAATTATGTACCAAGTAAAATCTTACTTATTAAGAAATATATACATATATTCATATATTTATACGTAGAAAAATAAGCTAGGAAGATATACACCTTAACGTTAACAATCACTAAGTAGTGAAGTTAGGGGTGATTTTAATCATTCATTAACTTTCAAGAGCTTTTCAAGTGTTTTGTTTTTTCACTTCTTTAATAATATGCATACTTTTCTATTAAATAATAGGATGCTTAAGAAATGTCCAAACCTTTGTTCTCCTAATGCCAAATTACACAAGACTCTGAGAGGAGCCAACAGCGCATTTACCCATCTTCAGCCATCCCAGGGTGTCCCCCCCTCACCTACCCAGGACTGGAGCAGTGCAGAGACCCTCAAGCAGGGCGTGCCACCTGGGAAGCTCTCACCTCACCCACCCAGGACTGGAGCAGTGCAGGGGTCCCTGAGCAGGGCGTGCCACCTGGGAAGCTCTGGTCTTTGGTCTGTGCTCCTTGTGTGGTCTCCTAAGAGGCTCTCTGTGGCTCTCATGTTGAACCTAGGGTCCAGGAGCTGTTTGCAGGGCTGGGCCCAGCCTCCCTAAGCAAGTGGAGCCTCTGTGTCTTCGGGTCTTGCCACGTGCCCGGCACTGCCCTGGTGGGCCTGGCTGCCACGCAAGTTCATTCCCTCTGGATCTGAAGGGGCTTCCTTTCTATCACTTCCATCTCACGATCCCTGTACTCAGTTCCAAGTTCAGACTTTTTATGAAAGACAGAAAGCATCATGTCTTCCAGAACTCTCTGCTTTTGCCCTTGAGAAGGCCCTGGTTTAAGAAATTTAAAAGCAGTTTGTCAGGAACAGGAAAAGGACAAACACTGAGCAAAACAAACACAAATAAAAACCTCCTTAAACATTCCTGCCTCCTTTTTGTGATTATATTTTTTTAAATGTGTTTCTTGAGTCATATGAAGAGAAAATAAACTGCAAGAATTAGGAATTCAGAGTAAGATAGTTGGAAAGGAGTATGGTTGTGTCTATCCAGAGACACTGAAAGTTGTGGCTTACCCTAAACACGAGCTGGCAAAACCACATTTGTGTTTGAGTCAAAGTTTATTTTTCCGACTCAATATGGCAGCTGTACTTGCCATCAATCTTAGAAGATTAAGCTGACCAGCAATTTACATTTTTTAACCAAAGAAACCATTTTTCCTGGAGTGAATAATATGAAAATTATTTTGATCATTCTGTATCTTACATTCCTTTGGCATTTTCTGTTTGCTGTTGCGAGGTGGAGTATGATTTCAAATGTGCAAACTCTTCTACAGTGTGTATCATGAGCATTTGAACCACTAAAGTTTACCCACCATAATGAACCTTGAAGGACATTAGCTTTGGAAATAGTGCATTTTTATGTTTGAGGTTGCTGCGATGTACAGGGTCTGACAGAGCAAACACTCATTTGGGGATTCTTGTGGGCAACAGAAAAATCCCGAATTGCCAAACTTTATTTCCATTAAAATTGGGAGTTTGAAAGACTCTCCAAATGCAGGGGAATGAAAGAAAACTCAGAATAAAAAAAAGAACTTAAAGAACTTACCTATGAATTCTCATCCATCAGTCCTTTCAGAAAGATTTTATGCAGAAGGGAAAAATATATATATTTAAAGAAAGCTTAGATTCATTAGGAATGAAAAAGGAAAACATTATTCAAAGCTGCTGTAAAATATGCTAAGAATCCATTTGGCATTTCTGTAGGCTCTTGTCTTCCAAGCATCCGGAATTTGGGGGACATGTGGCCTATATTTTGCCTTCTCTCATGAGGATGGGCACTAAGCCGCGGTTTCTCAATTTGTCCTCATCAGTCATACATTGTTGGAGTGATGCTCCTCAGTCCCCATCCAGTCCTAAGCAAGAAGCCATGACTGAGAAACCCTCTGCTTTTCTTACTAGTCGCCAAATGACAAGCTTTCCCCCACTATCATCAATGTCACTACAACTAAGGGGCCTGTGTTCCCACCACAGGCTCCCTCCCAGTTTAAAGAGATTTGATCAGTGCCATTCGTTTGCATTCTGCTGAAAACACAGTAGAAGGTTTTGGCTCCAGTGCAAATGTATTAGGATTACTCTGAAAAACAAAAAAGTTTTAGATTAGTTAAGCCTGTATTGAATTAAGTCATAATAAAAGAACAGTCTCTTACGGGTTTAAACTGTGGCTTGGCCAACATTCTAGACAAACACACTCACGGTGGGTGTGGGGAGAGAAAGGGGGGATGGGGGAAATGAAAAGCCTTTCTTCTAAAAGGAAAGTCATTTTAGAATGTGGTAATCCTCAGTAATGAGGACAATACACTCTTTTGTTGCTTTTTAAAATAAATTTCATCGGCATTTTAATTTTTAAAAAATCTTTAGAAATGCACAGTAGTTCCATTTCATTTTTTGGGTACACCTTTCCAACATCCATGGGCCCTCAACTCAATAGATAAGGGCATTCATATATCTAAAAGTCTAAACCCCTAGGAAAATGTTTTCCATGCAAATTGTGAAACTGTGTCAATGAATTATTTTAAAAGGGAGTGATTAAACTAATACATTTTAAAGACACTAACTCAAGTTCTGACTTGAACCAACCAAAATGAAATTATTAGCCTTAAGATTCTCATGCTCTTAATCCCACTCAGCCAATCCACTTGTTTACTCTGTACATGACACAGACCTCCCTCAAGATAATAAGCGTGATAACAGTTGCCTCATTTGTATAGTATTCCACATATATATGTCATTTGATATCTAGGAAGAAGCTATAACATTAAGAAGACAGCTATTACTCCCATTTTTAATATGTAAAGAAATTAAACTCACTTTCATAAAACTGAACTATTCAAGGTCACATGACCGGTAAGGAAGCGTAAACCTGGATTTTTCTGACTCACAATCCCATTTTCAAAATTTTGAAAACCTCCACCATATATTATCATGGTTAAAATCTTAATCCAAAAGATAAGTTAAACTCACTTTGGAAGTCAGACCTGATTCTACTATATCCATCCATATATATATATATAGTATAGGTTAGTGCAAAACTAATTGCAGTTTTTGGCATTTAAAAGTAATATCTTTAAAATGTGTTTATTTAATTTAATCACTCTCTTTTAGAATAATTCATGGACATAGTTTCACAATATGCATGGAAAACATTTTCCTAGGGGGTTAGACTTTTAGATATATGAACTGCCCTCACTTAGTGAGTTGAGGGCCCATGGGATGTTGGAAAGATGTACCAAAGAGATGAAGTGGAACTACTGTGCATTTTTGAGGAATTTTTAAAACCTGAAATATCTATGAAATTTATTTTAAAAAGCAACAAATGATCATATTGTCCTCATTACCAAAGATTACCATGTATACTTTCTGATCGTCTGAGAACTGCCAGCCCTTCACTCCTCCCTGTTGGATCTTCTCACTTACTGGACTCCATGACCTCATTCTGGTCAGTGCTGGCCACTTTGGCCATATACACTAGTATATATACTATATATGCTATATATATACACACTATATATACTAGCATGTATACTACATATAATATATATTCCACTATAATATATAGTAGAATAGTGTGCATATATATATATACACACTATATATGTATATATTATGTATACATATATATGAGATTGTTCCTACAAAATACCAGCCCATCTTGCCTGATATGGAAGGCAATGTTTATCTTTCATTTTCCTTCCTACTCTCCTTTTAATACCTTTCTTCCATAGCTTTCTTCCCCATATTATGTACAAAATATTTGTGTGTATATGTATGTATGTGTGTGTATATATATATATCTGTGTGTATATATGTATGTATGTGTGTATATGTGTGTGTATGTATATGTATATTTAGAGTGAAATTAAAACCTTCTTCCCTCTGTCTTGGATTCTTCTGTAAATTCATTATCTGGCTAGCGGATGGTATAAAACTGAGCAACGCTGTCATGAACTGTCTTGTGACCCAGGGAAACTGCATGATCCACTTGATTGCTGGAAAATGCCAAGGAATATATGGGCTAAGCCTTTAGCCTTCTATGGAGAAAAAAAGAATTAAAATATATCTATAAGACATATAGGCTATGGATTTTTTAAAAATGAGACTGATTTTCCTCATTTAGACAGGAGAGGAATAGCTCTGAGAAATTAAAGATCTGACAGCACTCAGTACACATGGCAACTAACCATGAAAAGTAAGGGGAATTTCCAAAGTGATCATGAATAAAAATATCAATGATAATACCCTTTACGTTTTTGATCATACAATGGAGTGAAAGAGATTGTTAGGTAATAGGGAGAGCGATAATAAAAAGATTTATTTATAACTATTAGACACTCAGCAAAGAACATGTACATTACTTCCACTAAATCTTCATATAAACCCCAAGTCATATGCATTTGTCCATTTCACAGATGTGGAACTAAGGCTTACGTATTAATATGACTTTGCTAATGTCACAAAACTAATGACAGTAAGAGCATTTCTACCCAGTTCTGCCTAGTACCAGAGTCTATGTTTGAATCCTAATGCTCTGCTAATGCTTACAGCAGACCAGTGATGGAAGACTTGTGCAGATAATTTCACAATGCCAGAGCTTCTTTTCCCTACAATGTGTTTGTCTGTCTTCTATCTGTTTACCCATTATGTATTTATTTGCCTTAAATTTTGTCCTTACTTACAAAAATACCACAGAAAGATACAATAAATTAAGCTTCATTATGCCCTAGTATAAATTAATTTCTCAATAAGTTTTGTTTGGAGGAATGAGAGACAGAACTCCTGGGAGCCTGGGGGACTGACTGGAAGAACTGTAGAAGGGGAGGGAGTTAGGGAAGAATGGTAGGAAATCAAGGGGAAGGTAAACATTACCTTCCAGATTAGGCAAGATGGGCTGGTATTCCGTGAAAAAAAATCTGATTATCTCAGTAGCTTAACATTACAAATATTTTTTTCTTTTTTTAAAAATGTAAGTTTTCAATTGACACAGATTAATTGTACACATTTATGCAGTACAATGTTATGTTTGGGAATATGTCTACGTTGTTGAAAGATTAAATCAAGCTAATTATACCTATCACCTCACCCACTTTTAATTTTCTTCCTGATGAGAATATTTTAAATCTACTATTTTAGCAATTTTAAAATAGATAATAAACTACTATAAACTATGGTCACCATGCTGTGCAATAGACCACTAAAATTTATTCCTCTCTTCTAACTGAAACTTGGAACCTTTGACCCACATCTCAACACTTTTTTTCTTATTCCCACTGTATCCTCACTTTAGCTAAAGGTGGCGCTGAGCTCAGCATGGTCCCTGCTTTGGGTTCCAGGTTGACAATGTTGCCACAATCTCCCACATTTCCAGCTGCCATGGCAGAGGGAAAGAGAGCTCTAGGGGGTCTCCCACAGGCCACCAAATGCTCCAACCCAAAAGTGACACACAGCATTCTGCTCCCAATTCACTGACCAGAACTTAGGGGTGAGGACGAACCTCAGGTAGGGACAGAAGGTGCAAATCTATGGCATGAACACAAGGTGAGAGGCCAGAACAATGTCGTGGCAATGCCAGTGAAGATTCGCTCACTGCGTATTTCTCAGTATTTGCCTACCTTCCACAGGGCGTGGATTTGGCTCTGCTCACACTTAGGAGAGCATCTTTCCTCCCAATGTATTTCAGTTCATTGCCCCATTTGCTGTTCACATTACTTTCTGAAACTGTTATTTTTCAGAAGATCAACTTCTCTTCCATCACACACATATATCATATTACCAAAGTAAGTCAAGAATATATCTTTTAAAAACGTTTGGAATGAGAATGGGTAATGAAGTTTCCCATATTTTTGATGGGAGGGTTTTGTCATCTTTATCAAAGGGAGAACCTTGTCTGCTACTTCAATTATGTTCTTTCCTTACACATTATCTTATCAGAGGCATTGTATGAGATCTTAAAATCATGAATTTCTGACTGATGTGAATGATTCATCTTATTGTAATTTTCTGTGAATATTGTGATAGCCAAGTGGAAAGGGAAATTCATTTGTATGCGGTGAGATCTTAGAAAATCAAACTTTACTTTAAAAATAAATTTTTATTGCCATGAGGCATTTCTTTTGTGTCATTCCTCACCTTGATGAGAAAGTGATGGACCCTTTGTAATGAGTAGTATCTGAATCATGCTGGAAGATGTCAAAATAAAATGAAGATTTCAAAAATGAATAGCTTCCCATCATTCTGCAAAAAAAAAAAAGGCAAATCACATCTCAATTTAGTAAGCAAATATTTCATTTCCTGTAAATTATATATAAATATATAATTGTTTAAAGTTTGTTACAGTGATTCAAGGATTTTGTTGAGACTCAAATGGTTGTCTATGACATCCATGCCTTGTACTGCACACAATGATTGAAAACTCAAGAATTTGTAAGAAACCATCTCAGCCCTCTAGAATCTTAAATCCTGGTTAAGAAGAAGAGACAGTGTCATAGCTCAGTTTTACCGAAAGCAGAACTTGAGATAAGACTTCACGTGCAATGACTTATTTATTAAGAAAGTGTTCCCTGGAGAAAATAATGAAAAAAAGAAGGAATCAAGGTGGGGAAGGGGGAAGGCCAAACAGGGATGTAATTTCAGGCAAAATCCTACAGCAAGTGTTCCAGCCTGGTCCTTCAGGATAATTCAGAAGTGTGAAGTATACCTAGGAGTTGTCTTGATCTGAAACATTGGAGCTGAGTTTCTGTACTCTTGAACTTCTCAGTCATTGGCTAAGGTCTGCATCAAGGGAACAGAAACTCCTAGGTAATTCCAGCTCTCTGCACATGTAATAAAAGTGACTCCAGTAGCCCAAAGGCCATCTTTCAAAGAAGCATTGCAGGTAGCAGTCATCAAAGGCAAACCATCCAGATGTTGGGGTGGGGGCAAGGGGAAAGTCATCAGGTGGGGATTCTAGGGAATATGGGAGAAGCACTGACAATATTCATTTCACTTCACCCCTTGCTTTGCTTAAATCCACTCACATTACGTTTGCTTTATACTGTCATGACATCTTCAAGGTGGTTGTTAGTCACAATGTCTGGGGGAAATTGACAAGGAGAAGGTTAGTGGGATGACCTATAGCTCCCATTGCAGCCATTGGTCTAAGACTATAACTTACATTCATCATCTCCATGCATTGGGGCATATCTATTTGCTCCCATGAAAATTGTTGCCATGCTTGTCCAATCTTATGATTTGGTGAGTCTAAAAACAGCCAGCTCTTGATGAACAACTCTGCCTGAGTGGTCATGTGATGCCTATGGCCAGACGCTCAGTCTCCACCAAGGCCCAGGACCAAGCCAAGAGATGCTTTCCACATGTCCCTCTGCTGCAGGGGGCCTGGCTTCGATCCAGAACTCCAGAAATGTGCACTGCAACCCTCATATTGGGCCCAGCTAGTGATTCCACATGATATTTACATCTATGGCAGGTACATCCAGCAGCATGGAATAGGATGACTTATACGGCCCAAGAGGCAGTGTTGTGTGCACTGCAGTTCGGACCTTCTACAGAGCCTCTGTTGCTCTAAGCCCACTTGAAATGGTCATTTTGCAAGTCGTTTGATAAATGGGCCAATAGAGTATTTCCAAATATGACATGTGCTGTCTTCAAAACCTTAATATGCCTACAAGTCCATCTTCTTTCTTAATGGAAGAAGGTCCAAGATGTCATAACATGTCTTTTACCTAAGAGTGAACAGCCTGGCCCACCCCAGATCTCTGGATCCCTGAAAAATCACCAGTATACCAGGCCCCTCAAACCTTGTAGAGTTTATCTCCTACCCTATGAAGCACAACCAGGATGGTCACCACTTTCTGCTAATCATGTCCTATAAACATGTCATCAATGTAATGGACCAACAGGATACTCTGGAATGCCCAGAGGGTCCAGCCCCTTCAGGCTGTATTGTGATGGAGATAACACAACCATGGAGCAGGGCTGTGGGTGCAAACTGCCCACCCTTCCCAGTGAATACAAGCAGATTCTGGCCCTCCTTCATGATGGGTATAGAAAAGAATGCATTCACTAACTCCATAGCCATACCACAAACCAGAGTCCAGCAAGGATACCACATCTACCACAGAGTCTGAGACTGGAGTTGCCATTTGGTTAAGTTTGTGGTAGTCCACGTTGATCCCATAGGATCCATCAGGTTTTTTTACTGGCCAGATTGATGAACTCAGTACTGTAGATGTAACAGAGAACACCACATTGCATCAGTTAAGTCTTTGAGACGGGCAATACTTAGCCATTCCACCCAGGCTGAGGTCAGTTTTCTCCCACGCTATCTTGGCTGGGGCCAAGGAGAGTGAAGGGGTTTCTGTTTAGCCTTTCCAATCATGGTACCCCTTACTCTTCAGATCAAGAAACTAGTGAGGGTACTGCAGCCTGCTAACAATGTCCATCTTACTTATGCATTTGGGAACCAGAAAAATGACGATTCATGGATCCATTCGTATGACAGTTCTGAGTCAGGACTTCATATATCACCTGACTCCCTCCAAAAGGTGGCTGTGATGTTACTTTGGGTTCCCTGGAGCCACCATCCCATAAGACCTCTTGTTGATTAGGCCTTGAAAAACGTGGCAGTGTTTTTTTTCTAAGTGGTGTGTTACTCAGACCAGTGTCTGAAAGTCCCCTTGGAGAAGAACATCAGGAATTGCTACTGCATACCTGGCAGAGATCAGGGTTCTTTTTCAAGGCTACCCTGTTTCTCCTTCCATCCAAAAGCTCTGGGTCTGAGAACTGGCTCAGACTTGGAAACTGGATGAGGGATCCTGTCTTACAATGGAGTCACTAGCATTAGCTTACCGCTCATCCACTCTTGATTTCTTGATTGTGTAAAGTGATACTCTTGTCAGCTGCACACATGTCTTGCCTGTAGGAACCCTGTGGTCTCTTATCTATCCTCATAGATAACTGAGGGTGGTCTATTATCCATCCTCATAGATAACTGAGGGTGATCTATTATCTATCCTCGTAGATAACTGAGGGTGGTCTATTATCCATTTTCATAGATAACTGAAGGTAGGTTCTATGGTGGCTTCTGCTCCTGCTGTCTGTTATGGTAATCATGGCCACCTTGACTCTGATGGGCACATGCTGCCTCCTGGCCACTGTGTTCTGCAATCCTATGAACTCTATAATACTAGGAGGCCCGATTATTTTATAGCAACCCCTCTCCTCAGCCCTGCTAGAGTTTCTCAGTGGTTCCGACACTCTCTACTGGTGCATTCCTTACCTCCTCAGTGGAAGGAATGTCCTCTGTGCCTTCCCAAGAAGCAGCGGTGGCTGGAGGGTTCTCAGGTTTTACAATGATTCATTGCAGCATGCTCATTTCTAAGACTCTTTTGATCCTTTCCTCAACATCCTGCCAAGGCAGTTCTGGCAGCCCACTTATTATAGGCTGTCATTTTTTCCTAAACTTTCTAGAGTCAACCCACAAGCACAATAGGACTGGCCTAGGAGTCCTTTCCAGGGTGTTGCTGAGTTAAGGATTCCTATCAACAAAGGCTGCCTTATACGATATACAGTTTGATATC
This sequence comes from Homo sapiens, assembly GCF_000001405.40. Taxonomy (NCBI): domain Eukaryota; kingdom Metazoa; phylum Chordata; class Mammalia; order Primates; family Hominidae; genus Homo; species Homo sapiens. The sequence continues at coordinate 75,574,137 of NC_000018.10, read as the reverse complement.
CGTCCCCTCCACGCACACACCCACTCATGCACGCAGATCCGTCGAGGTCCATTTCAATCACGTACTACCACTTTCTCACAGTATATTTTAGCCAGTCCTGCAACTCTTCATGTGAATAATCTCTTCTCCCCCTTAGCCGGATACTACTTCCCCAGTCATGTCATTAGACAATTTTGACACTAGATGTTGCTCTCATGGTCATGGGGGAACGTTAAGGCAGATCTTGGGTTGGGCAAGCATATTTCTGCAAGCCATATGCCTCAACTGAGACCTAGATAGTCTTCAGGCAAAGAGGGTTGCAAGAAAGAAAGAAGTGAGTGTTCTGCAGGCACAGAAAGTTCCGGGGATACAGGGGCCCAGTGTTCTAGAATGCATGTATCTTCACCCCAAGTTTTAGGGTTCCCTTCCTTCTCTAACACTGGTGTAGACTGAAGGGTGAAAATTTGGACAATTTTGAGGTTCTGGTTCTCTTTAGGGTCCTGGTCTTAGAGATTAGGATAGTCTTCTCTTTGGCAGCCAAAGATGAGGGTCTTTTATATGCTCTGTGGAGACCTTGTAGCTTTCTCTCACTGCCTTAACTTTGTATTTGGCTGACCTCTCTGCAATCTGTTAGTATTACTCAGCCACAACTAATTCCCCATCCTTAAAGTGACCATTTCCCCCATCTCTCTCAAATAACAGAGATATCACAAAAGTCAATGCAGCCTCTTAATCTATATCTCGTCTAAACCCATCACTCATGAAACTCCTAAGAATTGCAACGGCACACTACCTACAATATACCAGAGATGATCAATACTCCACTTACCACCAGTGAAAAGGACCTGCTACCATCTGGCCTGTGAGTGATCTAACTCTAGAATCCCATCCTCAAAGTCGGTTTCCAAGCACTATTCCCAGTACCAACTATCTTTGTTTGAGTTCCCCTAAACTGAACCTGAGATGAAAATTTGTATGTAAGGGATTTATTAAGAAAATCCTCCCAGGAGAAAGTGGCAAGGGAATGAGAGTGAGCAGAACAAGAAAGAGAAGGAGCCAGGCAAGGATATAAGTTTAGACTAAGACAGGAGGGCAGCCCAAGCCCAATGCTGCAGGGTAGTTCTGGAGTGCAAATTATGTCTTCGAATTTCTTCAACCCGGGGCGAGGAAGCTGAGTGTTCAAACTCCCACATGCCTCAGCCATTGGCTGCAAGCTCCTCCAGGTGAATATAAAATCCTGGGGTCTCCAGGTCTCTGCATGTGTGGAGACAGCTCCAGCAGCCTGAGGACAATCTTTCAAATAGAAGTTAAGTATCGGCCACTGGGCACTTTCAAAGCAGAGTGGAAGTTCTTCTACTCACAGGGAAGCCAGGGAATGGGAGCCCAGCAGAGGGATCCAGGGGATCCAGGAGGACCATTAACAGTGTCCTTTACAAATAGGAGATGGTTCAGTAAAAATACAAGCCACTTCATGACAACTGTTACTATGGGGGTTCAGAGTAGATCGAGCGCAATAGAGCTGAAATTTGAGGAAGAGATGGGATTTGAGTTGGGTCAGAGAAAATGAATACAATTCGGATGGATGAAGAAGAGAAACATTATTGTTTGCAGAAAGTACACCACAAATAAACTATTGGAGACAAAAATAAGATGTTTTTTCTGGATGGCAGATAAACATGTGAAAAGATGTTCAACATCACTAGCCATTAAGGAATGCACACTGAAACCACAATAAGGTATTACTACACACCTATTAGAACAACTAAAATAATAAATAGTAACAGCACGAAAGACTGGTGAGGAGGAAGAGAAATAGGATCTCTTAGACATTGCTAGTGGGAATGCAAAATGGTACAGCCACTCCGGAAAACAGTTTGGTGGTCTATTACACAACTAAATGCAGCATTTCCTACTATCCTATAGTTGAATTTCCGGACATTTTTCCAGTTTATGTTCCCACAAAACTTGTACATAGAAGCATCAGTCATAAGAGTCCAAAGCTGGAAACAGAGCAGATGTCCTTCAACTGGTGAATGATTAAGCAAACTGTGGCACATCCATGCTGTGGAATACTACTCGCCAGTAAAAAAAAGGGGGCTCGTGACACAGGCAATTGTTTGGGTGGATCTCAAGGCCATTATGCTGAGTAAACAATGCCAATATCAAAGTCACATACGATGACCCCACTTACCTCACATTCTCAAAATGACCAAAGTTGGAATGGGGGCTCAATCCACAGTTGTCAGATGTGTGAAAAGAAAAACTTTAGCTGAATTAAATTTAAAAGCGTTTGAGCAAAGAACGATTTGCAAATCGGACAGCCTCTGAGTGAGAGTAGGCTCTGAGACTCCAACATAGCCACATGGTGGAAGAAGATTTATGGACAGAAAAAGGAAAGTGACCTACAGAAAATGGAAGTAGGGTACAGAAACAGCCAAACTGGTTACAGCTCAACGTTCACCTTATTTGAACACAGTTTGAATTGTTGGCCACTTTTGGTTAGCTAAAACTCAGTGATCGGTGCAAGAGTAGACTGTAGTCTGTTAACAACTCCATTTAGGTTACAGTTCACATTTTACAGAGAAACCTTTAGACTGAACTTAAAATATGTAAGGAGGCAGCTTTAGGCTGAACTTGATTTAACAGAAGCCAGTGATGGTTGGGGATGATGGTGGATTTGATTATTTGATTATATGATTATATAAGGGTTGCACATCATACTTGTGATGATGGAAAAGTTCTGTATCTTCATCCCTGTGATGGTTACATGAATTTGTACATGTGACAAAATGGCATAAAACTATGCATATACATTGTACCAATGTCAATTTACTGGTTTTGATAATGTGCCATAGTTGTTTAAGTGTAACCATTGGAGAAAAATGAGTGAAAAATACATAGACCTTCTCTGTATTATGTTTTCAACTTCCTGTGAATATAAAATTATTTTAGATTTTTACTAATTAAAAAATAGGATGTCCTTGAAGAACATAGGTCATCACTCTGACCGAACTAAAAGGCTCTTGAGAAGAAATAATGGCTTATTCGTTTTTTTTTTTTTTTTTGGAGACAGAGTCTGGCTTTGTTGCCCAGGCTGGAGTGGGCAATCTCTGCTCACGGCAAGCTCTGCCTCCTGGGTTCATGCCCTTCTCCTGCCTCAGCCTCCCGAGTAGCTGGGACTACAGGCGCCCACCACCACGCCTGGCTAATTTTTTGTATTTTTAGTAGAGACGGGTTTTCACCATGTTATTGAGGATGGTCTTGATCTCCTGACCTCCTGATCCGCCCGCCTCGGCCTCCCAAAGTGCTGGGATTACAGGCGTGAACCACCGCGCCCAGCCAGCTTATTCATTTTTATGGGTAAGATGGGATCAGATAACAGAAGACATTAAATGTCAGATTACGGAGGTGACTTTTATCTTGAAGGGAGTAAGAGGCTGCTGATAACTTGTGTAAAGAGCAAGAAGTTAATGAGATTATCTCAGAATCCTAGAATTTTTTTTTTTTTTTTTGGTATGGAGTCTAGCTCTGTTGCCCAGGCTGGAGTGCAGTGGCAAGATATCGGCTCACTGCAACCTCTGCTTCCCAGGTTCAAGCAATTCTCCTGCCTCAGCCTCCCAAGTTGCTAGGATCACAGGTGCACACCACCATGCCTGGCTAATGTTTGTATTTTTAGCAGAGATGGGGTTTCACCATGTTGCCCAGGATGGTCTCGAACTCCTGAACTCAGGCAATCTGCCTGCCTCAGCCTCCCAAAGGGCTAGGATTATAGGCATGAGCCACCACCCCCGGCCCAGAATCTTAGGAATATTAAATGGGAAATGGCATGAAATAGGAGGCAGGCAAAGGCGAAACCAAGGAATCTAGTTTAAGAGATACAGGCCTCAAAAGGGGAAGATCTGGAGGAAGCTAACACCAGGGCAATGGAAAGGAAGTCACACACTGGAGAAATACTTCAAGGAAGAAGAGATAAGATCTGAGCGTTGACTAACTGAATACTATGTAAAGACAAGCACTTGAGTCACATTCTGATATGGTCTAGATGAGAAGCATCCCTTCACTATATTAACCATGTGATTGAAATTACAAACTCATCCCCACAGCCTCAGTAGTTTAATAGATTGTTCTTCTGTTTATTCCTTTGTAAGCCATGAGATTTAGGGACAACTGCTGGAATAATTTCTATGTGTAGAAACAATTTCTGGATGATGGAATAGTTATGAAATAGCCGCTTCCATTCAGTGTAAGCTGCTATGAGACCAGGGCAGTTATGTACATCCTTCCCTATTCCACGTTCAGCGACATCACGTTGGTAGCTGGAAATGAGCTATGGTATAATTGACAAACAACATAGATGAGGGCGCTTCATTTTGTTTTTGAGAGTTGGCTGTTAAACAATTAACAGCATACCACTGGGATGAACCCAGAACAGGATGGACCTGGGCTACTGAAGCAGCTCTTGCAGATTGTACATGGTGGAACCTCAGATCGCATTGGACACATGAATACATTCCAAAATGTCATTTGCATACAGGACCACATTTCATCAATATTATGCTTTTGTTTTGATCTAATCGGTTTAAGTTAAAAATAAATGGAATCTGAATTTATCCTTAGAGGGGAGCTAAACTAGGAAGTGCTCTGTGAATTCACACTTACAATATTTTGCTTAAATGAACACTGGCCCAGTAATCTTCCATACTTGGTCTAATTTAAACTTTTTCTGCAACTTGTTATATAAAATGCAAGCTTAAGGACAGGATGCCCATCTTCACTGCTCACCACTGTGTCCACAGTGCACCAACAGTGGCTGGCACTGAGCAGGTACCAATATATCTTTTGAGTATTTGATATTTAAATTCAAAACTGTACGAAGTGGAAAATAAAAACTAGGCCATGTAACTGTACTCAAATAACAAACAAATAAGTGCCTAATTCCTTACCACCATCCATATCCATCCATCTATCCAAAGGATGTCTCTTATAAAACCACAAGTCACCATTACGAATATTAGGCAACAACCATTTCAGACAGCTCTCAGGACATGTGTACAAACCAGACTGAGAGATGGTGATGGTGATAGTGGTGGTGGTGATGATGATGTAGATAGACAGGTAGATAGATAGATACATGGATGGATAGATAGATAGATGATAGATAGATGGATGGTTAGATAGATAGATGACATACATGTATTGTTTATAAATATTAAGTTATATATATTGGTTGATACTTAGAGTCTATTTCCTTTCACTAGTTTTACGTTTCAAGTTTGAATAACACCAAGTAGATTCGAACTCTCAGTTTACACTTTCAGTTGTCCCCCAATTTTTGCTTCCTAAGAAAGACTCCATCGGTGCCAAAATAGCTAACATGGCACAATCGGGAAGAAAGCTGGCGGACACTATGTCTACCACTGACTTCATGAATGCATATAAAATGATCCCCAAATCTTCAGAATTAGAATATTCCAAAAGAAAAAAAAATACCTGATTTTGCTCGCCATTTGTTCATTCAACGATAGCTACTGAAACTTCCTAAATTCTAGGCCCTCTGCCAGGGCTTGAGAAGCAATAAACAAGGCAGATGGGTCCCATCACGGAGCCAGCACCATGCTTCCCTGCCACTCACACAACTCCACTCACCCCTCCTCACCCCCTTGGCCTGTTGAATCACAACCCTGGCCTGAGCTTTCTAGGCACAGCTCCATCTGTGAAGCTCCCTGGGCGTTCCTGTCCATTCAGATATCCCTGTCTTCTGATGACCATGGCACTTCTTGCTCACTCCACTTAGCAAACAGACGTCTATGGCAAGAGGCCTGTGGGTCCTAGGTGCACAGCTGTGGCAATTCAGCACAGAGGAGCTTCAAAATTCGGGGATCCAGGAGAGGACATGGGTGTGCACAGAGCCCCGTCTTCTCACTTACACTGAGAAATGAGTCTTCTGTGGAAGCGTGAGCTACTCTCTGGGATTAACCATCATATAAATAAAGAATAATACAATGTAGCATACAACATCAAAATAACATAATTATGTATTATGTATAAGATAGATAGCTAGATAGATAGGGAGATAGAGTTAGATGGATCTTATTATCTGGTTAGCATTAATAGATCTGTCTCATCAGTTTGCAAGTTAGATGAGCACATGGGCCAGCTAAGGAAACTAGCACCATGTTTATTTTGGTTTCTATAAAAAAACAAATTTAGGTTCCAAACAATTCAATCACAAATACATCCTGGTAACCAAAACGGTTGTAAATCAGGGGTTGCTTGCACTATCCTGTGGTATGAGTTATGGGGTTAGAGGCCAAGCTCTGGAGGTGCTGAGGCCACTCACACCTCATTCCCTCTATCTCTACCTTTAAAGACATGAACTAGAATTCAGTCTTCAAACCCACCCGAGACAGATACTGGCAGTGTTAAATGGCCACCCACCTGGGGGGCGGGGGCTGTGGAGCACGTTCCTTGTCCTGGTGCTCAACAGCCTGCATCATGATCCCCACCTTCCCCATGCAGAAGCAGAAACTCACAGCTCCAGGTCTGTGCAGCCAGGTACAGCCATGTGGCCTGAGTCCCATGAATTGGAAGAGCAAGTGAGCCGGGTGGGAGGCAGCTGCAAGCACATGTGTGGAGGTCCTGTTTTTAAGAGATAATAGGTATTCCTGGGGTGTTTACCTTCACTCCCAAGATCGCTGAAGCCAAGGGACAGTGACATGGTTGTCACTAGCTGTCCCCATGGTGAGCTTGGATGCTGCCCCTGGCTCCATACCTCACAGGCTGGTTTTATGGCCCTCCCAGTGTGTCTGACAGCCAGTATGTCTAATCACCTTTAAAAAGAACCCTAACACTCCAAAGCCTAGAATGTGTTCCCAACATGGTGATACCAGAATTATAGACTGTACCCAACAGATAGCTCCTTCCATCCCAATCTTCTTACTCTTCTTCATTAGAGATGATGGGGCTCCACTGAGCCCATGGCAGTCCCATAAGTAAAACTCTGCTCTTTAATCCCAACCTGGTGCAGAGCTACTGATCAGTGACATCGGCCTTTCTGATCATCTGAGGGCCGCTGGCCCTGCACTCCTCCTTACTGGGTCTTCTCACTTATTGGCCCTCATGACCTCATTGTGGTCCGTGCTGGTCACGTTGGCTGTACTCTGATGAGGTCATGATGCCTTGGTCAGCCTATCTCACCTCTGCAGAGTGTGACAGTGGTCAGCACTGTCCCTCCTGCCCTCTTTTACAGCAAGCAAACTCCAGACCCACCATTCCTGTGACTGCAGCAGCTCATCTCTGTGTCTCAGCATGGCATGCCAGGATTGGGGTCCTCAATGTAGCAGGTGGAGCTCACTCCCCAAGGACAAGAAGTCCTGTAAGGACCTAGCCCCTGTCATACAGAGCTACAAGATCCACTCCAGGCATCCTATTGACCTTACAAGGCAGGTGCAATGGAGCCAATTTAAGGTGAATAAACAAGAGAAACAATCGTGTTTATATTTCTCCAAAAGTTGTTTTGTTTTGTGTTTTGACCAGTTTTATCGGTGAACACTGCGGAAAACTAGCCTAGGTGAACAGAACACTGAGGTCCCAGTATGGAGAGATGAATAACGTCGGAGGAATAGAGGAGCTGAGAACATGGCCCTGTTCAGCAGATGGATGGTTTTGACATTGCTTATAGTACAAAAGCACAGATCTGTGAGAGGGAGAGAGCATCACAAGGGAAGGAGAAAGAAGCGGTTGGGATGGGAAGGGTGCTCTTCACCCAAGGGGAAGAATTCCTCTGGGGCCTGTTCCAGCCAGCAGCACATGGAGACAGGAGAGGACGTGAGGCTGGTAGTCAGTGCAGCAGAGAACCAGGCAGAGAGAACAGGGTCAGGGAACCTGGGCAGGCTCCCACTGGGAAAACACAGCACTTGTGTAAAGAGAAGGAAAACGAAGAAACAGTGAACCAAACAGGATTCCCCCATGCAAGGGGAATGAGCAATTCATTGTCCATACATCTACTCTAACTGTCCTGTAAAATCATGTACTGTGTGCTTATTTGGTTTTCAGTAAATGCTTCTGAACTCAATGATTATAGTTGTTTGGGGAATAGAAGATCTTGGCACTGGTGGGCCACGGAATCCATCAAGAACTGTAGAAGAAGAGGACCCTGCCAGGGGCAATTGCAGAGCCAGCTCTACCAAAGCAGGTGGTATCAGGCCCCCATGGGTTCACTGGTGATGGTCGTCATTGCTGGGATTGATAAGCTGAGCTCCCAGTGCCATGGGCTGAACAGTGTTCCCCAAAAAAGCTATGTTAAAGTCCCACCCCCAGGGCCTCAGAACAGCATCTTATTTGGAAGCAGCATCTCTGCAGAGGGAATTCGGTAAGAGGAGGTCTCACTGGAGGAGAACGGCCCCCACGCCAGCATAACTAGTGCCCTCATCAGAAGACCGCTTTTGAAGGTGGAGACACACAGAGAGGATGCCAAGTGACAACGAAAGCAAAGACAGGAATGGCCCAGCCACAAGCCCCCAAAACGCCAAGGATTGATGGCAAACACTGTCACGGAAGCTGGAAGAGGCAAAGACGTCTCCGCTACAGCTTCACAGGAAGGCTGGCTCCATAATACCGCGACTTCAGAACTCTGGTCCCCAGATCTGTGAGGGAACGCCTTTCTGACACGTGAAGCCACCCAGTTTGTGGTAATGTGGTACAGCACCCAAAGACACTAACACACACATGATAAGACATTTAAGAATGTCTGATAATGCAGTCCATGAATTCAGATACATGACAGTGAAAACACAGAATTAGACAAGATGATTCCTCCAAGCATGATTTTTGTGTTGAGTACAAAGTTCCTCTTCTTATAATCAATTGAATTACATATTGCCTCTGCCTGATTCCCCCCATGCCCCCACCAAAAAGCAATAGTATTCATCTTGTCATATGGGGTACAGATAAAAGGGGCTGTGAATAGGAAGTAGATGGTAAGCAAACAAACAAAATGTAAGAAGACAACATGATTTTGAACTAACTCCACCCAAATTACTGCCACCGATAATTGTAGAAATTTTAAAGGGAACCAAAACATTGGCAGGGAACCACAGAGCCCCTGGCACGTGCACCAGGTCCATGAAGTTCTGGAGATTGGTGACCACTTGGTTTCTGCCCCTCTTCATTCCAAAAAATCTCCAAGAAAAGAGGAAAATAGAGATTGTTGCTTACAACAAAACTTGTACGATAAATCCTCCCCTGGCACACACAGCCAATTAAGAAAAATCCAAGATATTTGGACATCATGTTCTCTGAAGAGAACACAGAAGAAACAAGGTAGAGTGATGCATCCCTGAACCAGGAGCAGGAGATGTGGGTCTTGTCATGAGGTGTTGCTCGGTGGCATCCAGGGGTTGGCAGAAGCAGTAAGACAGCATGAACAACCTAGTTCTCTAAATCTGGCATCCAGAAATCCAGGCAGCCAGTTGTTTAAATGCTGACCAAAACATATTGTGATGAATATAAAGACAGTATCAGAATGAGGCACATGCATTTAAAAAGTAGAAAATTACAGTATGCCTACATTTTAAATGAAGAGCTCCATGTATTTCTCCATTTTTAAAAACAGAACCTGAAAATTAAGAGGCTGACCTCCATTCAGAAAGTAATGCTCTATTCTTTTCCCTCACTTCCCCATCTCCAGTTAGCCACATGTCATCCTGTTCACACAGAATGTCTTAGAACGGGAGTGGATGAATTCAGGGGCAATGGGGCAATTCTTCCTGGGGGAGCCCCCAGGAGAGAAGGGGGAGGAGCTGGAGACCTCTGTGGCTGAGCTGAAGCCCTCTTTTTCGTGGAGAGGAGATTCCAGAAGGCTTCTTCCTTTAGGTCTTAGCCCTTCAACTTCTGTGATTGGGTGGCCTTATCAGAGGTCTCAATGCTTTGTGAGTTTTGTTCACTGGATGCTAGAGATTGCAGCCCATAAATTATAGAAAGCCTGTGTTTTGTCTGCCAGTGATTTCATCTGAAGTCCACACTTGCCTGTGAACTAGTTCTCTGTCAGTCTGGCCAGCACCTGCTCCTAGGCACCCACCACCTCTCTCTAGACCCACCCCGCCGAAGCTGAATGACACACGAGCAGATGTGCACAGATGTAGTGTTATAACTGAACAGTTTGGACAATTGAAGACTTAAGGCTTGGCGCAGTGGCTCAGGCCTGTAATCCCAGCACTTTGGGAGGCTGAGGTGGGTAGATCACCTGAGGTCAGGAGTTCAAGACCAGCCTGGCCAACATGGTGAAACCCTGTCTCTACTAAAAATACAAAAATTAGCTGGGCATAGTAGAGGGCACCTGTAATCCCAGTTACTCGGGAGGCTGAGGTGGGAGGATGGCTTGAACCAGGAGGCAGAGGTTGCAGTGAGCCCAGATCGTGCCATTGCACTCCAGCCTGGGCAACAAGAGTGAGACCCCATTTCAAAAATAAATAAATAAATAAAACGGAGACTTAAGAGGCAATGAACACTTCAGCAGAAATCCTCCCCTTCCTTTCCTTTCACCTACAAATGCAGTGGGCGGGCTGATATCTGCATCACTAGTTACCTACAGAATCTTGCCAGTAAAAATTCACTCCTGATCCAGACGGAGCACAGTTCTTTCATGAGTAAGAAAAAAAAGAAAGAAAGAAAAGAGAGAAAGAAAAAAAAGACCTTACTGGAAATAAGAAAGATCTTTTTTGTTTGCCTGTTTTATTTTTAACCTGATGTGTCGCATAGTACTGAATGTCACCAGATTGTCATTAATGTCACTTTTCCTCATGTTCCATATGTGATGTGACATAGCATCTGACTAATGAAACCCGATGAACAATATGTCAACATAAAGAAGCACGCTGGGTCACAAATATGCTCCAAGAACATTAAATTGCAAGGAAATGTATATTGAACGTGTTTTCCATAGGAATAAAATTGAGTTGCATAGTTAACATATTACATTTAGGTATTCTACCTTAGAGACCAAAGGAACCAAAATACATTGTTGAGTGACCTATAAAATGCACATTATCAACACATATTGATAGCAGAGACAGTCAGATGAATACAAACCAGCACCAAGAAGAATTGCAAAGGGAAATCATGCTTCCTCTGAAAAGGCAAACAACCGTAGAAATGAGCCAAGCCACGGGAATACAAATAGAAGCGCACCCCGTTATTTTGGCTGAAACAATGTTATATTGTTTTCAAATATTCTTTGATCCTCATCCCGCTAAGCCCATTTGGGCCCCCGGCCTGGTCTCACCGACCTGGCTCTGGCCCAGTTGGCCACACCATGGGCTGCCTTCTCTCAGCCCCGGGTCTGTGACCTGCTGAAGAGAACCAAGCAGTTGGTTCCATCATAAATGATGCACCCAGCCTCTGTGGGATCTGCTGCAAGTCATGGTGAGAACATGCTCCAACCCCTCCCTGTCAGCCTTTCTAGTAACTTCTCAGCATCTTGGACAGTTTATTCAGCCTAGAATCCTAGCCTTGCACTTTTTCAAATAGTTCTGCTGCCTGCTTTCCAGAGCAGAAAAGCCGTGCTGATACTGACTTGCCTTCTTTTCTCTGCCTCTCAATGCTTCCGCATTTCTGCCTCCCACTCTTCCAGGCTGGCCTTCCCCTGTGCCTGCACTTGTTTCATTTTGCCTGCTCTTGCTGCGTCCAGAGGCCCCTTATCACTGCAGCCTTTGTGTCTCGCAGGACCAAGAGTCAAAGTGTACCCTCTCTCCCCTTCTTGTCTTTCTTCCTCTGTGTTGGCACCACTCCACCAATGCAGCTGTTTCCAAGTGATTCCTGAGCTCCCAGTGCTCCCATCTGATGCCCCAGCCTCCACTGCTCACTCCACGTAGTTTGGCACCCCCTACCCCATGACCATTCCTCTTCCCTGGGCTTCAGTGACATGCACTCATCTCCCCTTGCTCCTAACTGATCATTTCTTATCCTCTTTTGTGCACCCTCTCCCCTCTTGCCTGACGAATTTGGGTATTCTCCACAGCCCTTGAGCCACTTCCCCTCTCCTAATGGCCTCCATTTACCTCTGTGGCATCAGGCATCCCCTTCGTCTGGAGTGAATGCCAATATCACAAGTCTAGAGCTCTTGCCAACATCTGCCCGCACTTTCCTGATGATACTGAACTTATCCTTCCTAACCTAGCCCTCCTTCTACCCAGACCTCTGAATCTGCACATCCTGATAGCCACTAATGCACAGCTTGTCCACTCCCCCAAGAGCCCTCCCTGAACCCCCAACAGGACATAGTCTTTCTTCGGCTGAATTTGCACCCCACTTCATCCAAATTGCTCCCAGGGCATGGCCAATTCTTCACTTGCTCATTAAGTCATTCAGCTACCTTCAACTTTTGGCAAGGCCTGTGCCAGGTGGTAGGAAACAGGGAGTCAAGACCACAGCGCTGGACTCCAGGAGCATCCAGTCTAGCTGAAGAGAGCATCTGTGTAAACAAATGAGTGCACCAGAGATTGCTGGGGCAGAGATAGGGTGAACAAGAAATACCACGGGGCTACACGTAGGAGGGGCCCAACCAAATGGAGGGGTCCAGGAACATCCCACAAAAGGCAACTTGTAAGAGGAGAACTAAAATATGATTGGAATTATCCGGAAGGTAAATTGTCCAGGAGAATCCCAGAAAAGGCAGCTTGTAAGAGGAGAACTAAAAAATTGATTGGAATTATCTGGGAGGTAACTGCTTGTATCAAGACCTAGAGGAGGGGGGGGGCGGAGAGAGAGAGAGACAGAGAGAGAGAGAGAAAGAGTGAGAGAAAGAGAAATAGAGACTGGTATGGAATGGCAGGTTCACTTGTCAGGAGCCTGGACAGCAAAGGCTTCAATGGCAAGCTCAGAGGTCAGATACCTAAGCTAAGGTGAGCCTGGATCAGTAGTTGGAGTTGGCTGAGACAGAAGGCAGGAAGACCGTGAGAGTCACCCAGATGTGTGATTGTATTTCTTCCTGAACTGAGAATGTAGCAATGAAAATGCAGAGAGATGTGCAAGAGATTAGCAAGGCCAAAACAACCAGACTTGGTGTTTACTTAATTACGAGGGAAGACGCGTCAAGCCCAGTCCAATGGGGACATCCACAGTCCAGCCTGGAACAATTACGAGGCTGATGGTGGCACTGACCAGGGTTCCATGCTGAGAGGAGAATTGTGGGAGGAGAAGATGACAAATCCTTGTCAGTATCTTAGAGACTGATGCGCGTGCATCTCCCTGTGAGACTCTCAGCTGCATGGGGGCAGAGCTCCTGTTTTCTGCCACATGGAGCCCACGGTGGCTAACACACTGTCCTCACTGCAGAGAGCACACTCTGATGGCCACTGTCCCAGTGAAGGCAGAGGCTTCCCAGGAGCTGCTGTTTTAGTTCTCCCACCTGGGAGGGCTTTCTTAACTTTTTCCTTCCAAAATAGCAAAAGGATTTATTAAGAATAACTGAAGACCCTTTGTGGAATTAGAATCGTATGTATTCTTCATACATCACTATATATATATATATATATATATATATATATATATATATATATATATATATATATGTGTATATATATATATATATATATATATATATATATATATCTCACATATACACTATAATTATATCTCACAAGCCATGAAACCATCCAGTGGAATTGCAGTATGACTCTCCCCACGAAATAACCATGAGCATCCTAAACCAGGGCAGCTAAGACCATGATAACTTTTCTCATCCCAGCCAGAATCCTTCAGTTCTCCCACTTTAGCCTGCGCCTTTAGGGCCCCACCAGTCCCAGTTCCAGCCTTGGGTCTCTGCTTCATCTGGCCACCTGGAGAGCACGTGGCCTTTGCATGTGCAGACTTTGCTGCACTCCCTGTGAGGGCGTCTCAGCAGACCCTCCTTCCCGAGCCTCCATTCGCTTGGCCCAGCATCTTTCCCTCTCCATGTTTGATTCTGCCTTCTGTTTCCTGACTTTTTTCTCCCAGAATCAGTGTATTGTGGTAATGGGAGTCACATTTTAAACCCCTTTTTGTGGGAAGAATTAATTCCTGCTTAATGTCTGATTGGGAAAAACCATAACGATTCTTATGGAACACCCTTGGACAATTCCCTGGCAGTAAGAATTAAAGATACTACTGTTTAATATTAACTAGTTGCCTGCAAAACATAGGATACATTTGCAGGTACTAGAATACAGTGAATATTTGTTGAATGAATGAATGAACAAATGAATGAATAAATCTAAGTAATTTCATGTGGCTCAAAACTAAGCAAAACTGCTTCTACATTCGTCCAGAATTTGACTAGGAAATTGCAGAAACCTTGATGTTAGTTGTGGGATTCACCCTTTAAGTCAGACAAAACTAGGAAGCAAAATTAATTTTTATTAATTATTATCAAATAATCGTCCTGTGGCAGGTACTTCACATTTGTTACTCTGTCGATCTTAATAGCAGCCCTAGGTGTTATTAACCCCATTTGCCAAGGCTCTGCAGGGCAATGGCACTCGCAGAGCTGGTGAGTGGAGTGGGATCTGAGTCTGGTTGTATATGATTCCACACTCATGAGCTCTCCACTCTGACATGTTGAATAAGGGTCTCTTAAATACAGTCTCCTGGGAACGTATTTTTCCCATGCAGCATTATTCATCTATATTTCTCCAAAATGAAAAACAAAAAAATATTTGTTCATGAGCACCATCAAGCACGTGTATGAGGCTGCTTTGGGTTTTAGTGTAGCCCTTCATTTCCTCTTGCTTGTTCTTCTGTCGCTAACACACTTGAGGGGGCATTCCTTTTGTGGGGAGACTTTGCTGCAGAGGCTCAAGCGACTTATCATGTTGTCCAATGTGCAACTGACTCCACAGTTACCACTGTGCTTAACGGAATTGCCAGGCAGTTACTATGTGATTATTAGGAAATAATGCTGGGTGTTTTGCAGTGAGTCCTTCATAACCCGTGTCTCCAGTACACCTACTATTTGCCCCTGTAATTAAGATATTTTTGACTTTTATATGCTTGTTTAAACAAAAAATATGTTAAAAACTATATTTTTAAGTGCTGTTTTATTTAACTGGAGCCTAGCAAATTTGTAACATCAGATACCTGAGTATTTGTAAATGATCTGCCATCCCCAGAAGGAGATGCTAGAATTTATGTCAAATCATCATAATGGATACTTTGTTGTTCCAACCAGCACAAAAACAGATGTATTTACAGTTCCGGCAGCTGCAGACCCACTATTAGAAAGCCAGATTTGTACTTCCTATTATATTTGTACTTCCTTGGTTAAATCTCAGCTCCCTCTCCTGAAACAGAAGTGATAAAATAAGGGAAGGAAAGCTGGAACCAAATGGCTGTGAAACTGGAGAACACATTTTTATCTGGGAATAAAATTATAAAACACTGAAAACAATGGGTCCGGCAATTCACGAACAGGAAGGGCTCCAGTTTTCTGGTGTAGAACCCTTTTATGCCATCTTAGAAATAGTGGCAATTAATGAATGAATACCCTTGTGCCCTCACCGAGAAAAAGCTCCACGCCCCACTAAGTTATATTAAAAATACGATATGTGTAGCTCCAGCCACCCTACCACTGAGGCTCCAGAGAACATAAACAACAGAACAGTGTCTCCAGAGCCCTGTGGAAGGTGTCATTTTCACCTGGTTTTTATAAGACACATACTTCTCTCCAACATTTAAAGATGGTGGAAAATATTTTCTACCTTGTAAATGTCCCTTTAGTTTATAGTAATTAAATATCTAGCTGGGCACATGGTTATCCAGAATAAAAGTTTTTCTACCAGCCTGCCTTTGACCAGGTGCGACCATATGCAAAACTTCTGAGCAATGGAAATGAACAGAAGCCACACATCTAACCTTCTAGTTGTTCCTGTTTCCAGCTGCCAGAATGCAGATGCGCTGGTTGGAAATGGGGGATCATGTCACCAGGGCCTCTCTTGGTCCAGTGGAGCAACAAGACAGAGCCCGCTCCTGATAATTTGACAAAGATGTGACATGAACAAGGAAGCTTACTTGAGAGAAATATGCTTGTCTTGATTAAGAGAGAGGTATTACCTTGCCTCCTGCCCCATGTGTGCAAACTCACATGCTAGCCAATGAAAACACATATCGGGAGCGGAATTCTGATGGCTTTCTGCTGGATTAAGAACTGTTGTGGAATGAAAGAGGTAGTTGATGGACTTTCTCCCCCTTTCTGTGTGTCTAACACTTCCAGGAATCCTAAGACACAAAAAAAGTGAACACTTTACAGAAGCAATTTTCCAGTACTTAGGAGTTTGTTGATATGGGCATATTTTGCCTTGCTAGGTAAACATTTGTTAAAAGTTTGGAAGGCTTCGAATATTTTTCCATGGTCCCCAACTCCTGAATAATGCAAATTTCTTTTTCATTTATTTGTGCTGATAAATTATTTTGCCTTTTGGGAACCCAGTAAATTTCATTGGTTACCTGGTAGACTAGACTACCTCAAATTATCTAGGAGCTTTTGTAATACAAAGACTCTGAAAATATTTTCCACCACGTTCAAATGCTGAAGAAAGAGTATGTGTCACTTCATTAGAAATGATCATCTGGATGATAATTTATGACAATATTTTGAACCAAAAATGTGGGTGCGTGGTCCGCATCAATTTTAAAGAGATGAAGGGAGAAGTCTTCATGATGCTCGCAGACATCAGCTGAGGGCTCAGACCATGCCTTCAGAGGGGCACTGCTTCTGGTGGGCTGTCACAACCCAGGTTCCGATCTCTGCATCCAAGACCCCTGCACCCCAGGTTGGTTAACTTGTGAATTGACCTTCAGATGCCATTTGAAGTGGTGCACTCTGGAAAAATGGAGTCATGCAGCCCACATGGTTGAGACATTCTGAAACATCTGCTGAAATTACCTAAATTTAGGTGGTGGGACTTCATGAAAGTTACAACAATAAAAATAGTATTTCAGAAAATGAGGGCAAAATACTTTCCAAGTTTGCTGGATCTCCCTTAAGTCAATTATTTGATGTCGCTTCTGTCTAACTTTTCAGTGGTGCTGCAGAGTCCACACAAATGGAGAATAAAATGAGACAACCAAATTTATTTTTACTTATGGACTTGAGCCAGAGTCTAAATGACTCTGGCAATGGTGCTTACTTCCCTCGGGAGCCTATTCTCTAGTCTAATAGATCTCACTGTTAGGAAATTTCTCTTATAATTCAGCATAAATTGTCCCTTGCTGAATTCCATCCCATTATTCCTAGTTAGATGTCCTTGGACTACCTTAAACAACGAAGACTATTCTCATAGGGCTGTCCATTGCCAGGCAGGAGAGGTAGATGAAAAGGAGAAGAGAAAATAGGAAAGATGCTTAGGAAGAATGGAATCTAAGCTACCAATTCAGCCCTGGCTTGTGTCTAATCAATGAACATTTCAGCCACAAACTGTTACATATGGACACAGTCAGCAAATTTATTAACAATGTGATTGGGTAATCTCTGAAAAATATTTAATTTTCAGCAAACCTCAACATCTACCTCTGTAACTTTTCTGTAAGTGAGATAGGTCAAAATCATAAAGTTAAACACTAAAGATACAGTAAAGATAAAGATAAAGTTAAAGCTTAAAGATACATGTCTGCAAGTTTTAAAATTGGAAGTTTGGCTGTATTATTTGTGGTTATTGATCTCTTCTCCTTCCCTTTATTCTGGTCTTATTAACAACGGACACGATTCATTAAGGCCTTTTTTTGAACGTCTGACACTGTGTAATCTCATCAAACACTCACAACATGGTGCCTATGACACAGTTTACCCAGGACCTCATGATCAGGAATTGCCTCTTGGCAAACCCTTCCCCGCACCTCAAACACACACGTTTGCAATAGAAGTAGCCATATTGCAATGTAGCCAGACACCAGCTACAGTTGGTCAGAGCAAGTGGGAAACTGACCAAACCTGGGCCAGTGGGTCCTTCCCAGAAACGTGTTGGGCTTGTCCCAAGAAAGCCAAGTCAGTCTCCCTTTGGGTGTCTGGACCAAAATGCATGAAGCTTGGGAGCAGTTAGCTGTTGTGTCATCTGTTAGGCGAACCAAAGGAGTAAAGAAGACGGTCTGCAGAGATCGAGGAGAGGAGATAGGCAGAATGAGACAGGGATGAAAGGCATAGCTACGGCCTCAACAAGAGCCCAGCCCCGCTTCCATTCTTTTCTGAGACTTGGTAGCATCCTATATTTTGGTTTCATGAGGAATATCAGAATCCTTACAATAAATAATAAATTTAAATAAATTTCAACTGCATGAGTACTCTTTGCAACACAGAGCACTGATTCAGTTTCTAATGAGAAAACTGCTCAGCTAGTAAGCAGAGGAGCAGGGATTCAAATGCAAAAGTCTCTTTAGTTCAAAGCTAACTTTCAGTCACGGAAGTATTCTTATCACCTTCATGACTTTCCAGTACACATTCCAAAAGGCCATAAAGGAGTTGGGAGAGGGAGGCGCCATCTTCACCAAATTCTTCAAGCAAGGTTGAAAACTTGCCTTTAGTGTAGACATGACCTAAGAGACCTGGGGCAGCTCATCTGTAAAATAAGCAGTGATGGCTACGCTGGACCAGCTGCTTCCCAGTGAGTGGGGTCTGTGGGTCTTCAACGGTGGGATTAGTGTCTGTGCTCCCAAGGAGCCTCTTGAACTAGTTACATGAAAACTGCTTTTGTTCTTGGCAGTGCTTTGACAGGATTTGTATTTTATAATACAAAATACATCCCTTAAGCAGCCAAGATATCCATACCATACAAGAAATGCCAAACTAGGAATTCCACAGTTACGCTGATAAAAGTGGAAATGCACGGCCGCGACTGACCCAAGTCTGATGTTGGAGCCTTGGACGGAGGATAGAAACATGCATTAGGTTGTCTCCACCCAATGACCTTATCTTCCCCCAAAATTTCCTTCCCAATTCATTTGCAAGATTCTTTCCAATGCTACATTTACAATATACACAGTGCTTAGGGGAAATGGATTTCTCTGTAGTCTCACTTTATAACCAGATGAGACATTTAGAAAAGACATTTTATCCAAAGCTGTCTTGAAAGGAAACCAGCTTCTTCCCACTGGCAAGTAAATTTTCTGGCTTTAAGCCAGTTTACCATGCTGTTTTGTACGCATCACATCTAGTTCCCCACTTCCTGCCTTAAGATAGGCCCTATAGTATTCCTTCAGGGCCCAAGTCTATTAAACAGCAAAAATTCAATATGCAAATTATCTCCCAACTACATGCATGAAGCCTGCAAACGTTATTCTTAGGAAAGTGCTGATTATGGAAAATTATGAATTAACAAGTCAGGCACTGAGATTTGAAACCTTATAACTGTGTTTACTGTAGAAAAGCCCCCAAATGACTTGAAAAATAAAAGAGAAAAAACAGCAAAATCAGTGATTTAGTGATTGCTAAGGTTGCCAACATCCAATTTCTGCCTCACTAACTCTGCCAACTCTACTAGTCTTTGTGTACATACACACGTGTGTGCACACACTCGCACACTCACACATGCATACACACATGGACTCACACTCACGCACACAATAAAGCAGAGAATAGACTCATGAAATAGAAACAATAAGTGGTAGTTGGCTCTTCCACTGGCCTAGGCTTCTTGACTGATTTCATCACAAGCTTGCTGTTCAAATTATTTCTTTTTTAGCCTTTGCACAGGAATCCATGGGGCTTCTATACGAGCCAGACAGCAGTAGGCACTAGGGGATGTGACAGTGAAAGAGGCAGATGTGGCTGCTCCCCACTGAGAGCACAGGCCCTAGGGCGCTGCTACTTTAAATGCCCGACCAGCAGCATCGGCAACACCCACCAGCTTGTTAGAAATGCGCGTTCTCGGGCCCTCTTAGGCCTCCTGAATTAGAATTTCTGCCTGTGGAGATCAGGTAGCTTTGTTTTAACAAACTCTCCAGGTGATTCTTAAGCAAGCTAAGCTTGATAAGTACTGAGACTATACTGCTAATGTTTTAATAACATTGCTAGAATCATTTTGGTAAATGGAGTGAAGGGGATAGAGATTCAGTCATTTATAACAACTGGTTTTAACCTCTGTAGATTCTGAAAGCTTAGCCATTTCAGTAGGAGAGGTAAGCTATGGTTCAGGGGTTTTCTGAAATTAGATCAACAAAGGATCCCAGACAACATAAAAAGAAAATGCTTTTTTTAATACTGTAGTAGTATTGGCTAAACATCTCTACTAAAGATTTGTGTTGCTCCCATTAAATTACATTTCCACAAGGAAGGAGCCAGTAAAACAAAAGTTTTTTTGTCAATCTTTGATCATATTATAGTTATTCTTTAAAAGGAAAAATCCTGATTATATGCTGAGCACATAGTCAACTGCAGAACAAAATTATTTTATTTGAGGAGAGCTGGTGGTCAATATGGAAAGAAATGATGCCCCTCATTTTCTCTATTGGCAATAGATCAATATAAAGTTGATGGTTCCTAGTTCCTAAGTAAGATAATGTTTCCAGGTAAGAAACAGTATTCAAGGCTTAGAAAGCGAGAAGCCCAAGATCCTTTATTGAAAGTGAGGCCAGGGGAGGTGATTTTTTTTTAACAACTATTTTGAAAGTAAGTTTAAGAGTTCCTCCATCCCCATCTGCCTGGCAGTTGCCTGATTCCTAGGAGATACAGCAAAGGCAAAGCACAAGCTAATTATGTGTTCCTCATCCTGCAACGAGCATCTGCTCTGAGGATCCATCTCCTTCCTCTACAGTTAAACTGAATTGTTCCTCTAAAGAAAGCCAGAGACTGCCTTTCCCTTCTCCGCTGACCCCATCCCTTTCTCCTTCTGAAGACCTGCTCTGCACGGCACTTGCTTTTATTAACGCTCACTACACGCCAGGCACTGAGTGCACACGTGCCTGTCATCTCCTGAGCCTCACCCAGGCTGAGATGTAGGTGCTACCACCTCCCTGTGTTACAGACAAGGGAACCGAGTCACAGAGAGGTTAGCTAACCTGCCACAGACCAAACAGAGCAAGTGACAGTGGGGATTTGAAACCCGGTCATCAGGCCCAGCACTCTGCTACAATACACCATCCTCCCTTCTCTTCCGTTTTCAATTTCCATTCAGCATCACCCAAGACTGTGATAGCCCAGAGAAAACACATGGAAGCCAACGTTTTTTCATACTTCCATGACTTGGTGAAAACTAGTTTTTAAACATCAACATGTGAAACTTATTAGACAATATAAGGGGACACATGAAATAGAGTTGATATCCATTATTCCTGGTAGCTCTGTAAAGTCTATACAGCATTCTACAAAGTCACCTCTGACACTGAGCTAGAGAATATGGAACCTTGGCTCCTAGAGGAAACACAGAGCCAGGCTCCTGGGAGCCTCTGGTCACGCATGTCTTCAACCAATCGACATATAGCCTTGTTTTAAGTGTGCTTCTGTTCAAAGTTACCTTATTTAATATCTATTGTTGATTCAGGAACATTGAACTCACAGCCAGCGGCATTGTAACTCATGCCTACAAAGCTAATCTGACACAGATTTTGTCAGTAAGGTGTGCCACTGCCTCCCTACACCTGGGAACTCTAGATAGCACTGCAGCCCTACACCTGGTGGCCATTTCAAACAGGGAAATCACCAAGAAAAGGCACAAAATCTGAAAACCATGACACTACTTAGACCTCAAAAATGACGTTTTGTGCAGTCTGGGCTGAAACTAAGAAGGCAGAGCTTTGTCCTGTCTGACCTCAGGTTGGGACATGCATGTTGGGTGACTCAAATTTCCCACCTCTCTGCAAGTGTATGTGAATGACTGTAATAGTGCTGTATTTGTTTCGAGATCAAAAATAAATTTTATCAAGTAAGTGAATTTGCAAGTATGAATTCACAAGTTAGAAGAATCGCCCATATTAGACCCATTCTTCAGCTTGCTCTGCCACCCTGCTGATGCTACTGGGAAGAGCCCTGAAGCCTTGAATGTTGCTGAGTCGGATGAGCACCTCCCCAGTCTTAGTAGTCTTCTGCTCTCCAGTGATGCAGCTGGCACCTCCTCCCACCCCCTTCTCCTCCACCACCCCCTCCCTTTGCCTCCAGACCCTGCAGCACACGTCCCTGATCCTCTGGGCTGAGGCTTGGGGTTTTCATCCCTCCGACTCCTCTCCCCATCCCTCAGATTCTGGAGCTTCTCTGGCCACAGAGGCTTTCTGAGCTTCCGTGTGTGCTCCCAGTGGTGGTACCCTCAGCCCCAGGTACTATTCATAAGGAAGGTCAAGCTCACTTCTCTTCAAGGATTTTGCATTTTTTATCCTTCCCGGAAGACTCTGCTCTGCTATCCACATACACTTACTTTCTCAGTGTGATCAGGCATCTGCTCAGATGTTGCCTCCTCCAAGTTGCCCCTTCCGTGACTCTTTCCCCTCTCCTTCCTTTATTTGCGTCACAGCCCTTTACACCACTTGAAATCCTATTTATTTGTTGATCATTCATTTGCTGTCTTTAGCCTTCTGTGGGAAGCAGAATCCTAAACTGGCCCCGCAGATCACTGTCTCCTGCTGCACACCCTGGAGCACAAACAGGTTGGGTGAATACAGTGGAATGGTGGCTCCTTGACGTGGGTTATGTTATCTGACGGAGGCTATGGGCAGGGCCTCCCATGATCGCGTTATATTATATGAGGTCCTGGGGTAGCAGACTGGAAAGAGATTCTCCTGCAAAGTTTTAAGAAGTACAATGCCACATTATGTGAGGGCCACATGGCTCAGACCTAAGAGCTGAGAGCGACCTTTGGCTGACAGCCAGCAAGTAAATGGGAACCTCAGGGGACCGGCAACTTCAAGGAACTGAATTCTTCTGACAATCTGAGTGAGCTCAGAAGAGTTCCCAGAGCTCCAGAGGAGAATGCAGCCTGGCTAACACTTTGATTCCGGCCTTGTGAGATGCTGCGCAGAGAACACAGCTAACCAGTGCCTGGGCTCCTGACCACCAAGACTGTACAGAATACATGGGTTCTGTTTGAAGCTGCTGAGATTTTGGTAGCTTGTTATGCAGCAATAAACACAGCTTCCAGTTGAGTCCGTGCCTCGAGGGCAGGGAAGCTGTCCATTATGCTCATTTCTTTATCCTCAGCACCAACAGAAGGGCCTGGCACAGGGTGGGGGCTCAAAGATAAGCTGAGTCTGTCTGGTCCCTCAGAGACTTTCAAACTGTGACCCAGGTTCACAGGGCCTGTGAGTCCAGAGCCCACCCCAAGATTTCTGCAAATCCCCTGTCCTCCTTCGTGCTTCCCTCCGGCCATCCTCCTCTGATGCCTCAGTCCAGCCAAACACAATCTGGTAAGAGGCACTGCTCTTGATGAGCATCTTCTTAAACTTCTGGTAGAACTTAGCATTCAGCACTGGGGAACTTGGGAGGGGTCATCTTCTGGGCAAGGGCCTGAGAAGTGCTGCCCCCTCCTCCGCTGTACACAGAGTGGGGCTGCCCCAGCCAGAGCCCTCCAGTTCAAGCCTGTAACCCACGGGGCCTGTCAAGGAATTCTTTCTAAATAAACCATGCCCTTCTTAGGAACCTTATGGGGACAGCTGTTAATACAGTGACATTTCCCTCATCATCTAATCTATGCTAAAAAATTAGAGTTCTGACCTCTCTACCAAGCTTCAGGTGCATTTATCCATCTGCCTGCTGGTTACCTACACCTGGAAGTCTCACAGGCACCACAAATTCAACATGTCCAAAAACTGAACTAACCACTTCTTCCTGCAGTGTTCTTCTCCAGGGTTCCATAGCTCACTGTATAGCACTTCCACCTAGTTGCTTGGAATCTGTTCTGAAACTCCCTCTCCCTTGCCCTCCAGGTCAGCCCTGCTCTCAGAAGCAGTCCTGTTTCTTCTTCCTTATACACATCTCTCGTCTATCCCTGTTGCTTCAACCTTCCCAGCGTCAGCCGAGTTCCCATCATCGTTGCCATCTCAGTTATGCTTTGGAAGACATCACATGGGCTTCCCCATCCCCCCAGCCACACAAATTCTATTTTCCACAGTGCAGCCCAACCTGCCCTTCTAATGGAACCACCACCTGTTCCCTCCCTTGCACACCTCTCTGGGGGTTCCTAACACTCTCCCAGCACCGTGATTGCAAGGCTCCCCTGACCACCTCTGGTCTCCTTCCACCCCCATCTTCACCGGGCTTCCTCTTTGACTTGGCTACAGCCCTCTCTCCTGTTCTCAGCTCCTCAGAAACCCCCAGATCTTCCCATGCACCCGGTTGGCCTTC
This sequence comes from Homo sapiens, assembly GCF_000001405.40. Classification (NCBI taxonomy): domain Eukaryota; kingdom Metazoa; phylum Chordata; class Mammalia; order Primates; family Hominidae; genus Homo; species Homo sapiens. The sequence goes on along the minus strand of NC_000018.10, from coordinate 75,549,869 downwards.
ACATGTGTTGGTACATCTGTGGGAAAGTTTCGTCTCCCGCTTTTATTCCTGGCTGATTTCGCCTCATCCCTCAGGTCTCGTCTGTATTTTTTCCTCAGACTAAGTTAGGGTCTCATCTTCAGTGCTTTCATATCCTATCGGAATGTTCATCTCAGTGCGTTATGACTGACTGTCCAGCGCCCGTCTCCCCTACTGGCATATACAGCCCACAGGGCATGAGCCACAGGGTCATATGTGGGGTTGTATCCCAGTGACCTGTGGAGCATGGGCCACTAGCAGCACTCAGTAATTACAACTCCGTGAACACATGAGTGAGGAGAAGGCAGACTCTAGTCTCCCGAATTCACCATCTTGCCACAAAGTTGAACACGTGAGAGTTAACAACACAATTGCAAAGTAGCTAGCAAGGCTGGAGCAGGTGATACCTGGCTGTTCTTGGTTGAGTTACAAAAGTGACTGTCATGAGTTCAGAGAAGCATGACATGTTTGTGGGCAGGGACTGTTTCATGGAGAAGGCTTGACTGGAGCTGAGCCTTGGTCAATGGAGAGAATTGTGCCAAAGAAAGAATAGTGAATGGTTCTCCGTAAGAGGGAAGTATGGGTAGGGCTTTAGGGTGGGGAGGATGCATTTGGGGCTTGCGGAAAATAGAGTCACACAGGTGTGGGAAGCAGCAGAAACCAACAGGGGCGGTGAGACTGCAGAAGACAGGGAGCTGTGGGAGCCGTGGCTAGAACACAGCTTGAGGGGTGACGGCAGGAAGTTGCTCCCAAAAGCCTGGTGCTGGCTGTGGAGGAAGGGCTACCCAAAGAGGCCCAGCCTGCCCCAAGAGGGGCAGCACCTGCCAGCATCCCAGGAAGGAGGAAGGGGAATCAGCAAACTCCCACCTCTGCCCTTCCCTCTCCTCTCCCCGACACCTTAGGAAGCAAGGACAAAGCCTAAGTGATGCTGACCATGGATGAGGAGCTGGCAAGCCCCCAAACTGGGGATTAGCCCAGAGGATCCTCGGCTTCAACCAGGAAAGAATTCAAGGGCGAGCTGGTGGTGTTAGCAGCTTTTACTGAAGCTGCCATGCAAAGCAGCGGCAGAGGTCCTAACTCCTTGCAGAGCAGGGCGACCCCACAGGGAGTGTGCCCAGAGTGGCAGCTCAGGGGCAGGCCTGCAGTCATATTTATACCCACTTTCAATTACATGCAAATTAAGGGGCAGATTATGCAGAAATTTCTAGGAAAGAGGTGGTAACTTCCTGGTGGTTGGGTCGTTGCCATGGAAAGGGGTGGTAACTCCCTCGTGTTGCCATGGCAATGGTAACTGACCTGGCACACTGGTGGGCGTGTCTTATGGGAAACAGCTTCTGCTCTGTCTGTTTCAGCTTGTCCTCAGTTTGGTCTGGTGTCTGAGCCCCACCTCCCCTCAGAGGGAGAGCAAGAGCCGAGGAGAGAAGGGCAGGGCTGAGCTGAGCTGGGGGGAAGGTGCACCTGGGAAACCATCAGCGGCCTAAGGAAATCAGTGTAACGTGGCAGCAGAGATTTTTTGTTTATTTTGTTTGTTTTTTTGTTTTTTTTTTTAAATTTTACTTTAAACTCTCAGATACATGTGCAGAACGTGCAGGTTTGTTACATAGGTATACATGTGCCATGGTGGTTTGTTGCACCTATCAACCCCTCATCTAGGTTTTAAGCCCCGCATGCATTAGGCGTTTGTCCTAATGCTCTCCCTCCCCTAGCCCCCCAAACCCCAAAAGGCCCCAGTGTGTGATGTTCCCCTTCCTGTGTGCATGTGTTCTCATTGTTCAACTTCCACTTATGAGTGAGAACATGCGGTGTTTGGTTTTCTGTTCCTTTTTTAGTTTGCTGAGAATGATGGCTTCCAGCTTCATCCATGTCCCTGCAAAGGACATGAACTCATCATGAACTCATCCTTTATTATGGCTGCATTGTATTCCATGGTATATATGTGCCACATTTTCTTTATCCAGTCTATTATCAATGGGCATTTGGGTTGGTTCCAAGTGTTTTTTATTGTAAATAGTGCAGCAGACTTCCTTTACAGAGTTGAGGAAAGGATACCCAGAGAGGTGTTCATTGATCTGAGGGTAAGGGCACAGAGAAGAGGTCCAGCTGGCTTTCAGTCTCCATTGCAGGATCACTGAAGGAACAAATGAAGGAATGTGTGGGAGCTACGCTTACGGAGCACTTACTGTGCACTTGTGGCATATTTCACACACAAACGTCAGTCCACGCTGTGAGTTTGCGCTTTATCCTAGAGCAATGGACAGATGTTTTTAGTAAGAGAGTGACAAAATGAAGCTCAGCCGTGGTGTATTGGAAGAATCGAGGGGCAAGGGTCTGGTCACAGAAGAGTCAAGAGGCTCATGAGAGGTGTGATCGTAACGGTTATAAGAATTTAGTGAATACTTCCCATGGCACACCCGCCAGCAGCAGCTGCTTCCAATAAATTACTTTTTTAGTCCGAACAACTCCATTCTATGAGATAGAGATAGGCACTAATAGTCTCCTCATTTTACAAATGAGCAAACCGAGGCTCAGAGAAGGAAAGAAGCTGAACTCATATTCTACAGTCAGTAACTGCTAGAACTTGAGTTCAACGTGACGACAGAGCCCACACTCTTAACCCCAGGCAGAACCACCTCTCAGGGTAAAAGCCATGGGGAGAGGTGTCGGGGGCCCTGTAAGGCCAGAAGCACGACCCCTGCTGGTCTGGGGGAGTTCCTCCCTCTGCTTATCCTGCAGTTTTTCGGGCAGTTGGGCCTCACCTTCATCTTCACTGGGCCCACCATCATCTGTGTTTCTCTGTTGGGTGTCACCTATTTCTCTGTAAGTTCCCCAACGTTGGAAAATTGTTAAGTAGTCAAGACCACATTTTGTTGAAATTGAATGTCAGTTAAGAAAAATCACTATCAAAAAAAAAAAATTAAGGGATTCTATTAAATAACCTCCAAATAAAAGCTTGAGTTTTCCCAATATCTGAGAACCATTTTAGAAGGAAAATGTAAACAGGTCCTTTATTCAAAGAGGCTAATCATGAGTAGGTCAGTCTCAGAGGAAAAAAACCTTTTCGTATTGGATTCCTAGTTGAAGAAAATATTTATATTTATAGGAACAAAACGTTATTGTTTCTTTGGGGATCAATAAGAGGATAGTTCCGTGACCCAAACCTCCTCTCATCTCCCTCCACCAAATGTCATGGGATTGACCCAGATTCCTCACCGGGCTGCTCCCTACACCCAGGTATGGACAGCAGGAAACAGAAAACCCAGAATATTTAGCAAGCATCATTAACCCAATGCCATATCCACATGGAAACATATTCAGAGAGTTTACCAGAGTGTGGTAAAATGTACTGGATTCCTGGAGGTCCCCACCTACCCCCCAAGAACCTGCCCTAGTGAATCCAAGTCAATATTATAAGGTACCGAACTCTGGAAATCCCTCCTGAGCCCTGTGGGTGAAGACTCAACCATCGTCACTCCCATTCCCTCACTAAAGAAGGGAATAAACAGAGTAAGTAAGGGGTAGAAACCAGTAACAATATAAACCAAAACAACAGGGAGAGAAATTCACAGTTGAGATAAAACTCACTGTTTTGTTGTTACTATTTATTTTTGCTGTTGGTTTTAGTTGTTTCTGAAGTGCACTAATTGGAGAAACTGCCACAAAAATGGAGGACAGGGATGATAAGTATACTTTGAGAGTGAGTGCTATTCTGAGTTTTCAGAAAATTTAAGTCTATCACACCAGTAAAATTATAGAAAAAGCTGAGCATATGAAGAAAGCCTTTTTTTGTGACTCCTAATGCCTGTATGCATAATTCCACATCAAACATATTCACATTATTAACTTTTTAAAGTTTATTAGTCTCAGTGCTAATGAACTCATTCATCCTTGGCAAATGCATATGGCTCCCTAATGAAACGTCAATAGATAGATCGGCAGTGAAGTGAGCACGTCCAATAGTTGATGCCAAATTCCACTTGGCGGTAATGGCTGGAAAGAGAAGATCACTTCCAAAGAGACATTGGAGGCAGCATCACATAATGGGAAAAGCACTACAGTGGATGTCTACAGACCAGGATTCTATGCCTGGCTGTGCCACTTGGCAGCTGAGTGACCTTGAGCAAGTCACCTAACGTTTCTAGGACTCAGTGCCTTTTCTGCAAGAAGAGGAGACTCATCTAGCTCATCCCCAATGTTCTTTCTAGATTTGCACTTCCATGCCTTTTCTCCCTACACCCTGCCAAGCCCACCATCCCCTAACCTTTAAGGACATTATCAGGAGCGTGTACACGTTATGATGCATGGTATGCTGTATTTAGACATATGCCTAGTTAAACAATGGTTCCTTCTTTCTGGATCAAATTAAAACTTGGCTCCTTAGGAGACACCATGCCATAGGTTATAGGTTTTAATTTCTGACCTGTTTGAACATTGCACAAGTTCAGAGTTGTAATGAGTTTCCTAACCTGCGCTGGTTTGTGTCAGCCCGCATGACAGTGTGCTGAGCGTGCTACGGAAAATATAAAATGGAAAGTTTAAAAAAAATCATCTAAGCAAGCCTCCCTTTCTCTCAGTTATCAGTTTTAAAAAGGAGCCTGAATGTGGGCACTCTTCTGTTTGGAGTTTCCTGAACTGCTTGCATTAATTCTCCAGGGTAAACTTCCTGTCTTCATGCAATGATGGGGTTTTTTTTCCTACTTTACCTCAGATCTTTAAAATTGTACAACAGCTTGGAAGTCAGGATGTTTTTCTCCCAATGCTTCATGAAAAGAGGCTGCTTTATTATTGAGCAAAAGCAAAAATAATAATCATGCAAAGCTTTTCCTTCTGGACGGCATAAATTATCTCCAATTTTCCTCATTATTTTCTTCTGCAGGGTATAAAGAGATTGCCTGTGGCAAAATATGTATCAGTACAAACAAATAGAAAACAGTTTAAACCACTGAAGTATTTACCTTTATTTATTTAAAAGAAGACATTTTAATCCTATTAATGGTAAATTATATTACCTATTGTGAAAGCAGACATGAAAGAAATATTTGAAGCATGCAGTTAATTATGATACCAAGTGACACATAATATTTATGCTCTTCTTGTATAGCCCGAACAATTTTTCTTTCACTAACTGTGAGTCACACACTGATTGAAGTCTGGAAGCTGATGCTGAGACGGAACCACAGGCACATCTGCCGTCGATGCCTCATTCTACAGATAATTAATGTTACAAGGAGTAGCCATTGTTTAGTCTTTCAAAGTCCCAATTTCACATAGAGCAAAAAAAATCTCTTCCCCCATGCTTTTACTTTAATTCTCCATTTCAGCATATTTATTAAATGTCCGTACCAGCATGGCAAAACAGGGAGCTTGCAAACAAATGTCAAGATAGGACAGCTGTGTCTTCACCAGGGCCATGGACTTTGTGCACACTCCAAGACCTTCATGAAAGCAGCAGCCCTCTTTGAGGGAAGTGACTAAACCCATCTAAGTCATTGTTTCCACATGAGTATGCGCTTCTACACTATTAGAATAAAAGATAAGATGTTGGTAAAAGTTAGCAAGCGATATTCCTCTTTGATGATGGTGACCTAATCAGGCTGTGGCAGAGAAACAGACAATGTGGTTCCTGGATGGTTGGTGCTCCCATCACACGCAGCCCGCCCCTGGGGGTGAACTTGCTGGGGGGTCACTCTTGATGGTGGAGGGTATGACGGCCCGTGACCCGCTGGGCCGTGCTGCCTCTGGGCAGAGTTTCAACTAGCAAAACCAGCTCCTTCTTTCATACGTAAGAGGCTTTGGTCGAAAGTATCACACCTGTTTCTACCAAGTGGCTTCCTAGCAGCGGCGGACATTTGCCCAGCTTCTGTTGGGGTCCTGGTGCACGTGCTGTTGTTCCCAGCAGTGGTTCCGAGGTTTCTTTGAACTTTCCCATTTTGTACTCTGTGAGTCATGTAAGCATCTCATCTGACACTTTGGTTTGATTACCACTTGCAACCCCAAAATGGATTGAGTAGGAATCTCATTGACTATGGAAATAGCCGTCATTGACCATAAGACATCCCCACTATTCGATGGCATCTTGAGATGAGGAGCAAATACAAGCCTAACAATCAGAATTTTTATTCACCTGTTGTTTTCCACTAGATTTCTATTAGATTAAGATTAATTTTGTATGTGGTACATAAATAATACCATATATTTGTGATTTGAAGTAACAAGAGTGATCAATCTTATTGAACACTTACTAGATACTAAGTGCTTGATACACATTCTCATTTATCCTCACGAAGTAAGTTTGCAAAGTCAACACTAATATCCCCTTTGGTCAAGGCATAAACTGAGGCTAAGTAACTTGCTGAAAACCAAGAACCAATAAGCTGAAGAACCGTAATTCAAATGCAAGCAGTGTTTGGTCCTCACCATCATCTATTTCTCATTTATATTTTAATAGTTTGGTGCTATGAAAATATTACACAAATATTAACAATTGAGTAAAAGTATTTAAATTTGATTTCAAAATCCGTTAAGAGTTAGAGAAATTATTCTACCAGACCTCATTTAGCTACAAAATATTCAGAACATTTAATTCAATTTTCAGATTATAATCAGATACTTTTTCTTAACTGAGGTATAATTTACATTTTCTGAAATGCACAGATCTTACTTAAGTGTATGGTTTGATAAGTTTTGACAAATGCATATGTCTAAGTAACCCAAGGCTTCGTCAGGATACGAAATATTTCTATCACACCAGAACATGCTTCTTGCCTGATCTCCAGTCTCTCCTTGCCCACCACATACGCATCACTGTTCTGATTTCCATCAGATCATCCTGCCTGTTTCTTGCTTCATGTTGGCTCAAACAGCATTGCGTTTTTTTCTATTGCTGCCATAAAACAAATTACTACAAACTGGGCCAATGTTACTTGTACTCATGCATGGGTGTGAATTTAGCTCTCCAACATTTTATTCTATGCATAGGTTTCTACCACTGCAGTTAAGATCCTGAACATTCTATCATCATAAGGATTTCTTGTGTTACCATTTAATAACCACAGGCCCCTCTCTCCAGCTTCTCCCCTGCCGTATCTAACCCCAGAAAACCACTAATCAGTTATCCATTGCTGAAATTTTGTCATTGAAAAATCCTTTATAGATGAAGTGGCTTTTTTTACTAAGCATAATTACAAATTCATAATTGGAAGTGTATCACTAGAAATTTATCCAAGTCCTTGTGTATATCAATACTTTATTCTTTTTGTTGAAGAGTGGTATTCCATGGTTTATTTAACCATATATATGTCGAAAGATGGCCAGGTTGTTTCTAGTTTTGGGCCAGTTAAAAAAAAAAAGGAGTATTAACATTCATGTGCAGGTTTTTCTGTGAACCTGTTTTCATTTCTCTGGGTTAACTGCTGAATAGTACAATTGCTTAGTTGTATGGTAATTGCACTTTTAGCTTTATTTAAAAACTGCAAAACTCTTTTCCAGAGGGGCTGCACCATTTCAAATTCCCACCATCAGTGGATGATTGATTCCCATCCTCGCCAGCGGTTGATATTGTCACTATTTTTATGTTAGCCTTTCTAATAGGCATATAGTAATAGCTCATTGCAGTTTTGATTTGCATTTAACTATTAGCTAATACTGTTGAACATCTTATCATACATTTATTGCTCATATATTGTATATCCTCTTCAGTGAATGTCTGTTCATATCTTTTGTTCATTTTCTAATTGGATTGTTTATTTTTTGAATTTTGAGTTGTGAGAGTTCTTTATATATTCTAGATACTCTTCTTTTGTTGAGTATGTGGTTTGAAAATGTTTTCTAATAATTGACAGGGTTTTTTCCTTCTCTTTGTAGGAACTTTTGAAAAACAAATGTTTTCAATTTTGATGAGGACCAATTAACCCATTTTTTTCCTTTTATTAATTAGACTTTTGGTGTCAAGTCTAAGAACTGTGCCTATCCCTACATTCCAAAGATTTTATTCAATTTTTTTCTAATACTTCTTTAATTTTATGCAATATGTTTCAGTCTATCATTCATTCTGAGTTACTTTTTGTATAAAGTGTGGAACATGGGTCAGGTCCTTTTTCTCTCTCCCTCTCCCTCTCTCTCTTTCCTATCTCTGTCCAATTGTTCAAGCACCATGTGTTGAGAAGTTCATCCTTCCTCCATTAAATTGCTTTTTTCACCTTTTTCAAAAATAAGTTGAGCATATGTGTGGAGTTCTATTTCTGGGTTTTCTATTCTGTTCTGAGTATCTATGTATCTATCCTCCCACCAGGTCCACACTATCTAGATCATGCAGCTACATAGTAAGCCTTGCTATCAGGTAGAGCTATTCCTCCTACTTTATTCTCTGTCATCAATATTATTTTCTCTATTCTAGGGCCTGTGCCTCTTCACATGAATTTTAAAGTAAGTTTTATCTATATCTACAAAAAACAATCCTACAGAGATTTTGAAAGGAGCTGCATTAAACCTGTAGATCAATATGGGGAGAAATGAGATCTTTTTATGTCGATTCTTCTAATTTATCAATATGGTTTGGTTCTCCATTTGTTTATGTCTTCTTTGACTTCTTTAATCAGCATTTTTCAATGTGCAGCATACAGATTCTATATATATTTGGTAAAGTGGATACTTTAGTACATATTTCATTTTGTTCAAGGGCAATAATGAATAGTATTGTGTTTTTAATTTAGGTTTCCACATTCATTACTGATATATAGAAATTCTTCTTGAATTTGTGTCCTGCAAGTTTGCTGAACTCACTTATTAGTTACATAAGGTTTTTTTGTATGTGTAAATTCCTTGAGATTTTCTATACAATCATGTCATTTTCAAACAAAGAAATTTTAATTTCTTCCATATCAACCTGTGTGCTTTCTGTTCCTTTTCTTATCTTTTTGCAGTGGATAGAATTGCAAGTACTAGGTTGAATACAATTGGTGAGAGCTAACATCCTTGCTTTGTTTCTGATCTTAGGAGGAAAGCCTTAAGTCGCCATTAACTATGATTTTAGCTATAGTTTTTTTAAATAAATCTTCTTTATCAAGTTGAAGTAAGCCCCTTCTATTCCTCACTTGCTGAGAATATATTTTAAATCATTAATGGTGTCAGATTTTTGACAATTTGATGCTTTTTTATATTAATTAATGTGATCATATGGTTTTTCTTCTTTGGTGTGTTCGTATGGTAGAAAACCTTGGTTGATTTTCAACTGCTGACCAGCCTTGAATAACACTCTGCATCCATTCTGCTGGTCTCTGTATTTTGACTAGTATATTAAGTCCATATATATTAAGGTAATTATATGTTAGAGTTGAAGTCTATCATTTTCATGTGTTTTCTCTAGTTTTTCTCCTCTTTTTCTCTGTTCTTGACTTCCTTTGAGTTATTTAAACATATTTTTACAAATCTTTCTTGGTTTATGTGTAGAGTTTTTACATGTATCTTTTTGTATAGTTTTCACAGTGATTGCTCTGGCTATTAAAATATGCATATATCATGTGGCTTGACCTAGTGGTATCAACGTCTTACCACTTTAAGTCTGAAACCCTTATCTCCATTTAGGCCCCTTTGGCCTTTCATTTAGAAGATCATTGTGTTGAGTATCAGATGCTGTTAAAATATTTGTTTCAATCATGAAATGCAATTTATAAAACGCTTGAGAACAAAGTAGTCCACCATACGTACCCATCTTTCTGCTCCTCCATTGCTCCTTCCTCCTTCTGCAGATTCAAGGTTGCTTCTTTTACTGTTTCTTTTTCTATTTGAAGAACTTCTTTTGGTGAGTCTTTAAGGGTAGGTCTTCCAGCCACTAATTCTTTTAGTTTTTCTGTCCTCTGAGAATTTCCTTATTTCCCCATTATTCCTAAAGGATGGTTTTACCGTATATAGGATTCTAGGTTGACAGTTGTATTTTTTCAGCAGTTGGAAATTTTTATTCCATTTCCTTTTGGAATCTATGATTTCAGATGAGTATTGGCAGAGTGCTCAGATAATTTGTTTTCATCAACTTTGGGGAAAACAGACTAAATGCTCTTTTAGGCCTACCTACCAAAGCTAAAAAGCAAAAGAGGCAGGGAACAGACTGTTTCCAATTCACTTTACTGCATGAGAACAAAGTTTAAGAATGTTTATACAGTTGCAAAAATATCCAGCACCCAACATAGTAAAATTCAAATATATTGTATCCATCAAAAAGGCTGGCCATGCAACAGTAGGATAATATATCCAATATTAAGATGAAATTTGCTTAATCAAAACTAGCTCAGAAATGACACAAATAGAACATTAGTTGATAAGGACATCGAAACAGTTAGTAAAACTATATTCTATATATTTAAGAAGCTGGAAATAGACTGAGCAGATTAAGTGGTGACATTGAGAATATAATAAAATCCCGAAGAAAACTTCTAGACATTAGAAATACAGCGTCTGGGATTAAAAATGCATGGAATTGGATTAACAGAATATTAGACATTTCAGAAGAAAAGAAGAGTAAGCTTGAAGACACAGCAATAAATACGTAGAGAACATAGAATTTTAAAAATGAAAAGAGCATCAGGGAGCTGTGATGAACTTCAGCGTACAGAGGAATGAGCATAAGCAACAGCAAATTTCTAGTCAAAACAATGCAAGTCAGAAGACAATGGAGAAGCATCTTTAAGTACAGAAGTGAAAGGGAAAATAAGGGAAGGGAAAAAAAAGAAAAGTAGAGAAATAAACTGCCAACCTAGAATCTGTACCAATGAAAATAGCTTTCAAAAACATTGGTGAAACAAACACTTTTTCAGATATATCTAAGCTGAAAGAATCACCAGCTCAACTACACCACAAGGAATGTTAAAGTCGGTCCTTCAAGGAGAAGGAAAATGATCCCAGATGGCAATTCTGGACCTATTCTAAGGTTGCTCAATTATAGCATTACTCACACTTTGGGGAGATAATTTTCTGTTGTGGGAGGATTCCTATGCACTGGAGGACATTTTGCAGCATTTCTGGCCTCTACCAATTTGGTTCCAGTAACACTCCCCACTCCCTAGTTGTGATGACCAAAGTCTCCACACATGGCCAAATGCCTCTTGCAAGGGAGAAAATTGCTTTCGTTGAGAATCGCTAATCAACACAAAAGATGAAGACCACTGGAAATGGTCACTATGTGAGTAAATGTAAAAAAAAATAAAATTAAAAAGCTAATTGCCTGTAAAAAGCAAAAGTAATAATGTAGTTAGGGCTGTATAACATGTAGAAATAAAACATATGACAACATTAGCACAAGGCTAGGAAAAAATAAAGTTGTATCTTCCTAAGTTTCTTATTCTGTATAAGAAGTGATAAAATATCACTTGAGGTAAACCCTTATAAGTTAAAGTTGGATACCATAAGTCCTATAGCAACCATATAGCCACCTATAGCAACCATATAGCAATAATTTGTTATGTATAACAAAATATTCTAACTAATAAGCCAACAAAAGAGACAAAATTGAATGATAAAAATGCTCAAATAATTCAAAAGAAAGCAGAAAAAGACAAAAAAGAGAACAAAAACTGGATGGCACAATAGAAAATAAATACCAAAATGGCAGATATAAACCCAGTCATATTAAAATTGTATTAAATATAAATTATGTAAACACTCCAATTAAAAGACAGAGATTGTCTTAATGATTTCTAAAGCCATAACCAGCTATATATTCTGTCAACAAAAAACTCAATTTAAATATAAAGACACAAATTAGATGAAAGTTTTATTAATGGAGAACTATATGTCATAAAAACATTAATTTTTACAAAGCTTGAGTAGCTATATTAATGTCAGACAAAGACGATTTCAAAGTCAAGATTTTTTAGGGATAGTTATATCATAATATTAAAGGAAAATCAAGCGTATATAACAATCTTAAATGTTTACACATCTAACAACAGAGCTTTAAATACAAGAAGCAAACACGCATAGAACTACCAGGAGAAATCAATAAGTCTACAGTTATAATTGGAGGTTTCAATGTCCCTCTCTCATTATTGATAGAACAAGTGGAGGAAAAATCAGTAAGTTTATAACAGACTTGGCCAACACTGTATGCTAAATTGGCTTACCATTAATCAGAGTAAAATATACATTATTTTCTAGTGCACACAAACATTTACTAAGAGAGACTAAGTTCTAGTGCATTAAAAAAAAACTAGAAAGATGAGAAATTCTTTGAACTGATAAACCACATATATTTTAAAAAGTACAGCTAACCATAGACCTAATGGTGAAAGATCAAAAGTTTTCCCCTTAAGATCAGTAACAAGGCAGATACCTACTACTTCTATTCAACATTGTATTGGAAGCTAGTCGTAAAGCAAGGAAGAGAAATAGAAGGCATACAGATTGGAAGGAATAATTAAGACTGACTTTATCTGGAGATGAAATGATAGTATATATGGAAAATCCCATAGCATCTAAAAAATTAAAATTAAAAACCTACTAGAACTAATAAGTCAGTTTAGCTAAACTGAAGGATTCAAAATAAATACACAAAAAATTAACTGCATTTCTGTATACTAGCAATATGTACAGAGAATTAAAATCTTTTAGAAATCCATTTAAAATAGTATCAAAATATGAAGTATCATGTACTGAAGAATGAGTCTGACAAAGATGTGCAAGACAAGTACACTGAAATCTATGATGCTGCTGAGAAAAATTAAAGAAGTTATCAACAAAAGAAGACATACACCATTTCAATCAGAATACCATGAGTGTTTTGTAGAAACTGACAAATGACTTCTAAATTTCAATATTGGAAACCTTAAACTACCTGATTTCAAGATTTTTCTAAAGCTATGGTGATCTAAACAGTGTGAAATTGGCATGAAGATAGAAAAATAGATCAACGGAACAGAATAGAGAGTCCAAAAATAGACAGACACATTTGAGTGAACTGACTTTTGACCAAATAACAGGGAAATTCAGAAAAGATGGATGTTGTTAACAAATGATGCCAGAAAACTGAAGAGCCATACAGGGGGAATACTTTTTCATACTTTAGATAAAAATTAAACTCAAAATAGTTCAGGACCTAAATTTAAACCTAAAATTATAAAATTTCCAAAAGAAAACATACGGAAACTCTTTTTGAGCCCTTCGGCTAAGAGTAGGACCGGTAAAGGAAAAAAAATCTGTAGATTGGGCTAATTGAAATTAAGAACTTTTGGTCTTTGAAATGCATTGTTTAGAGAATTTAAAGACGAGTCACAGATTTGGATAAAATATTTCACATTACATAACTGATAAGAGTTTCATATCCAAAATATACTAAAAAATGTAAAACCTCAATATTCAATACAAAGCCAACTAGTTAAAATAATGCAAAAGATTTGAACACTTTGCCCAAAAAAGACGGCAAATACGTGCATGAAAAGACGTTTAACTTTGCTGGTCATTCGCAACATGGAATTTAAAATCTTCCCAAGATGCTGCTATGCATCCTCATTAGACCATCTGAAACTGACCATACCAAGTGTTGTTGGGGGGTGTGGAGCAACCCAAAGACTAACACACAGCTGGGGGGGGATCCAAAATGGTATAATATCTGTAGACGTCAGTTGGCACATTTTCAAAAGTTAAACATACACTTCCCCTACAACTTAACATCTTATTCTTGGATATTCGCTCAAGAAAAATAAAAACACACATCCTATAGGTGAATGTTTATAGCCGCTTCATTTATAGTTACCAAAAACTGAAAATAATCCAAAATGCCCATGAACAGGTAAATAGTTAAGAATGTTTGGAACAATGAATACTAATCAGCAATGAAAAATAATAAATCCAATCAACACAATACTGGGGATGAACCTCAAAGCATTATGCTAAGTGAAAGCAGCCAGACACAAACAGCTGTAGGTTGTGTGATTTTATTTGATGTATATGACATTCTGAGAGATATAGGGACAGAAATCAGACCAGCAGATACCAGGGTCTTGGGGTAGGGAAGAAAGATTTGGAAATTCTATACACTCATCAAAAGCCATGAAATTCTACACCTAAAAAAGTGATTATCATATTGTATTATATCTTAATCAAATTGACTTTTTCCCCCTACATCCTTTGCTTACCTTTCTGCCTGTAGTCCTAAGTTTTTTTCTCATGACTTCCGCAGTAAATAACTAAAAGTGTTTCTTTTAGCGTGTGTCTTATTGGTAGTTTTGTTTCTAGCTCATGAACTGCAACGTGAGTGAAAACATTGTTTCTCCATTAAAAGCCCATGGCATGAATCAGTTCCTCTTTGCAGGCCCTGTTCTGTGATTCCGTGGCAGTGGACAGACCCCACATGAGCCTCACATCGCTCTGTGAATTGGACAGAGCAGGCTGTAGTGCTGACAACACTTGGGTCCTTGTCGGTAATCCCAGTGCCATTTGTTTCTGGGAATTCCATGGTTTTTCCAGGCTCCTACCGCTAAGATTCATTTTGGGAAATGTGATCATGTGACATCTCTTGCCAAATGTCCATGAAGCAAACTTTATTCCCTGACCATCCTTTGCTTCTGGGACAACCCATATGGAATGGAACCTTGGCCTTTCTCTGCCTGCATTTCGGCCCAGTGGCCAGAAACAATGCTAAGCCCCAGCCCATTTCCTTCTCCTGGGCCTCACTCTGTTGCCTCTCAGTTTGCCAGAGCCACGGTTTCCCCAGACTGAAGCCCTTGATATGTGTCCAGCATCTATTCTAGCAAGACCTTTCATTCATCCTGCTGAAAGTGTGCACGGCCACCCCAACCCCACATCCTACCTAGGACTCCAGAGCCTTGGAGAAGGGGAGGGGCCACTCAAAGTCTGCTGAGCATGGGCCTCCCTTCTTTTCTGGGGTCCTTCCAGCCTGATTGAGACCCTCTCAGAAGGGAGTGGAAGGTGGCACTGGGAAATAATGGCAGCGTGCTAAAATTAAGTATTTTAAGAGCTTGTATTGGGTGGAGGGGGAGCATCTGGTCCATTAGGGTTTTCAGAGGTTTGAAAATTGAAGGAAGGCTGAAACATCCTATCTGGACACCCTGCTTCTTACAAGGCGACACTTACTACAATAAGAAATGTCCCCTAAGCATCTCCTGGTGTGGCGAGCATAGTGAGCTCATAGCCCACATCCTTTCCCCTAGTGCTTGCCGCAGGCCGGCCATGGCCAGATGTCCTGGCAAATGAGATGTACCTGTGAACAAAGCAAGCAAATCCTGCCCGGGCAAAGCTTATGTTATTTAAATAACTACTGCGACCAGAATATGAGAAATGTATCTTACTTGGTGTTTGAATCTTTTTTTTTTTTTTTTTTTTTTGCTAATTGCTTTGAAAAATTTTTGAGCCAATATTAACACAGAATAGAGACAATAGAAAAGGCAATAAACAAAATCCTGAAATGCATCTTTAAAAAGCCCAAATGATAACAAGAAAATATCTTTGATGTTTGCTTTGTTTGGCCATGTCACCGAAATACAATAGTCCTCAGACCCACCAAGAAAAAAATATCTCCAAAGTTCACAATGGCAGGCAGGGACCCCCATCAAGATCCATCTCAGATGATAAGCACAGGCTTTGGGGCCAGAAAACCTGGATTCTACTCTCAACTTGGAGACGTTGCTTAAGATTTCTGGGCCTTGGTTTCCTTAGCCATAAACATGACTGTACAAATGCTGCCTGCCTCCCTGGCCTGGTGGGAGGAGCAAGCAGATGAAATGTGCACGGCTGACCAGGCCAGCTGCTGTGCAGGCCCTTTGTGTGCAAGCTTGTTGCCACCTCACAGAATAGAGAACTCCCCCAGAACACACGTTCAAAAAACCATACGAAGATGTGATTGCAGCGAAAAATCATAGAGCAAGTCTGTGTTTTTAAAATGGTAATATAATGGGGTATATACATATATATGCATACATATGACAAATATAATGGTATATATGTATACATATGTGTATAATATATACATACACAAATATAATGATATATGTGTGTATATATTTGTATATATGCATATACAAATATAATGGTATATATGTGTAATATAAAGTTATAAAGGACATGCATGCTTGATGCTTTTTCTTGACGATATTGGGTTTTGGTGGTGTTTTAATTTTGAGGCTAAGCTGAAGCTAGGGAATTTTAAAAAATACAAATATAATATTCACAACCTGATCGCAATCTTCTGATATCTAGCTGTTAATCAGAGAACAACCAAACACAGGGACTGCTTTCATCCCCACAACCGAGAGGGTCCCTAACCCTAAGGACTCACAGCAGACACAATCAAATGACCTTTCCTCAAAGCTCTTCTCCAAGAGAAAGGCTGGAGCTCACTGCAAGGGTTGGGCTTGGGAAAATATGTCCTCTGTCTCTCTATCGCTAAGAATGTGAATTATCTGGAATCCTTTTCCTCCTTACCCATAATTGTGTCATTTGCTTTTCTCAGTGTGGCAGGAACAATCTGTTTCTTTTCTATTTCCTGCTGGTGTCATCTTGTCATATTTGGGTTCAGCAGTAAGATTCCTGTGTTTTGTATCTCTCAGTACTAACTAGGGATATTCAAATCTCCAAGTAAGTTCTGTGCACTCACACACACACTCATTCACATCAATTTCATCATTAACTTCTTGAGGGCAGGGACCAGGTTTTTTTGCGTTTGGCAATGCTCAGTACCTGCATTTTTGAATGATGAATACATTATATAAACCTATTTATTGGCCAAAGCCTAAAGTAAAGGTAAAATTATCTGTAAGTGTCTCATACCATATGCTAAAACATGAACATTTGAAATAGTTTACTCTGTGGGCTCACGCCTGTAATCCGAGCACTTTGGGAGGCCAAGGCAGGTAGATCACTTGAGGTCAGGAGTTTGAAACCAGCTTGGGCAACATGGCGAAACCTCATCTCTACAAAAAAATTTTAAAATTAGCCAAGCATGGTGGTGCATGCCTATAGTCTCAGCCACTCGGGAGGCTGCGGTGGGAGGACTGCTTGCACCTGGGAGGTGGAGGCTGCAGTGAGCCAAGATGGTGCCACTGAACTCCAGCCTGGGAGACACAGAGAGATCCTGTCTCAAAAAAAGGAAAGGAAAGGAAAATAAAGGAAAGGAAAGGAAAGGAAACGAAAGGAAAGGAAATAGTTTGCTCCATTTTCTATTGTAAATAGCACTGACCCACAGACCAGACAACAAAATTATTTTTAAACTTTATTGACTCCATTTTTTCTGTCTTTCACCAATATTCAAATTATGGAATGTAATGTATCTACAAGAGTGTAGACCATCAGAGGTTGTCATAAAACTGTGAGAACTGGTGGTCTATGAGCTACGTGGAGATCATTTTAATCACTCCTTATTAAAATACCAGTGGGTATTCCCATCAAAAGAAGGATGCCATCAAGTCAGCACCATTCTGTCCCCTTGATGTGCATGAAATTGTCATTATGTCTGATCTGAATATATGTCTATGTAGGAAAAATAAACTAGAATTCTGTTTACAGCTTTTTCCTGAATTCCTTAAGCTCATCATTCAAATGGCCCTCTTCATCCCTAAAATATGCGTACTTAAGCCAGCACAGATGTGGTGGGGGATGCAGGTTGGAAAACTGTGTTAATGCAACATCCTGCCTCTTGGATGCCTCCGTTTGCCATAGGAAAGCTAATGGATGTGTCCCCGGGAGATGAGAAGCTGGCCCATGGCAGGCAGCTCCAGAGCTCCATATGGAAATCCACTATTAAATGTAGGTGCTCTTGAGGGCTGCTTAATTAGTAAACTCAGGCGGCCACACAGTTCTCCGGGTCCCTGGGTGGGAATTCCATTCCGGCAGTGAGGTTGCATCGGGCACATGGCCTCTGCTCCGCACCCGCCTTTGTGCCAGCTCCGGGTGGCCGGGTTTGGTGAAGGTTTCTGCCTGCTTGTGTGCCTGCTTCTCGTGCCCGTGTTTACTAGGTCTATTGCTTTTGTTGTGTTTTGTTGCCCTCACCCCTCCCTGGCCATCCGATTTCAAGGCCCCTTGGCCTTCCCCTCAATACCATTCTTCGGCAGCCTCTCCTTCCTTCCCACAGTCCATCTATCATTTTCACTGACTTCGACACGATCTCTGACACAACCCCCTAACCAGGCAGGGAGCTGGGTTAGGGGCACAGCTGCTCTGTGCTCTACAGGGACTCACACTTCCCCTGCTCGAAGCCCTCTGCTGTCACCGGCTTAAAAGGCCAGAGAGCTAGAATGTCTGGGTGGACTCTATCTGCTTGCTGTCGTCATGGCCTCAAGCCAGCCACGAATCCTGTGTGTTTTCATGGCGGGTGTTGGCGGGGGGGTAAAGGTTTCTAGGATTTGGCTCTTCCAACACCTTCGAAAATTCTTTCACCCTCCTCTTATGTTTTAGGATTGAAAACAAACAAACAAACAAAGGATTCCAATTCAACATTGCAAGAGAGAGAATGTAACTCATACCCGGAACTTTAAATACTCCAGATGTGATATCATTTCCAAAGTAATGATTAAACTACAAGGCAAGCTTTTGCTTTGAAGGAGTCGTGTTGATGCTGACGGCTTACCTTCTTCACAAACTGGCAAACTAGTCACAATCAAAGTAACATATATGCCTGCTTCATGTGTTCACTTTGCTAAAAATACATGAGTACCATTTTCAAACTAGAAAACATGACACCCCCCAAGTCCTAACTTGATTTTTGCTCTCAGTTTCATTGGAAAGAACATTCTCCCATTCTGCAAAGCCTCCTAGATGGTCAGTGTTAGGTTTTCCTGGGCCTGACTTGGGTGTTGACAATCTGACATGTTTCAAGAGGACTTAGAAACTTTGTTGATCTAAAATATACAGAGGAAATGTGTTCCATGTCTTTCCTCCACTGTCCTTTACATCTGTTGCTTCACTCATTCTCTTAATTTGATTACAATGCTTTTGCCCTTTTTTCCAGACTGGCAAATGTTGAGTGACAACTACAGCCTGCTGGCCATGATGTCCACATTTTTCAGCCCTTATAATCATCCTGTGCAAACTCATGATGTCCTCCCCTGGGTCCGGGGCATATGGGCCCTGTATTTCAACAGCTCATTCAAGCAGATGGAATTCCCATGTTCCATGTCAGGAAGTGCCTGCAGCCAGAGAGACACCAACGGCGGGACAGATCATATGAGTCACAGCGTTTTTTCCTCTTTGTGTCCGAGAGAAAGGACAAACTTTGGATTCGATAGGAACTCCTTAAAATGTTTGTCTTGAAATAGGGATGGAGAGGCAAATGTTTCCTCGCCACAAGCAGTCGCAGTCTTGCCTATGGCTCGTATGGCTGCAGCATGTAGAGAAAAGATATTTCTCTAAGCACCTTCTATGTCTCAGGCTGATGTTCTTATTTGTCCCCATTCTGCAGCTCAGAAAACTGAGGCGTAGGAGGTTAAGCACCGTCAGGAAATCTGGTGCAAAAGCCTACACTTTCACAGCCTCACCAGCCAATCAAAAACCCGGCAGGGCTGGTGTCAGGCACATATCCACCCATCCAGCTCCTTTCACAAGCTGAGAAGTTGGCAGAGTCTCATTGTAGCATTTCTCAAACCCTCCTGAGAGACCTGTGAATGGAAAACTCATGACAAACTGACTATACACTGAACTACAACCTGATTTAGAAATACCGTAGCAATGATTGCATTTTCACTTTCTATAACTGTTTTTTAACCCATTTATGTGGGCTGTGTAATTAGATAGTAAATTCAATTTCTTTGGAGATGTAATTCATTGATAATTTTGATCAAATTTAGAATGAATGCTAAATTAAGAGTAAATTCAGAGTTGAATACATTAATATTGGGGTAAATTAGGAAGGCTTTTAATAGTCAAAAATTGTAAATAGCTTTTATTGAAAAGTGTGACCACAGTAACATCTGTTATATTGGGGCCAACACAGTTAACCTTTCTTATGGGTCATTATAAGCGACAGTCAATAAAAATGTACTATGCAGAATCCTTCATACAGTTTTATCCCTTTGCACAACATCTCCACTTTTTAAGCTGTTAATAATGTTCTAAAATAAACCTTCCATCAGTTCAAGCTAGCACATTTGTCTGAGGAAAAACATAATAAATGCATTGCCTACAAGCAGTTAAAAAATCAAAACTACCGCAAGCTGAGGAAGTATCTCTATAGGGAGCCCTGGCGCATGGTAACGTTAAGTCCCCGTGCAAATCCACCCCTGTAAGCTAAGGCACAGCTGCAAAAAGAAGCGGGCACCATAAATATGGAGTCTGTAGCTATAAAACAGCAATGACGTCACACTGGAGGATTTATAAGTTCCTCCACTTCTAGCTGAGAATGTGGGCAATACAAAGCCTTTAAACAATTCTATGTCGCACAGGGTCATGGGACACCACAAAAGCAAATATTGTGTGTGTGTGTGTGTGTGTTAAAATTGGGTTTAAAAAATCTCTTTCAAAAACGCAGGCATGGTTTGCACTCTCTGTAGCATGTCGGTATTCAAGGACTGAGTTTTCAAAAGAGAAAAGTAGGTAGCAGAGTTTCCATCTGGCAGATTCCCTGTTGAAGTCACCCCAGCATCCTGCAGGAGCGTTAGTTACATTACCCTGTGCACATAACAGGCATCATTCTCTGGACTCAGCCTTTGAGCTTGGACCCAGGAATTGGCACTCAGTGGGCCATGGGGCCTCCACCTCTCCAGGCTTTGGGTGCAAAGTTTCCTAATCGTCAGCATAGAGCGTCCTTCTCCCCTGCACTAACGTCTTCCACTCTCCCACAGCGAGTGCTCATTCCCTTGATTGTGCCCAGCAACGTGGCTGTCTTTGGCACCATATCGTTGTCACCCCTCTGTCTGGGGTGTCTCACCAGGTGGGCATGCTGGTCACTCTCAGATTCCTCCTTATATGGGAGCACTTTTTGCATTCCTGTCTCCGTTGGGGGAGCTGAAAGAACTGCTGGCCCACACAGGCCGACTGGGCCTCTCACGAACATCTATTGAAACTGATGGATCTAATGCCTCGCATCTGCCAAGCTGTCATTCAAGCCAGGGGGGATTTGGAGGAAGACAAGGCAAGCGTTGTAAAAATGACTTTGTGATCTAGTTTATTGAGCTCGCCTTGAACTCCTAGGTATGGTTGGGGCAGAAAACCTTGTTTCCTGCAAAAACAACTTCACATAAATGGGAAAATGCACTATATAAGGAAGAAGTGAATATTTTCCCTTGATTTGTGCCTGAAACATACGAGTCGAGGAAAAAAAAAATCCCAGCTGTCTACTGCATTGTGTGAACATATACATGCATTTAAATTACTTATATCATTACTTACAGATGTAATTGTGAAATATGTTCTTTTTGCATTCAAAATTAGGGACTGAACAGATGGTGAACGCTCAGTTTAAAGCAATATGTCCATTAAAATAACCCGTACTGTTGGTGTTTAGTGTAACAATAGCAATGAGTTCATTACAGCAGGGTTCTGCAGCACTGCTCGTGTGGGGAAGAAGAGCTCTCAGAAAATGCTCACTGGCCCAGGTGACACACATTCTGAGATTGGGCCACTTTTCCACCCCCTCAGCCATCAGTGGAGGGCTTCCAGGGTTGAACTCCTTGTTTTGCTTAGTATTTTGCTTCTAAAGAAGAAAGTCAATAAACAGCTGACATTTAGCAGTGCTTTGCTTCTGGGTTATTTTTTCTCTGCTCTCCAGATGTGCTGAAATGTGTGGTTCCAGATGCATCACCTCCAACAGGATGATGCTGCTCCCACCAGGAAGGGGGGGTTTACCCAACCATCCTGGGTCAGGTGCTTGGGCTAACAGCACATCAGATCCCTGCTCTCTCTTCTTGGGGCTCTGCAAGGGCCACCAGGATGCCAGGCACTTTCTGGGCTGGCCAGGGCTGTCTCCTAACTCA
This sequence comes from Homo sapiens, assembly GCF_000001405.40. Taxonomy (NCBI): domain Eukaryota; kingdom Metazoa; phylum Chordata; class Mammalia; order Primates; family Hominidae; genus Homo; species Homo sapiens. The sequence goes on along the minus strand of NC_000018.10, from coordinate 75,527,946 downwards.
GTTGTGACTAAATCGACACAAGCCATCTGGGTCTGTTGCTGCCTCCCCTGTTCTCCCATGCACCACTCATAATATGAATACTCTCAAAGAAAAGAAAACAAATATCAGCATCCCTCCCCATCCCCTGCTATGATTTCCATTTCGGCAACAGTGCCAGTGGCTAATATCCTCTAGAAAACTGCTATAAATTGAAAAGAAAAATGTTGAACTCTCTCTGGGAGCCCCGAGCTAGGAAAGGAGGAATATCTTCCTGTGCAGTCTTGGGTCAATCCATTGGACATACTGATTCAGTTTCTCCATTTTTAAAACAGGGAAATCATGGTTATTCACTTCTTTCTTATGGCAGTCGATGACCAAATGAGCTGCATAAACCTCACACCCACAGCAGTTGGGGAGGAAGAGGAAGGAAAGTTCCACTGTGGGAAGAGCAGGGCATGTCTAGATGATGGTGTGCAGAACTTGCAAGTGAACTGGCCTCCAAAGTGACAGGAGTGACGGTACCTGACTCATGTCAAGGCAAAGTAAACATTCCTCCCAGGCTACGGCTGGGGAAGAGTGAGGCTGAGGACCCAGTATTCCTGGAAATACCGATGGGAAAAGACTCAGTGAAGAACCAGAGTGTTCGGGGTGGAGGGAAAAAGAACAGAGACAGGGGACACAGATGAACTTTCAGGCAGGTGTCATTGTTCTTATGTCAGAGGGTTAGGAAGACTACACACTTCCTCCTTTTCAGGGGGTGCAGGGATCTGCACCCAAACTTACCAGAGTCAAGTGTCTGCATGCTCCTCATGGTGTCCACTGTTTCCTCTTTGCTGCACCGGGACAGAAAGACAGGAGGGAGAGAGGGTGATCCAGCCTTGGGGTGGACGGAGGACAGCCCAGTAATCCCTCAGGGCCAATCTTCTGTGAGCGTCACTAGGGATAAAAGAGGGACAGATGGGGATCACTTAGTGGGAGCCGACGTAATTCAGTGGTGCTCAATTATTGCTCTTTATCAGCGTCTTTTGTAAAGGATACTCAAGCGCAGCTACCTGGGTCCACTGCAGATCCACTGAGTCAGGATTCCTGGAGATGGAACCCTGGATGTTTTCCTTTCTAAAAATTTGCTCTATAAGCAGCAATACCATGTGGGTAGGGTACAGAAGCCAGAACTGGATCCAAGCGCGGTATGCATGCCTACTTGAGATGCCTGACAGCCGTCCCATCCCTCTCAGCACCTACCGTACGGGTTCTCTTCCCAGCCCCGTCCAGCCAACCTCCCCAGACTCTACTTGGTTGTGTCCCCCCATGGTCCGTGAGCTTGCCATGTACTTCCATTCCATCGTGTTTCTGCTAATTCTATCATTTCCCAGCCCCGTCCAGCCAACCTCCCCAGACTCTACTTGGTTGTGTCCCCCCATGGTCCGTGAGCTTGCCATGTACTTCCATTCCGTCGTGTTTCTGCTAATTCTATCATTCTATTAGAATATTATTTTAATGGAGTTTTTCCCACCCATTGCCACTCTGGTGAGCCACTGCTCATCCTTGAAGGCCATGCTTCCACATCACGTTCTCTTTGCACTACTCTAGACATTACCACTGCCGTACAATGATCATATTAATTGTTGAAGCCGCATTCAACATTTACTGTGCTCAGCAATTCATGTGGTTCTTGCACGAAGTGCCGATGCCTGGGTTCTGCCCCAGGACTGCTCATGCACTGAGTGTGTGTTTTCTGAGCACCCCAGGCCACACATCTGCAAGTGGCCCCTGCAACAGATGCTGAGAACCCTGCAAAGTGCTCATGGTAGGAGAGTCTTACCTGGGCTTGGCTACAGAGCAAAGCCCTGCAACCAAATCCTGGACCCTGGAGGGCAGCATGGGTCTTCTTCACTTTTAGCGGCCAGGACCTCCCCAGCACAGTGCCTGACACATAGTAGGTGCCCGGGAAAGATGTGGCAGATTAAATAATAAGTTCGACTGGCACAGATGGCCCCGTGTGAAGTGCCAGAGACAAGGGGGAAATAAAAGGAAGACACTGGTAACACCTGCCACGATAAATAAATGAAGGGAACTCACCTGGGCCATGAGAGGAGAGGAAGCAATGACACAGGGATTCAGAAAGATGGGGGTCGGGGGTGGAATTGAAACTGTGGACTCAAGAAAAAAAAATCAAACAAAAGCAGCATAGCTACATGTGGCCAAACACGGGATGTGGAAGTCAGATACAGTCAGACTCAAGGAGGCTTGACTCAAAAAGAAATTACTTTCACCGAAGTCCACAAAGCAAGGAATGGGAATAACTCGAAAAGCAAAAGCAGAAACAACTAATGGCAGGTGTTAAGGGCTGAATCACATGCCCCAAAATTCATGTGTTGAAGTGCCAACCCTCAGTATTTCAGAATGTGGTTGTATTCGGAGGCAGAGTCCTTAAAGCAGTTGTTAAGTTAAAATGAGGTCATTAGGGTGGGTCTTAATCCGACATGACTGGTGTCCTTTTAAAAAGAGATTAGGCCACAGACACGCACAGACGGACAACCATGAGATGACAGAGAGAAGGTGGCATCTAAGCCAGGGAGAGAGGCTTCAGGAGAAACCATCCCTGCCAACGCTTTGATCTTGGGCTTCTGGCCTCCAGAGCTGCGAGACAGCAAGTGTCTGCCATTGAGGCCTCCTGGCCTGTGATGCTGTGTTATCAGTGCAACCTGAGCAAGCCCATACAGCAGGTGAGACTGCGAGGAAGTTGCTCTGCCCACTGAAATGGAAGCTTTATGTCAAAGAGTAGGAGACCCATCCATGACAGATGAGGGGCGTTACGGCTCCTGAGAGACAGGCAGAGGGCAGGAGAGGAATTCCACATCTGTGGGGGCCAAGCTAAAGTCAGACTCTCTCTGGACTCGTCCTGACCTGTGGCCACCATCATGCAGGGGCCAGCCCGTCGCACTTGATAGTTGACCAACAGCACTTACCAGGCAACCTCTGAGGGCCAACTCTTTGCCAGGCCTGGGGGAATGGCAGATCAAGGACCCTGGTCAGCCCTCCACTTGTGAACAGTGAGACAAATTACCAGGCAAAGCCTCGGTGGGATGGAGGAGGACAACAGGCAGAGATGGAAGGATCTCCTGACCAGCTAGTCGCTGGGAGGGTCATATATTCTGTCTGATTATATTTTGAAGTATAAGTGAGGATTAAGGAAGAAGGAAACATTGGGAAATCCAGGTACAGGGAGTAGAAGGGCAATTCCAGAGACAAGAGACAGCCAGGCACCTCTAGACCAAAGGATCTGGTGTGTCCCAGCTGTGAGGGTCAAGGAGATCCAGCGATGGATGTTCCTCCAATGCACTAGGCACTGCAGAGGACACTAGGATATGCTGTGCCACTGCAGAACCACGCAGGACTCTGCCTTCATGGGGCCTACATCCTAGCAGGGGGATCTGGTGTCCCAGGAATGGGCAGACCCATGAGTTGGAGCTTACCCCATTGGCATCGCTGATGATTCTGTTACTTCCCTCTAATGTCACTTGCAAATACATTTTCCTCCACCGTGACATGCTTCTCCCCACTGCCTGGCGAACTCCTATCCATCCTCTAAGGCCCCGTCCAGCTTAGCCATCTCCCAAATCCTACACAGAATGAGTTCTTCTATTCTGTGTACCCACAGCAAGTTAAGGATGAGTTGATGAAAGCATTTGCCACAGCAGGCTAAGCTTGCTTCTGCGTACAGCCCGCCTTCCCTACCATATCTGTGCCTTCAGCAATCCCTGGTTCAGCAGACATGTGTGGAGCGACTGTGGAAGCGAGTAGATGAACAGAGTGCAGTAGGTACATCATTCACTTAGGGATAAAGGGGGTATTTGGAGATGCAAAGTGCACTGCAGTCTCTATAGAAACCCAGGCTGAATAAAATGGGCCTCATGGGCAAGGCCAGCACCTGGGGCCTCTCCCTCCTGGTCAGCTGTGGTTGTGGTTCTGCAGCAAAGGGCAGTGTGCCCACCAGCCCCGGGGCTCTGAGCTCACAGCACCTTCCTCTCCACCTCTAGAGCTGCAGGCAGAAGGAAGCAATTGAAGAGCTGGGACTCCAACCGGGAAAGAGGGCGAGGCCAGCAGAGTCGGGGATTTATGTGCCTGGAGGGAGGGTTGAGATGCTCAAGGTGGGAGAGAGCACCCTTTCTGTTGACACTATGGGAACAGCAGAAATCAGTTTTTCAGAAGCCAAAAACATTGGCAGTGGTGTTTGAAAGATGAGCAAATTCCAGTTCAAAAAGTAAGAAATAAAAAATAGTACAAAATAGGAAGAATGATCAAGAGTAGGAAACCTCTCCATCTCAGATGTCAGCATTGTGGGATTTAGTGGGAAAGAAGATGAGGAGAGCCAGGGAAATGTAAAGGCCTTAGAATGATGAGGCGTGTGTGGAATATTTGATGCAAAATTAATATATAACAGTTGGTGATGGAAAAGGAATCACAGCAGCATGCACATTGTGTGGATAACCTTATAGGAAACCTCAAAACAATGTAAGATAATGGATAAGCAAACACCATGTAAAGGGGCCACTGAAAGGTAAGAATTGTATGCCTCAATTATGCCTTGATCTTTATGTGTAGCTGCTTTCTAATGTGTGCTTTTTCCTGTATTGTAAACTCTGGAAGACAAGAAAGGATTTCTTCACGCCGACTTTCCAGCACCTGGCATTGTACCAGGCATTCATTAACAATAGGAATTGAATTAAGGTACAAACACAATGACTTCCACATTAAAATACCATTTAATAGAGTTGACCTGGAAGGAACATATGATTATCTTTACAAATCAGGTGCATTTAGGTAGATGAAAGGAACTAAAATGAGCCAATGGTGGTCCAGTAAGTAAATAGCATAGAAGATTATTTGGTGAGGATGACAAGGCAGCTTCCCAGAGAAGAAAAGAAACTTGGCAAAGATGTTAGTGGAAGAACGTCCTGATCTTGATTCTGCCACTTACCTGTGACCTCAGGTGCACCTCGTAAGCTTTGTGGATGAATCCATACGCTTTACATAAACACAGATGCAATTCTTACTGCCTGTAAAAGTAACACATGCTTATTGTTAAAAAAGAAATACAGAAAATTATAAACTATAAAATACAAATGTTGCCTGCAGCTTCATTTACGACACATAATTACCTTTAACATTTGTGTGCATTTCCTTCCAGTTTTTTTGCATGCATCAATTTTTTAAATTTCCTTCATGAAATTAGATTAATACATCTAGTTTTTATTCTGCTTTTGAAAGTTAACATTTTCTTTTGAGCATTGCCTAACATTATTAAACATTATTTTTAAATGCTTTTGTAATGCTGTATAGTATTCCATCTAATAGATGTATTCATTAACGCAGTAAGCAAATATTTCCTAAATGTTCACTGTAGGCCAGGTCCTCGGCTAAGCCCTAGAGCTAACAGTGGGAAACAAGGAAACAGAGGGTTATGGAGAGAGGAAAATGTGGGATTGTAAACACACATAGGTGCATATTACCATTGGTTTAGACCTTCCTCTCTTGTTAGTCATTTATCTGGCATTTTTGACATTGCAACTAATACATCAAGGCCTTGTAGCGGAGGTCACAGCCTGAACCTATGCTGAGCCTGCTGAGTGCTGGAGATAAGGTGCTGAGTGCAGACACAAGGGAGGTATTTTCCCGTTGCATTTCTGAGAATGGGTAGATGGTTTGGAAAGGATCTCTCCTAACCACCTGGCCCGTGGACTTCGAGCCCCATGGGGAAAAAGGCTGTTGTCGAAACAGAATGCTATTTTCAGGGCCTCCTGAGACACAGGCCCCGGTGCCCCTCAGGGTCAGAGCTGGCAGCGTGGAGAGGAGATCGTGGAGACAGTGTACTCAGCAGGACAGCAACGTCCTCTGGGTGGCTGCTGCGTCAGGGCAGGCCAGGCTCCTCAAGGTGCTTGCCGCACAGGAGAAAGCGAAGGCATTCTGGTTTCCATGGTAACTGTAACTGTGGCTCTTACTTGGTTTGGTGCAGGTTTTCTGAGTGTTTAAGAAATAATTGCAGGAGGAAGGTGCTGCGGCAGGGCTGGAGGTCGTGCGTGGGCAGACGGGGCAAGAGTTACTCCTGTTTGGGTGGCTGGTGAGAACTGGCTGGGAGAGTTGGTCTACCTGAGGAACTAACTGCAGGACTGGATCTGCAGGTATGAACTCTGTCGGGGCTCGAATACATCCCGCCAACGTGGTTTCCAGGAGCACAGCCTCAATTTACACCCCACCATCGAAGTGTGAAAGTGCCCATGCCCCCGCCCCTGTGTCCCTGTTAGCCTCCCGGATTTTTAGAAACTTGAAGATATTTAAATATTTTATTTTGAGCAGCCCAGGCAGGATACCAGGGGGCACACAGTGGCCTCCTGAGACAGACGCCACGGTGCCCCTCGGGGTTAGAGCCAGCAGCTCAGATGGGAGGTGGTGTCTTAGCCGGACAGCAGCATTTTCTCCAAGGGCAATGCACTATTTCTAGTGTTTTATCTTTGCCAATCTGATGCTGTCTAAATGGCATGTTGTTTTAATTTCCATTTTTGTATACTAAAAAAATGGTTTTCTCACATATTGATCAATTTTCATATTCTTCCTAAGCAAACCATCTTTCTATGTCTCCTTGCTTTAAAGCATTGTAATGGTAGTGTTTCTCATATGGATTGCCATCTGCGTGTTAAGGATATTTACCTTTCAGTTTCACATTTGTTGCAGGTCTTTTTTTCATTTGTCTTTTGCCATTTAGTTTTGTTTATGATTTTTGGCATATAAAATATTTTAACCTTCATACAGTCAAATGATCAGTCATTCTCTTTGATTGTATCATTTTATTGTATGATAGAAAGTCCTGCTCTACCCTGGACACACTTAAATAGCTAGCATATTTTTCTAATATTTTTAATGGCTTCCTTTTTTTACTTTTATCCCTAAATTCATCAGGAATGTTTTTGGAACATAGTTAATGGAAAGAAGAGAATGCAATCTCTATTTGTTTCCCCTGAGTAGCCATTCTTCCAATGCTATTTGTTGGATAACACCTCTTTTCACTTCTTTTATAATGCATCCTTTATCACATTTTAGATCTTCATTTAAACTTCTCAAGTTTCAGTGCTTTTTTTATCTTTTACAAAAAATTATATTTCTATTGTAATGTTAATTTTTGATTTATGGAAGTATTTCAAATAATGAGAATATCTATTATTTTTCTTCCAGCTGCACTTTTGATTTATTTTTATTAAGTTCCAAAAATAATTCTGCTAATATCTGGTATATCGCATACTAGTTCACTTAATCTTCAAAAATCTTTGAAAAGTATATTTTATAATTTCCACTTTATAGTTGGAGCAATTTAAAGTCAAAAAATCCTAGAAACCTGCCAACATTGCTAATAAATTGTAGCAAATGAAACTGGTAGACCAGCATTTCTACCCATGTCTCTCTGATGGTAAATCTCAAGTCCTCCAAATCTCACAGAGATCTTCCAGGATTTTGATGATGATATTTGAACTGAAATCCTCAAACTATTCCTCTGAAAGTATTTTTGGTGTTAAGAATCAATGAAGAAATGCTTCATCAAAGAGAAAGAAAGTGACATGAGGGAGAAAAAATGAGGGAAGGGGTTTTAGACTTGCCTGTTCCTCAGCTGCGTTTGCTGGTCTCTGCATCCGGTTCCAGGAACACAGCCACCTCCACCAGCATGACTCAGGTCTCTCTTCTTTTCCATTTACACCTGGGGTTTAAAGTCTCCACAGGGCCAGAGGTGCAGTTATTATGAATCAAAATAGTATCCCCAGTACAATGGGGATTGATTGTTTATCCACTATGGAAGAGCAAAGAATTCACAGTGATTTCAAGAGTAACTGCTAAAATCACAGTAACAGCTAAAATTGCGAGCTCGTTTTGTCACCTGAAATTTCAATTGAGGTGTCTAACTTATGGCAGTGCTTTGTGTATCCTGAATGTTATCTTCCTGTAGGAAAAAAGTGATACCTCAACAGCTTTTATAGTTTTACAATTTGAGTAATTTGCAATTTTCAAAGAAAAGTACATTTCCACTCTGGTTGAAAGAAAATATAGCGAATGTTGGGATAGAGGCAAGAATTGAATTTCCTCACTGCTAAGTTGGATAATTCTATATTATCAGCCAATCCATTGAAGAAAGCTAGAGTTAAATCTTTATCCAAAAGGTAAGCTCTCACATAGGAAGTTAATGGCTAATAGTGTGGTATGGTTTGGCCATGTCCCCACTCAAATCTCATCTTGAATTCCCACATGTTGTGGGAGGGACCCAGTGGGAGGTAACTGAATCATGGGGGCAGATTTTCCCGTGCTATTCTCATGATAGTGAATAAGTCTCAGAAGATCTGATGGTTCTAGAAGGAGAAGTTTCCCTGCATAACCTTTTTTTTTTTTTTTTTTTTTTGCCTGCTGCCATCCATGTAAGATGTAACTTGCTTCTCCTTGCCTTCTGCTATGATTGTGGGGCCTCTCCAGCTACATGGAACTGTAAGTCCATTAAACCTCTTTCTTTTGTGAATTGCCCAGCCTCAGGTATGTCTTTATTAGCAGCATGAAAACAGACTAATACACAGTGAAATTTATTTTATTAGTATTTCTTCAAGGTTTCTAGCATTGTGTGGCTATGATATGAGGAAAAAAGCATACCTATGTAGATATTTTTCTATGTGAATGCTTTTGCTCTCAAAATAGTAAAAGAAATTCTTTTGGAGAAGTTGCATGCATGCATCTTCTTACATAGATTGTCCTATCGTTCACTCAATCTGTAAACTCCAGTAAAGGCAACACCAGCTCATTGTTCTGCTGAATGCAGTTGTCACAGAAGCCTAAAGAATATTTTTTCTTTGAAGGAGGAGCTATTTCATTCCCAAGTAACCAAATACACTTAAAGTATCTAATGGAAATAACTGGTGGATTTTCTCTCAAACCTTAAAATGCTCTCAATTAAAAAACATTTCCAGAGAGAGAGGAAAATTGCCAATGCTGAGATTTATGTAGTAATTTTATTCATTTTGAAATGTGATAGATATTAGGTATTGTGGCAGATTGTGAGATAATATTCATCTCTCTTGTAAAACATATATTCCCGTGGGTTATCTAGAAAGTATTAGACGTTTCGGCCACAATAAAGTATCATCTATTTCCAGGAGACTTTCCCCATCAGGGCTCTTGAGCAGACCTTGAAAACAAATATATGTATCCTCCTCCTGTCTTTGTGAACCATTCGTGTGATAATTCTGGGACTGGCTCGGAACCCCCCCACCCCATCACAGGGACCAATACACATTCCGTGCTATTGGGGTACTAGGTGGAATGTCCCGCAGTTCAGAATTAGGTTTTCAATTTCATCCCTAAAAACAAAGAATTTTCAAAAATTCCCCTACGTGGCCTGCTGGAATACCTAAATCTGTTTTTCAATGTGGGACTTGTTGTACTGTAAACAAAACTCTATTACATTTAGGAAAATAGAAAAATCCCAGACTTTGTTTCAAAGTAGTCAATTTGTGCATGAGTGGTCTTTTTTTTTTTTTTTTAAAGTGTGTATACTGGGAAAATTAGACTGTTCTCATATTTCCAAGGAGACTCTAGGTTTTGCATTATGACTAGGCACATCTCAGAATGAATGACCCTCATGTCACTCCTCACCAGAGTCCTGGAAGAACCAGAGACAAGAGACAGCATTGGAGCAGCTGTTTGTCCTGCTGCAGAAAGGGAACACCTCCTGAACCCACCCACAGTCTCACCCTGAGGGCATTGGCGCAGCCTCAGGAGGGCCACTGCCCTGTCTGCAGCCACAGTGCCTGGTCAGCAGCCCTTTCTCTAGGGCTGTCAAAGCCAGATCTGAGCCCACAGCCATAGCCAGGTAATTCTGAGAAAGTGAAGCATGTAAGACCGTGTGGCAGATCCACGGTGCATTTCTGTGAACCACATTTTCAGCTAGTGCCAGAGGGTCTGCAGTCAGCAATGCTTCTCCAATAGCTCTTCTCTTTAAGTTTCAAGTAGAAAAGAACAAGGCAGCGCTGCAGTCCCAGCACTTTGGGAAGCCAAGGCGGGCGGACCACGAAGTCAGGAGTTCAAGACCAGCCTGGCCAACATGGTGAAACCCCATCTCTACTAAAAATACAAAAATTAGCCAGGTGTGGTGGCGCACTCCTGTAATCCCAACTACTCAGGAGGCTGAGGCAGGAGAATTGCTTGAACCCAGGAGGCGGAGGTTGCAGTGAGCCAGACAGTGCAGCTGCACTCCAGCCTGGGCAACAGAGTGAGTGAGGTCCTGTCAAAAAGAAAAAAAAAAAAAAGAGAAGAGCAAGACATAGGCACGCAGAATGCAAGCCCTGCCTGTGCCCACATCCACAGGCTGGTGTGGCCCTCAGTTTTCAGAGCATAGGCCAATTCAGGGGATATGCTTAGAACAATGCGTGGAGGTCATGATGACTCTTGCTTCAGCTGTCCACAGGGCACCACAGGCTTACACAGGCAGACATGGCCTTGGTCATAGTGCTGGACTAGAAACCCTCCTTCTTTGCTAACAGATCAACAATGAATCGTGACCTTAGAGATTAAGTGATCCTACCCTCTTATGGGTGTAGCAGTGGGCATATCACCATAGCTTTCCTATAAAAAGTTTACTCTCTTCTGGGAAAATATATCCTTAAATCTCTTTTTCTGTATCATCTGGTCTTATTTCTTTACACACACACCCTGAAAATCATATATTTCCTTCATCCCAGGCACTTGTTGCAATAAAAACTGATATTTAACCCATCAGCAAGTCTTGTGGGCTTTACATCTGAAACACATTTTAAATCCATTTATGCAATCACTGTCCCCCACCATCTATCCACCTCATCTTCTTCAGTAATAGAACTTGGGAATTTTAGCTGGGTGCAAGAATATTTCGTTTCCCAATCTTCCTTGCAGCCCGCCATGACCAATAGGATGTAATTAGACAGTGTGTGAACTTCCAAAAAATGTCCTTAAAGGAAGGGGGCACGCATTTCTCCTTCTCTTCATACTTTGCTTCGAATTGGAATGCAAACCTGATGGCTAGATCTAAAGCAGCCTTCTTGGACAATAAGGTAAGCTTCAGAATGAAGGCCATGCATGGTGGGACAAGATAGAAAATCCTGGGTCTTTTGTACGGTGGAGCACCCTACCAGCTCTGGACTGCATACCTAGAATTCTGTGGGAGAAATGAACTTCCATCTCCTTTAAACCCTGCTTTTACTTGGGGTTTTGGGTCACTTGCGGCTGACCCTGATCCTAACTAATACGTTCCACGACTTCATCCAGGATCGCCTGGTTGCCATCATGTCTCATTTGGACACCTGGCTCTCTCGCTGCTTTCTTTCTACCAAAGCAGTCATAGGGGTCTTTACAAGCACAATCGGATCATGTTACTGCCCTGTTTCAAACCCTCTGATGGCTCCTCATTGTACTTAGAATAAAATCCAAACACCCTGAGATGGTTGGTCTTCGCCGTCCCTGGCACCCCGTATCCTACCCCCAAGCACCTCGCATGTTGCACTCAGCCATGCTGGCTCCACCCTCTTCCTCCAGGAAGCCTGGGCTGCTCCTGCCTCAGGCCTTCGCACTTGCTGTTCCCACCTCAGGCCTTCGCACTTGCTGTTCCCTCTGCCGGGGGCACTCTCGCCCCACACCTTGGCGGCCAGTCCTTCTCACCCTGTGGATTTCAGTTTAAATACGCATCGCCAACAGAGCCTTTCCCTGGCTGCCTGATGTTGTGTTTGCCTGTCCCCAGCCACTGGCCTTATTTCCATGTCAGAGCGTCAGTCAGTATCTGAGTGGAAGCCATGCTGCCTGAGCCTTTGTCTTCTTCTCACAGTGGAAGGTGGCCTCAGTGGGAGGGGGAACCCTTTCATTCCTGCTTAGTTTTGTATTTTAAACACCTAAAAAGTGTGTAGCTCTTGGTAGGCATTTAATATAAACTGTTTTTAAAGAAATGTAAGTTTTTTCTTCCACTTTATGAAAATTTTAAAGAAATTTCTCTTAAACCTTTGTTCTAAGATTTCACGCTGACGCCACTCTTCCTCACCCACCCCAAGGCTCTTCCAGGGATTCATCCCTTTCTTCAGTGACAATTTAAGTATCTCTGACTTGTCCTTATCACATTTGAATCCTGGTGTGTTTGTGGATCTATGTTCTCCTCCACATGAGAGCCTTGAAGGGCAGGAATCTTGTCTTATTCGACTTGGCACTCTCAGGATCAGGCACCGCACCTGGCCATGCTTATTTTCACAAATGGATGGGTTCCATTTTTAAGGACCACCGAATTTTGCTTTGGATAATAGATAATCTGCAATCATTATCCAAGCTGTCTAATTCTGTAATCTCCATGGCATGGCTGGTAGGAGGAAGGACTAAAGGAGAAGTTTTCAAGTTACCCAGCTTCTCTGTGGTCTGGCTGGTTTTGCTTCGTACCACAATGAAGCTTCTATCTGGTCCACCAGCCTCCAGTGAAAACCACTCTGCCTGCTTTATTCCCAGGGTGATTTTTGTGAACCAAGGCTATAGTGGTGCCTTCTAGGAAGGGAGGCTTCTGGGAAGTGTGGCCTGGAAAAGACTGGAGGAACAGAAAAAGACGAGAGGAAACCCCACGAGGTAGGAGAACAGAAATGAAAATATGGTGACCATTGGTGCAACAGATTTAGTTGTCATCCTTGGTAGATCTGGGGAGGTGGAACTAGGGGACCAAGCAGGTCAGCAGCCACCGCAGGGCTCATGGCTTTTGAATGGTGGACAGTAGAGAAATGGTTGCCCACTGGCGCCAGGTTTTCATCATCGGCACAATTGAAATTTGGGGTTGGATACTTCCTTATGTTGGGGACGCTATCTCACACATTGTAAGATATATGGCAGCATCCCTGGCCTCTACCCAACAGATGCCAGCAGCACACCTGTCCCCAAAGACTTTTGACAACCGAAAATGCCTCCAGCTATTGCTAGATGTTCCCTGGGGGTAAAATCACTCCCTTCGATTCACCGCTGCACCGGTGTGGATGGAAGAGGTTTTTCCTGGATGCTTCAAAAACATGTGGTGCACGTTCTTTGTGAACAAGATATTTCTGGTGGCTGCGGGGAGGCAATTTTTCTGATGAAGATACACTCAGGGTGGTCTCACAGGGAGTGGAAGCCATCCCATGGTACCATGAGTCCAGGGAGAGCCCGGAGGACAGAGGCTCGCACACCAACCGGGAAAGCAGCACTCCCTGGCTGGAGACACGTGGCTGGGCAGGTGCAGTGAGGCAATGGCTTCGGCTCTGATGCCTTCCAGCAGCGCATCCATCGCTTCCCAACTTCCCTCAGGCCCCACTCTTCGCTATTGCTCACCCCCACCCATTCCTCCTTTCTGTGACCTCTCAGGCCCTGGAAGGGATCTGAGTTTGTGGTCCTTGGAGCAAAGCATCAACAGGTGCTGGTGACAGAAATTATGCTGACAGGCCAGGAAGTCCTACAATCTCTATTTAGCGCACCTTCTTAATATTTCAATGTGCATATGTAACTCCTCACATATAATTTCATTGTAAGAATGTCTGGTCCATATCTTAGATTTTATGAAGATTATTACAAGATCTGTGTCCCAGGAACATCCCGGAACATTACTGGAGAAATCGGGAGCCTCTGCCCACTGGAGCTGCTTAGCGCTGGGGTTGCTTCTCTGTTTTGCAAATCTCTGGAATGGGCAGCTCCAGTACATCAGGGTCTGACCACAACTTGGAAGAAATGAACTTCCATCTGACCACGCTCTAACTCTGAGACCTGGGCCCCTTGCTCAGTGGAGGGCCAAGCTTGCTATCACCGCCAATACCCCCCAAATCTCAGTCTTGCATTAAGCGAGTCTTCTTCTTTTCCCTGCCGGGCTCCTGGGGCTGTTGATGGGAATGCACATGGTGCAGCGGCTGCAGCATGCTTCCAGTGACATCCTCATTAGGCTGTCAATTCTGGACCCCCAGAAAATGACCAGGCTGTCACATCTCTAAGAAAATGAGCAAATCAGCCCTGAATTCTGCCCCCAGCCCACCTGCCATTCCTCCAAATGCCTGTGTTTGCAGCTCTTTTCTACCTCCCAGAGGAGGCTCCAGATTTCCCCAGTAATGTTCTGGGATGTTCCTGGGCACACAGTACTTACAATAATCTTCATAAAATCTGAGATACGGGCCAGACATTCTCACAATGAAATTATATGTGAGGAGTCACATATGAAGGACCACCCCTTCTCCTATTCAAAGCCAATCCTCCACTGTGCCTGTGACCCCCGCCCTTTGTTTCCATCTTAGATGTTGCTCCATGAGGGAGTTCTTATATCTGATTTTTTTCCTCTCTATGGTCTGCTTTCTTAAAGCCCTTGAGCCTGAGGACATTTCATTCTTTTTTAAAAACCCTCCCTCCACCCTTGTCATGAGCCCCAGCTCCATCTCACTCCTTCTCATCATAAAGTCAGGGACTTGGACATCGTTCCTTGTTTTCTGGCCTATCATATGGTCTATCTTGGAGAATATTCCATGTGCTGATGGAAAGAATGCATATTCTGCAGTTTGGGGGTAGAATATTATGTGAATATCTGTTAAGTCTATTTGTTCTAGGGTATAATTTAAGTCCATTGTTTCTTTGTTGACTTTCTGTCTTGATGACCTCTGTAGTGCTGTCAGTGGAGTATTGAAGTCCCCCACTATTATTGTGTTGTCATCTATCTCATTTCTTTGGTTTAGTAGTAATTGTTTTATGAATTCGGGAGCTTGGGAGTTAGGTGCATATATATTTAGGATTGTGATATTTTCTTATTGGACAAGAAATCATTATGTTTATCATTATATAACATCTCTCTTTTTCTTTTTTTTTTTTTAACTGTTGTTGCTTTAAAGTCTGTTTTGCCTGATATAAGAATAGCTACTCCTGCTCACTTTTGGTTCCCATTTGCATGAAATATTTTTTGCTACCCCTTTACCTTAAGTTTATGTGAGTCTCTATGTGTTAGATGAGGCTCTTGAAAACAGCACATACTTGGTTGGTGGATTTTTATCCATTCTGCTATTCTGTAGCTTTTAAGTGGAGCATTTAGCCATTTACATTCAATATTACTATTGAGATGTGAGGTACTGTTCTATTCATCATGCTAGTTTTTGCCTAAATATCTCGTTTTTTTCATTGTGTTATTGGTTTATAGGCCCTGTGAGATTTATGCTTTAAGGAGGTTCTGTTTTGGTGTATTTTTAGGTTTTGTTTCAAGATTTAGAACTCCTTTTAGCAGTTCTTGTGGTGTAGACTTGGTAATGGTGAATTGTCTCAGCATTTGTTTGTCTGAAAACGACCTTATCTCTCCATCATTTATGAAGCTTAGTTTTGCTGGATTCAATATTTTTAGCTGACAATTATTTTGTTTAAGGAGGCTGAAGATAGGACCCCAATCTCTTTCTTACAACCCCTTCTGGCTTGTAAGGTCTCTGCTGAGAAATCAGCTGTTAATCTGATAGGTTTTCCTTTATAGGTTACCTGATGCTTTTGTCTCACAGCTCTTAAGATTCCTTCGTTTGGACTTTAGATAACCTGATGACTATGTACCTGGGTGATGATGTTTTGTGATGAATTTCCCAGAAGTTCTTTGAGCTTCTTGTAGCAAGGCCAGAGAAGGAAGTTTTCCCCAATTATTCCCTCAAATAAGTTTTCCAAACTTTTATATTTCCCTTCTTCCTCAGGAACACCAGTTATTCTTTTTTTTTTTTTTTTTTTTTTTTTTGAGACAGAGTCTCGCTCTGTCACCCAGGCAGGACTGCGGACTGCAGTGGTGCAATCTCGGCTCACTGCAAGCTCCGCTTCCCAGGTTCACGCCATTCTCCTGCCTCAGCCTCTCGAGTAGCTGGGACTACAGGCGCCCACCACCGCGCCCGGCTAATTTTTTGTATTTTTAGTAGAGACGGGGTTTCACCTTGTTAGCCAGGATGGTCTCGATCTCCTGACCTCATGATCCACCCGCCTCGGCCTCCCAAAGTGCTGGGATTACAGGCGTGAGCCACCGCGCCCGGCCACCAGTTATTCTTAAGTTTGGCCAGTTAGCATAATCCCAAATTTCTTGGAGACTTTGTTCATTTTTTTATGCTTTTTTCTTTGTCTGTGTCTGATTGGGTTAATTCAAAAGCTTTGTCTTTGAGCTCTTAAGTTCTTTCTTCTACTTGTTCTAGTCTTGTTGAAACTTTCCACCGCATTTTGTATTTCTTTAGTTGTGTTTCATTTCCAGAAGTTGTTATTGTTTTTTTCTTTATGATATTTATTTCTCTGGAGAATTTTTCATCCATATTCTGTTTTTTAAATTTTGTTAAGTTGGTTTTCACCTTTCTTTGGCA
Organism: Homo sapiens; assembly: GCF_000001405.40. Classification (NCBI taxonomy): domain Eukaryota; kingdom Metazoa; phylum Chordata; class Mammalia; order Primates; family Hominidae; genus Homo; species Homo sapiens. The sequence goes on along the minus strand of NC_000018.10, from coordinate 75,511,573 downwards.
TCTCCTTGAGTAGCTTAATAATCAACCCTCTGAATTCTTTATCTGGTAATTCAGAGATTGCTTCTTGGTTTTGATCCACTGCTGGGAAGCTAGTGTGATCTTTCGAGGGTGTTATAGAACCCCGTTTCATCATATTACCAGAATTACTTCTCTGGTTCCTTGTCGTTTGAGTAGACTATTTCTTAAAATTGTTCTTGAATTTATTTCTCATTGGACTGTGTTTTTTTGTTTTTGTTTTCTTTCTTTTTTCCCTCTCAAGGATCAGACTTTAATGTTTATTTTATCCGAATTTGATTCTTGGTGATTGCAGGGGTAAAGACTCTGTATGAGATCCTTAGTTACGGAGTTTTTGTGCACTGGTTTTCCCTGATGCTCTTTGTAGTAGTTACATTCTTGATGTGTGGGTGAGTTCACTGTCTCCAATGGAGCTGGAATGGCAGGGATCTCTTGAAACTTATCCCATTCTCTCATGGTGTATACTTTATCTATATACTTAGTTTTTTCCTGGTGTTTTATTTACTGTATTGATGATTCAGGCTTCAGGCCGATCAAGGAGGTAACCCTGGGTAGGCACCCATTGTCGCTAAGGCAGGTGGGTAGATGTAACAGCCAGCAGTAGGCCGAGGCCCCAGCCTTGATGAGGGTGGCTGGAGAAGCACTCAACCAGATATGCTGAGGTTTTATCATGGTGAAGAGTGAGACCTACCTCAGTTCCCCTCCCAGGTCAGCAGCAAAGCTATTCACCTAACAGCCTTGCTCCTGTCCTGGTGTTTTAGCTATTCAGATCAGATAGGCACCTCTTTTCATCTATAGGAATGTTGATGCTCCAAGTAGGGAGGAATTGTGACTCTGCCTCTCGTGCAGGCCTGAATCTGGAGCATGGTCCTCCTGTAGGACTGCACTCAATTTGGACTGTTCCAGAAAGCCTGTCTATAGGTGCCTCCATGCTGCATTCCTGTGGGAGAAGCCCCAGCTATATCTTCACGAGAGTACCAGAGGGGAACAAGGACACCTTCTCCAAGTCCCTTCATGATCACAGAGGCTGCCTGTCTGTTGGGGTATAGGTGCAGACTTTCCCTATAGCATCAAGCACTGCAATTGTGTCTCTGCTGTGAGAAACTACACCCCAGCAGAAAGATCTGGAACTCAAGTACTGCTGTTCAGATTCTTTTGTCTTACAGATGTGGTGCTTGATGAGGTGCTCTCCTCCTTCCCCTAGGGATGGGGCTTCCTAAGAGCCAGGCTGCAGTGGTTGTTATTGCTCTTCTGGATCTAGCCACCCAGAAGGGCTACCAAGCTCCAGGCTAGTGCTGGGGGGGGGTCTGCAAAGCATCCCGTGATGTGGTCCATGTTCTGGTCTCCCAGCCATGGATACCAGCACCTGCTCTGATGGAGGTGGCAGAGGAGAGGCCCTGGTTGTAGATATGTTTTTGTGTGCTGGCTTTCTTAAATGCTGGTAATAAAATTAGTGAAGTTGCCATGTGATCAGACTCAGGGCCTCTGGTTAGCCAGAATGTTGCAGGCGGTGGGATTAACTGTTGTTTTCTCCTTCCTTGGAGCAGGGTTACTCTGTCATGAGTTACTGTAATGGCCTGAGGTGTTTGGCCTCTAGCCAGGAGGTGGCACTTGCAAGAGAGCACCAACTGCAGTAATAGAAGGGGGATATAAGCTTGTGCTAAGTTGGCCAGGGTGAGTATTCTGGTTATTCAGGTAATGGTTGGGGTCATAAAGCTCCCAAGAGTGTTTGTCTTTTGTGTTCAGCTACCAGGACAGGTAGAGAAAAACCGTCAGATGGGGGCAGGGTTTGGTGGGTCTGGGCTCAGAGTCTCCTTGGGAGGGAATTGTCGCAGTCAGTGTTGGGGATGTGGGGGTGGTTCTCAGGCCAGTGGGGTTATGTTCCAGAGGGGAGCATAGCTACCTCTGCTTAGCAGTATGGTTCACCAGGGAAGTGAGGAAAGTCAGCATTGAAAGGCTTCTCCCACCTCCCACACAGTTGGCAAGGCCAGCCTCGCTCCCACCATTCCCAACTAACAGCACTGAGTTTATCTCCAGGCAGCCTGTGTGTTGGGGGGTTGTTAGCGGGGGGGACACTCAGACCTTGCCCCAGGCCATAAGCTACTCCACTAAGCAAGTAAGTCCTCCCTATCTGCCTACTATGTCGGCTGCGGCTCCTGCCCTCCTATCTCCTATCTGCAGCAGATCCCAATCACCCCCAGATTCTGCTACAAAAAGTTAATGTCCAGTCAGAATTAATGCAAAATTCAGTTGCAAGCTTCTTACAGCCAGTGACCCTTCCCCAATTCTGCTTGGTGCCTTTTCTGAAGGCCCCTGTGAGGTATAGCCAGGGATGGCTTCTCTGGGCTCAAGCGGAGACTGGGAGAGCCTATAAGGCTCTGCCCGCTGCTGCTGCTGCTGCTACTTTTATATTTTGCACAGCTCTCTAAATCCATTTCACCTCCAGGTAAGGTTAAATCCTTCTCCCTTGATCTGGATGTTCAGATTCCCCAGTGGCGATGTGTGTTCGGAGGCATGTTTTCCCCTCTCACAGTTTGGGTGGGGACTCACAGTTTTCCACCTGTCTCATGGAATTTGCAGTGCTATGCCACTTCTTTCAAGGGATCTGTGAATTCTCTCGGTTTTCCTGCCATGGTTCTTGGAGCAAGAGTTTGTGATGTGAATCTCCAAACACTGTTCTGTCCATCCAAATGGGAGCTGCAGTTAATGTTGTCTCCTATCTGCCATCTTCTTATCATCCTTATTAGGTATTTCCCACCAGATATTCTTTGGACAGAGAAGTCTCAGATAGCTATCTGATCACAGTCTAACTGCTTAAAGAGGGGCCTTGGATGGAGGCTTCCAGGCCACAGTTTATACAAGAAGTTTTGTAATTAACTAGCTTAAACCTAGGTAGGAAAGATAACTCTCACTCATGCTCTTGGGGCCAGCAGATCTGCCTTGAGCCCTCTACCCTGGCATCAGCCAGACAGTGGGCATTCTTTTCTGCCTGCTCTTGGGAGCTATTCCCACTCACTGCAGCTTTGCCTGCTGTGGGCAAGGTCTGTTAGTTTACGGTTACAGCTCAAACTGTTCCCATGAGAGCCTGGCCTATTCTGATTTCCCCTCTTATGGAATATGGGAAGCTCTACAAATTCAGGAGAAGAGGGGCTCCTCTGATGGAAGACATTGTCTTGTAAGAACCCTTATTAGTTTAGGCTTAAAGCATGAGATGTTCTCAGTAGAAATATTCTGAAGCCAAAATAAATAAAAAAGAAAAAGTGGAAAAGAGTCAAACAGGCAATTATTTGTAATAGAAGAAAACTATTGATTTTCCTTTTTGATACATAGTCTAAATTATCCCTCCAGAAAAGTAGTAATGCATCTTTAAACAGATTTATTGGTTCTAGGAGGGGAAAATGTATTATTTAACTTCAATGCTATTGGATTTTTCTTTTATGTTAGATATAGAAATAGGACAGACAAACAGAGTGGGACGAGAAAATTCCTTCAAGAATCACAGTTGTTGTGGATCTCAAGGTAAGAGACTCTGGCATTTCTGTCAAAGCAGTACAAGTTTGTAAATAAAAGATCATTTTTCTGGCTAAATAAATTATATTGCACAGTTATGACGCGTACATTTTTCACAAGACCTAAAGTTCCTGTGGGTGGAATGAACAAACCACAGAGATCCCCCAGCGTGACCTGTAGGCTCAAGTTCTTTCTTGTGAAGGAATTTTGCCCTCAGCAGAATCCTATGACTTCTCTGATCCTGTAGCTCCAAGTCCCTTATCTGAGCTGGATTCTCCCCATGTATCTCACTCATTGGCTTCTGAGATCAGAATACACAAACTCCTGACACACAGGGATGTCTTCCAGTTGGCTACAAACAGGAGCGTGTGGTGGGTGGAAAGAGCCGGGGCCTGCTTTTCCCAGCTCCTCATCCTGGGCCTCCTTAGAAGGGACCTTGGATTCCATGGGGCGTGGCACATTTGGGGTCCGGCAGTCTGTGAGCCTGGTCCTGCATCTGTCTAGGCACCTGTTCTATGACCTTGAAAATCACCTCACCCAGGTGTTGTCATCTATCACTCAGGCAATCTCAGGTGACCTTGCTGAATCATCACAAGCAAAAACTGCTCAGAATGATTGAAAAATATTTTTCAAATATAAAAGTGCTCTAAAAGCCACGGATGAAAATTTCAAGCCACCACTACCAGCCAAGCCCCTCATCACATTTATTCTTTACAGTTCAGCAGTTTAGGAGGGTTTTGTGTTTGTTTCAATAACTGGGCTCTCTTAATTACCTAGGGATGTATTCACTGGGATTCCATATAGAATAGCCCATAAAACTAGTGGTCAGAAACCATCAGGCCCTCATGATAACAAAGGAAGCTCCTGGGCTGCCCTCCTCCCCGCTCCCTCAACCACACTTCTCCCTACAGCTGCCTGGGCGTTTTCATTTCCATGCCTGCAGGTGATGCAGATTCTGGCACAGAAAGGGAAGCACCAGCCCTGTTCTCTCCATTCCACATGGCAGTTCCTTCCTCTCTCAGGGATGACTGCAGTCTTCTGCCAGGCCTGGGGTTTTCTACTTCTAGCCTGGGAACTAGGAGTAATAAGCACGACAGAGCGATCTGCACTTGCGTCGAAGAGCTGCATTCCGTTCCAGTGGCTTTGGACTAGAAAATCTCCTTCCCTGTTCATTCAGCAAGATGAGGCAAGAGTTGTCCTGGTCATCCAACAACATAGGGCATAAAGGGTCTTCCCATGTCATCATCTGCTGTTATCTGGTACACTTTCCTCTCAACCTCCGTTCCTGTAGGTACACATGCATGACTGGACCTCATCCCTTCTACCCACAGAACTCAACAGTCGTCTATTTGAGAACCAGCAGGAGGTCATATTCTATATGTCCACATATGTATCTGGGGAGACTGGCTGGCTGCAAGGCTTTGTAACCACCTTCCAGGCAGATGACAAGATGGAACCTTCTCAACATACACCTCAGTTAAAAGTCAAGTCAATAAAAGCCTGGCTGCATGAAAGAGGATGATACATAAAGACTGGCTGTATACCTTTGTTTGATCTGAGTAAGAAATGCGTGCATTCAATGAGGCCACTGAGTTTATGATCAAACCTCCTCGTAAAGAATAGAGCACAGAGAAACCCATATTCTTACCGTGTGACAAATGAGACTGCGAACGTGGACCCTTCTTTAAAACTCCAGCTAATTCAGGTTGCAGAATGAAGTGTGCCATGTCATAATTAATCCCTCATGTATTGCAAGCAATTTAATGTCAAAATAATCAACAGGAGCGTTTTTTACCCTTTTGTGAGTACATAATAAATACTGTCATTTAGCTGCAGCAAACATCGGGTTTCTTTCCTGGTCTTTGAATAACACTCCTCGTGAGGTAAATACCAGATCTCCTTCTCCATCTCCCCACACCCCCAAGCCCTACAAACCACACATATAGACACTCTTTAGGAAAATAAATCATGAATGTCAAAAGAAAAGTAGTGTGATAATTTCTAGTTGGTACTTGGCATCGTGATTATTCTAACTTAGAGTCTAAACACGAGCTAGGGGCAAATAGCATAGCAGAAGGAAGGAATCCGAGTGGAAAGGGTGCCCTCACACTGTTTGTCATTTATTTTTTCCTAGTGGATTACTGTCAGTGACGTGACATTTATTTTTCCAAGGCTAAGTCCTCGCTATTAAATGATCAATGAATTCCTTTGGTTAAACCCAGCTCACTTTTTAAATAACGTTGTCAGAAGTGGAGTGGCCTAGTGCTTCCTTCTTTCTCTGTAGCAGGGCAGGTGTGGAGGGACCTGGGTATCTGGCTGCGTCTTCAGGCCACACTTCCTCCCCAGAGGTAGCATTTCACAGCCTTTATTGCATGCTCCACTTCCAGGGGACTAGTGTTCCTTTTGCTTTAGATAGAAGCTCTCCTGTTAAATTAACATAGTGATCAAAAAGAGAGCTCAGGAGCAAGCTTCGTGTGTATAATTAATCTCCAGTTGCTTTCGTTGAGAAATAGCTGAGCTAAAATCTAGGCTTTGAGGTGACACTTCACAACAGGTGGGAAGGCCAAAGCAGGACTCTTCTGCTTTAACAGATCTGTGTGAAAATGATTGCTAAATATTGAAGTGGAAGACAAGACCCCAAGAGGAGCTCCTTCTTGGTGATTAGTTTTTAAAGATCATGGACCAGACTTTCCCATGAAATCATGTTATGTGCTACCCTTTGGCATCTGTTCAGCCATTGTTGTAAAAGAACACAGGTCCCTCCTTTAGGTATTTACACATGTTTTGTGGATCTGCAAGAAGCTCACCAGTACTTATGTTTCACAGTAATTACAGTTTTCTTTACACCATTATCAGTTCTTAATTAACTCACATAAAGTATCTATTTTGCCAAAAGCTTTGGATAGAGGCTCCTGTGATACGGAGAAAAATAAAACACAGTTCAATCCTGCAGGCACACACACACACACACAGGCATGCACACACACAGAGGCATTCACACACAGACACACACACACATGTACACAAACGTTATTCAACAATTACAATAACATTCAATAACCTTCTGGGTGTCAGTGCCTCAGAGACCAGGACTGTTTCTCATTTCTTCTTGAATTCACAGTTCCTGCAACAATGCTTTGCACATTGTGGGTAATCAGCCACCGTCCCGGCGTGATAATGTTCACCTGGACAGGAAGGGAGGACTTTTAGGTACAGATGAGACAGCAGGTCACCTACAGAACACGTGAGCAGTGTTGGGGAACTTAAGAAGGCAGTACAATCGTTTTGCTCTCCCAGATCTTACCACACTTCTAAGGACGTTGGAATGCAGTCGAAAGGCACATGACATCTTTGAGTGGCAGCACATAAAACTGTTGACAATCAAAATACTTCTTTTGAATTACCTTACTCGATTCAATAGCCAACACTCAAGTGCATCCCAAGTGGATGGCACAGGTACAATGAGTAGGGAGAGTGGCCTGTGTGAAGAGTTCCAGAACAGCGGGCCCAGGACCCTGGGGACTTCCCAAGACTCCGGAAGTGGGGCAGGCTCTGCCCACAGGCAGAGGGGCAATAAAGACAAACCTTGCCGACCCAACAGCTCCTCATGAGCTGACTCTATTGGCAGTATATCTTTATTACTGGGAAGAATACCTCTGTCCATGCAATTCTCTAGTTCCCTATAAAGTGGCTTCAGATGTTCAGAGGCGAAAACACAGCTCAAAAAGGTTTGCAGAAGCAGCATTTAAAACCGCCAAATCAATCTCCCCTTGTAGACTTTTCTTTTAAAATAAACTTATCTCTGAAAACTGCCTCCCGAAGCTTTAGCTTTAACAGTAGAGCTTCACTGTTTTATGAGCTAGTGGTAAAATCCTAAAGCCAGCAGCTCCTCTAGGAGATACTAACACACCATTTACAGAAGTACTGCCATGAAAATAATACGTGCCAATGAAGTCACTATAAATTCACAGGCACTCACATGCACACACAATACATTGTATGTGTACAAAAAAAAAAACCCTTTTTCTACAGTGTTTCTTTCTTTAAGATGACATATAACAGCACAGACAAAACCCTCTCTGCCTCCCTTCTCACTATTCTTAGCAAATCCATGCCGGACAGAAACCATCAAAAAGCAAAGGTGGCAGGTGCCTGAATGTTTCACTTTGGCACTACTGGCCTGTCTGCACAATAACAGTAGATGCAAGAATATTTCACCAGTGTCATTGCTTAACAATGTAATATGACAGCATCCATGAAACTGATTAGCATAGATCAACATAATACCCACTTTGCAGCATTAGTATTGAAAACTTTCATCATGAAATAGTAAGAGGAAAAAGACAATACATGATGAATTGGAATGATTTTGCTGGAATGCTACCAGATGACGATGTAAGGGTGCAGGAGAACAGAGCCACATGCTAACATTCATATGTCAACATAATCATCCCAAGCAGCTTTATTTTCATTCTACAAGCTTCACACAAGTATATGCATGGTGTCTTAAATATGGCTGACAGAAACGAGCTAAAATTATCTTCACAATTCAAAACAGGTCAATGATGGGGTAATACAATGTAAAAGTTTCATGATTTGCCAAATGTACCATTTTGAGAGTCTTAAATGTAATTCCCTGAGGTTTAAACTACAGATAATTGCACCTCACAGGGCCATCACCTAAAATAAAGAAGAAAGCAGAAGTGTGTCACTGAATGACATTTTCGATAGTTGATAGATGGGTTCCACTTTTCAGGGTGATAAAGCAAAGGTCATGTGCTCTTCCAACAGCAGTAAACACATTCTCCTTCCTTTCCCTCTTTTCACTCAAACCTTCAGCTTTTTAAAAAATTCATCCAAGTATTTTCTGTGAAATCATTCTTTATTTTACTCAACTGAGGAAACCAAAGGACTTGAACATTAGTCAGAGTGGTTTTCTTGAACATTCCAGAAAATGGAACTGAACTTGGAGCAGGGGCTGGGCACATCCTTGGGATTTGCTTAATATTCAGGTACCTTGTGATGACACTGTTTACTCTTTTCATGCATCCATTCAAATTGACACATTGTGATCATACATGTGAATGAGGGTACAGTTTGGGGTTTTGATACATATATGTTGTATAATGACCCAGTCAGGGTAGTTAATATATCCATCACCTCATGTGTTTATCATTTCTTTGTGGTTAGAGCATTCACAAGCCTCTCTTCTAGCTATTTTGTAACGTACAGTACCTTACTGTTCACCATTGTCACCCTACTGTGCAATAGAACATCAGAACTTGTTCCTCTTATCGAACTGTAACTTTGTAGCCATTGACCAACCTTTCCCCATCCTTCGCTCCTCCCTTCCTTCCCCATACTCTGATAACCACTGTACTACTCTGTTTCTATTATATCAGTTTTTTTTTTAAGATTCCACATATGGGTGAGATCATGTGGTATTTATCTTTCCGTGTCTGGCTTATTTCACTTAACATGATTTAAAAAAATGGGCAAAAGACCTAAACAGACATTTCTCAAAAGAAGACACAGAAATGGCCAACAAGTATATCAAAAAATACTCAACGTCATTAGTCACCAGAAGCATGCAAATCAAAACCACAATGAGATATCACCTCACTCCAGTTACTATGGCTGTTATCAAAAAGACAAAAGAAAACAAACGTTGGTGAAGCTGTAGAAATAAAGAGAACCTTTACAGGGTTGGTTGAAACATAAATTAGTGCAACCATTATGGAAAACAGTATGGAGGTTCCTCGAAAAATTAAAAATAGAACTACCATATGATCCAGCAATCCCACTGCTGTGTATAAACCCAAAGGAAATGAAATCAGTATGTTGAAGAGATATCTGTACTCCCATGTTACTGCAGCGCTATTTACAACAGCCTGAATATGGAATCCACCTAAATGCCCAACAGATGAATGGATAAACAAGACATGGTGTATACATACAACGGAATACTACTCAACCTTATCAAAGAAAGGAAATCCTGACATTTGCAACAATATGGATGAACCTCAAGGACCCTATTTACTCTTAATGTAGCTAGAGGATGCCAGAATTTAGCTATTGAAAGTAAACCTTAATGGAAGGTGGCATATGATGTGGCTCCTGGGGTTACAAAGAGACAGCAACATGTTTACATGCAGTTTCCCTTGCTGACCCATACATGCTGGGAGCATGTGAACAAATAATAAAGGCAAGGGTTTACTTCTGGAGCAACAGTTATGGTACCTTTATCCATGCAGCTTCCCCTCTCCACCATCTATCTGTCTTTGCTACTCCCAGCACCTTGAGCACTGAGAAGGGAAAGATAGTACTGGTAGTTTTCCATTGCAACCTCGGCAATAATAAAAGCATTGTTGTATATTGAGGCCTTCTGCATCCCAGGCATCATATTCAGTACTCTTACACGTAATTTTTAATTCTTAAAATAAAATAACCCTTTGACGTAGGTGTAAGCCCATCTTACAGATGAGAGAAAAAATATGGCTTACAGAATGCAAGAAGCTGTTTCCTATTCCCACAGCACAGAAGCTAGCATTTGGACAAAAATGACCTGCATAATTAGGCATTAAGCTGCATTGCCTTCCCTGTCCAGTGGACTTCTGTGGCTATTTAGCAACAGTAGGAACTAGGCTAAGAGGTGTAGTCCAATTAATAGCTAATGATTGAATGCCAGCTATTTGCTCAATTCTAAAAAGAAAACAAGAAGACAATTAAACATTGTTCACCTTTTTTCTACCTGCTCTTACAATCTTAGCTTCTTAAAGAGCCACCCTTTGAACAACAGCAAAAATAAATACACACCCAATGCCTTATTCTTTCTCTACTTTGCAATACATCAATGACCAGTTATTTTGGTAGTACATTGATTAAATTTAGCAAAAAGAAATAAACATTTACAAATAGTTTACATATTTTAATTGGATTGCCATTTTTTATTTAATGTAGGCTTATGTCTAAACTATCTCAGAGAATTAAAAATCTGGCAATTCTGAAAGACAATTGGCCATGAAAAAAAAGGTCTCAGATCCCATTAGTGCTCTTGCATATATGAGGAGAGAGAAGGACTGTTGTAAATATGCAGTTGTTTTAACTTAAGTGGATCCTTATAGCTTTGACTTTCTGATCCCTGGTTTCAGTCCATGCTTTCTTTCAAGTCATCCATCAATAAGAATTTTCAGTTGTCTTGCAGTATGGCAGATATCTCTTCTCTGTACTTAAATAATGTTTTAAATAGCCTAATGTAACCTCATCAACAATGTGTTTACATTTCCACCACTGAGCTTTCTCGTCTTCTTGCTAGGTCTCTGCTGTAACAGCAGATCTAGTCAAATCGCCTTTCTGAGTCATAGGAATTGCTATGTAACACACACAGAAACTGGGATTTATTGTCAAGAGTTGAAATAATCCAGTGGATTTGGATATATTCTGATTCAGATGTTCATGTGCAAACATACTGGCATGATTTTCTTAACAACTATGTGTAAAGGCAGATCAAATAGAATCCAAGAGCTGGAGATAAAATTAATTGTTATAAATAATTAGGGTAACATTTTAATCATCCAAAAAGTTTATTATGCTCAATTTTAGGATTTGCAAAAGTTGTGATGACAGGATTGATAATTTATGGGTTATTGGCTATTATGCAAGGATAATGAAAATAAATGCATTGATTTGAGACTATGTATGCCAGCTTTATGCATATAAATAGACTTTAAAATCCTATTGTGTTTTATGGCTCCACATAAATAACAAAACAACCTCATGACTTGGAAACAGAGCATGTGCATCTTAAACACTCCAATAAGATGGCTTGGTTTCTTCATTTAAACTCTCATTATTAATGCCTATCTATGCATGGATATATTCCTGCTTGGGAAGATACAGAAGAAAGTAAAATCAGTGTTTCTGAAACATTGATGAGCTCATGAATCACCCAAAAGGAACCCTGTTAAAACACATATTCTGTTTCCACAGAGAAAGGAAGGGCCTAACAGTCTCTGTTTTTAACAAGCTCCTGGATGCTGCTGCTGCTGCTGCTGCTGCTGGTCCAATGACCACTCTTTGAGTAGCAAAGCATTGGACCCCTCAGTGCTCCCCAAAGCTCAATGGTAACTACATCCTTGATGTAATGATTTAGATATAGAAGAAAAGAGTTATGACTGCTATTATAAAGAATACAATACCTGGAGACATCTGCAAAATATATTTTTAGAAGCATAACTTACAGAAAGCATTATAAGCAGCTTTTGCAATTGCACAGTTTAATGGTGTTATTTGGTTCTAGGACCTCAATTGTGTGAAGTTCCTTATTCATCTCTTCACCTCCTTCAAGAAGTGACACTCTATAACTAGATGAAAAGACACATGTAAGCAAAGCTATGTTTATTCACCTAGCAAAATTAACATACAATGTTTTTCACTGAAAGCCAAGTAGAATCTTACATGACATTCAGAAAGGTTTACATCGTCTCCCTTCTCCTTCTCCTACTCCTTCATCTTCCCTCTCTTCCTCCTCCTCTTTCTTCTGCTTCATCCTCTCCTCCTCCTCCACCTCCTCCTCCTCATCCTCTTCATCCTCCTCTTGTTTCTTCATCATCTTCTTCTCCTCTTCCTCTTAGTGCTTTTATCAGCAAGGAAGTATTAATATTTTGGATTTAAAACCTCTTGTCAGTACTTTTTCTGGAGATATCAGTGTGTAAATTACCAATTACAATTTGCAGCTGACCGTACTGGTATGAGTACTTGAGTGGCTCAGAGGCTCACAGCCTCTGGATGGGAGCACAAAGGGAGCCCCCTGGATCTTCTTATAAAAAACTAGGTCACCCATCATCAATTCATGAAGCTCCCCAGCAGAAAAATGTGGAATCTATAAACTGGTCAGAACTGTAAACCTATTGATTAGAAGGTCATTCATGAGAATAAAGACGTGACATTTATGAAATGTTATGCAAGCATCGCCTCATTTAACTGTAAGTCTTTATCCCACTTTTTGTTTCAAAATGATTTACATTGGATTTTTCATAAAAAGTGTAAATGCTAACTTTTTTTTTCTATTCCCCCAAGTAGAAACAAACTTAACATTAAGGCTATGTTTTTAGGAATCTGTTACCCAAGGTCAGGCAAATAATGTGATTAAAAATGTGTTCACTGGTCTTATTAATTCAAACCTCAGGCCAATATTTTGTGAATTTCTGCAGCCTCAAACACTCGAATATGGCATTGCGCACCTTCTTTTTTGGATGACAACAACTCTAGTTAGAAAGCCATTTCTAAAGGAAGACACTGCACCAAGCAATTTTAAATTCAAGCAAATTTAAGTTTTAAATTCAATTTTAAAGTAGCAATTACTTTATCCGTCCCAAACTTCCAAAACCACTAAAGGAATTACATGAGTTCAATATTGGCAATACCACATTTTACCCACGAAACACACTCACACACTCATAAATGAATTGAAAATAGAATATAATTTAATATTGACCTTATATGAATGAATATAGAAATAAAATTTGCTTAGTATTTGAAAGACCTAGAAAAGTGAATAAAGTCACATTCTACTTTCTTAATCTCAGTTTCACAAAATATATTTTATTTATAATCTTAAATTTTTCCTAGCTCATTGGTAAAGCTTTGTTTCTTTAATATTCTCAAGTATGTTTATTTCATAAAGCTTTTCTTTCTAAAAGTCTTCTCTTTTTCTCTTAAAATGCGTGAATGCTAGGAAGTTCCAGTTTTCTCTTAGTATTGACTTTTATGTTGATGAATATGCCTTTCTTTCTTTTTTTTATTTGTATAGAAATCACATGATACTGTTTTCCTTTATTTTTGATTAAAATGTTACCTTTGATGTTCCAGGAATAAAGTAGCTCACACAAACCAAAGTAAAGATAAAACTTTGAATTTGAAAGCTAGCCAGACGGACCACCCGAGCAATATAAAAAAGCTCTAAATCAGCAGTACCATAAATCAGTCACACCATTCAAATTCACATTGTAATGAAATCTATTCTTGAGACAACTTACGACGATTCAATCTTCACTACGTATTCAGTGAGGTGGGAGGGGGAACCTGAGTGAAGTTGTTTACATCTTACTAATTCCTTTATAACTTATCAATTCAGACAACTTGTAATGTATAAACAATCTCTGCTCTAGTATCTAAACTTGGCAAATTTTTCTGTGGATTCAGACACTGAGTCAGGTGGACTGATGGCTTTTTTAGTCCCTTTAATCCCAGACTCTGCTTTGATTAGAAAGATGCTTTAAGTGGGTAGCAGCCTAAATGAGTCAAATGCAATGTCCAGAGTAGCTCTCATTCCCAGACAACACTTCCTGCTTGGAGAAACCAGAAAGCCGCAGGACATTGTTAGAAGATCTTTCTGTTACGTTGTAGTACAAAACTAAACCTATCGTTGCTTTTCTTCTTATTAAAGATGAGGTATGTGGTCCTTTTTCTAAATTCAGATCATACAAAACAATTCCATTATCCTTCATCCAAGGGCTATCTAGTCCAGGTTATTGCACCTAAATGCACTCTCAAATATGTGGAGGGGCATTTCTTCCTTGGAGACAGAAATACCAGCTTGAGAGGGAGACCCTCCTGTCTGCAGGAATATGGCCCAGATGACTTTGGAAAACAGCTCCTGGATTTGTTTCTTTAACCCAGGTTGTCTTTTATACTTTATATTTATTATATATAAAGTTTTCTTAGCAGGACAAAGGCTTAATGCAATGGTGTGTGACCATCTTCTGCGGTTTCTAACAAACTGGATCTACACTATGTTGTTTTGTTCTATCAGTGATATGAAAAAAAGAAATGTTTGGTTTTTAATTATATACATGTGATAGCAGGTACTGGAAGTGATATTTTAAGCTCCCTCAGCTTTGTTTCAAGGTTTGAGTGTAATAATTCCTATGCAAATCATTCTGTGGCAGAGTTCACTGTCACACTGATGCTGGAAAAAGAAACTTTTATATAGTAGTTGAAAGGGAGAGGAGAAATTCTGGGAGAATCCATGATGATCAGGAAACCAAACCAAGACAATTCCTTCTAGCACCCTGAATTTTTAATGTGAAATTACATAAAACAGACTCACTGTGTAAGGGTAGATGTGACTAATGTCAGTTAAGAAACACACAGCATGAGCCAAATCCTTAGAATCACAGAAAACACTAATGGAGACCCATTGCTCAGAGACTAAGCTAGCCAGGGACTGCTTTACACTAGGCCAGCCATCCCGTCAAGGGGAGCTGGGTTTTTCATTTCTACCACACCTTTTTAGAAGCAAAACAGCTGTTTATGGAAAGATATAGGTAAGTATTTTATTAGACAAAACCACATATACACTGGTCATTAGAAATATGAATACATGGAGCGCCTTAGGGTGCTGTGAGGTTTAGAGATGTCGCTCATTCATCTCCTATTGCTGTTAATCCAAACTCACAGTCTCAACCCAGAATCAGTGGATAAACACATTTTTTGAGCTTTGGAATGACAGTCAGGGTTAAAGTTGTAGCAATGACTCCAGAAGTGTCAAAACAGACGTACATTTCAACGGTGCATCAGGTGGGAGGTGGGGCGTCGAAGGGGTGGAGAGGAAAGGAGAGCTGGGAGGAGGGAGAGGCTCAGCCTTTCCATGCCTGCTTTCTGCCCCTGGAAGCCTTTTCTGCTGAATTCCCTCCCACAGTCATGGTTGAAAGGAGCTGAAGTCATCCGGTATACCATCTTCCTGCTTCTTAGGCTGTAAATCATCTGTAAAATTATGGCTTTCGTGGCACCTAGAACCATTTCTTGAGTGTGGCTCCTCAGCTATCTAATCAATTCCCCATTACTGGCATCTACGTTTTCTGAAAACACTTTAAGTTTCCTGGAAACTATTACCAAATGTTTTTACCGAATTACCAAAGTTAAGAATATTCATACTACGTTGGCTTCTACAAAGAGTTAAAATATTTAGACACCAAATTCTTGATCAATTCTATTTTTCCTCTCTTTAGAGACCCTCCAGGAGAATATAAAAAGCTCACTGTGTGAGCTACAGCTCTTTTAACGCAGCATTGCACAAACAAAGCTGCTACAGACTCACCCATCATGTATTTCAGGAGTGTCACTTGATTTAGTGCAATGGTGGTCTACACGATGCTGTTTTCAAAATAGTAATTGTGGGCCGGGTGTGGTGGCTCATGCCTGTAATCCCAGCACTTAGGGAGGCCAAGGCAGGCAGATCATCTGAAGTCAGGAGTTTGAGACCAGCCTGGCCGACATGGTGAAACCCTGTCTCTACTCAAAATACAAAAATTAGTCAGGCGTGGTCACGGGCGCCTGTAATCCCAGCTACTCAGGAGGCTGAGGCAGGAGAATCGCTTGAACCCAGGAGGTGGAGGTTGCAGTGAGCCGAGATTGTGCCACTGCACTCCAGCCTGGGTAACAGAGTAAGACTCCATCTCAAACAAACAAAAATAGTAATTGTGTTTGTGAAAATAAAATGATTCACTCCCTTGTGTAAACGCATGTGGCCTCTATTTGGCTGTGACAGCTTAAAAAAAACCTCTTTTTCAAATTTCATTTTTCTTTTCCAAATGTAATCTGTGACTTTTATGCACTGCCGGAATAAGAAGTGGCTTTTCAGAGGCAAAAATAAAAATATACTTTTTTAAAAGCCATCGGTACTTCCAGGGAATAGCTTGGAAACAAGGATGTAGTTGCTATCTAAGCCATCTATTTCTTCACGTTTAAATTTTACTCTGAAAGTTACATTGGAGAAACCACATTTTCCATTTTAAAGGGGCTACTCGTATTTGGTGACATTGCCTCCACCCAGAGGGCTCCTTCCTGTGTGTTTTTCTCGCAGCTTCTTTCCTGCCTGGACGTCCACTGCTTGCCAGGTCAGTACCCGGAAAAGTCAGCAAGAAAGGCAGGGCCAAAGGGCAATTGGCTGAAGCGAGACCCCTGCATGGGTGCAAGGCAAAGCAAGCTTTCCTGAGCACCAGGGGACCTGCCTGAACTCACTGCAGATACACATGCAAGTGCTAATCACAAGGCCACTGTGAGTCGTGTTAGGTAGGGAAACAAGCGTTCTAAACGAAAGCAAGTAAGGTCACACAATTCCTCCACTGACACCAATGCATCTTAAAGGTTCAGATGTAGAGAGACAGAGATGAGAGTTTTAGAAAACATTAATATTTACTATCCACGTTCCATATTAGCACCTGATAGGGCAGAATTTTGTGTAAAAAATGGCTACATGTCAATCTAGTAAGAATCCACTTACTGAAATAAATTCTACCATGGAAAGACCTAAGAAAAAGGAAAAGTCTAATAAATTAATCAAAATGATATCAACATAATTGAACAGAACCCACCGAATAAGTAGCATGGAAATCTCTATTTAGGTGCTTGCCCGTGTGTTAACTTCCGAAGCCCTTATACTTAAAAATTATTATACTTTCATACAAAATAAACATATAATATATATTGAGAAAGAAAATTCTAAATCGTTATGCTTATAAAAATAATAAACTAGAAATATATGGCTTTTAAACATTAACTTTTAAATTCAAAACTATTAAAACTAAGTTATTAAATAAAGTCAATGTAACAAAATTTTCTACTGGTCTTTCATAATAACTCTCTAGTCAATCAATTTACGAATTGATAGTGGAGTAATACATTTGTGTCTTTTCTACTAAAAGAACATGTAACTAAAATCCAAAGTTACTATGTTTTATTGTTTAATTAAAAATTTGAACCCTAACTTGGTTATTATGTAACAATATTATAAATACCATAATAATGTGTGCTGTTCGAATGGGGTCTCCTTTTTCACTCTTCAGACACTGGAGGCTTTGGGTTTTGTTTTACTTACAATAGTTTTGTAATTTGGGACAGCATGAATAATTAGCAGGTCTCTTATGCTATGTCCAGGTGTGAACAAGCCATCATTAACATCCAGATGAGCTGTCCGCCCAGAGTGAAGACCTGAGCGAAATCTCTCCCAGAATTCTGAGCTGCAGAGTTGATGCTCAGTGCTTATTTTAATGTTTCCTGGGATCTGCAACTTACCTAAAACACATGCACACATCCAATGTCAGAAGTTTTAATTTGGTTTTTCTAAATATTCTCAGGATAATCCAAATCCAAATAGAATCTCTCATTATAATGAACACATTGTTTTATACATTGTGTTCTCAAAGAAATTGAAATGAGTCACTGACTAGAAACAAACCATAGATTGGCATCAGTTCCGGATGAGCCTCATGGAACTGTATTCTGCCATATCTAGCCTGGTACCTCCCAAAACTGTCAGCATGCCAAGTGAACCCTCAGACTGAATTTAGAGGGACTGTATTGGGAGGTAAGGTTGGAGTAGGTAAGGTCCTCGAATGTCCTCATTCAAGAGCCCTTTCTCTGGAGAGTCTTTCCCTGTGGACCTGAGAGCTAGCATCTCCACCGGCCTTTAGTGCAGCCCTCAGACCCTCTGTTACTCAGGGCTGCCTGGCTGAATTAAGCAAGGAGAGCTGAGAAGAGTTAACTGTACGTTTTGGAGGGAATTTCTCCCACTGTCATTTGTCAACTCGTTGCTTTGTCTAGGTGACACTTGTTTATTCACATGGTATTAGCATGCTCTCATGGATCTGAAAAAGAAGTCAGTTTTCCAGGGAAAAACAGGTATCTCTACTCTGAACCCTGGGACCTGATGGGCTTGTGTCTCTGTATGCCCAGGTGCATGGGAAATGCATGCACTGCTGGTGATCTAACAATGCCACCCTGAACTCTCCCCATGATTTGCTACCTATTCCCAAAAACCTAAGAACCTGGGCTATGGCCAGCAGTAAGTGAGCAGAACAAAAGAAAGAAAAAGTCTTCATAGTATTTATGGTCCATGGCCTAAGTAGAAGGAAATACCAGAAATTTCCAAGAGAGGGACTGTTTCCAGGAGATTTTTCAGACTAATTTTGCATAACCACATTTACTTATCCAAGAGTCTTAGTTTGAATTAAGCATTTGAACTTCCGGGTGCTCATTTGAACCAAAGCCAAACTCTGAACTTTTTAGGTT
Organism: Homo sapiens; assembly: GCF_000001405.40. Classification (NCBI taxonomy): domain Eukaryota; kingdom Metazoa; phylum Chordata; class Mammalia; order Primates; family Hominidae; genus Homo; species Homo sapiens. The sequence continues at coordinate 75,492,976 of NC_000018.10, read as the reverse complement.
TCCCTGTCATTAATCAAAATTTCGAAGATCAATGGCATGTAATGAATCAAGTATAATAGCCACCATCAATTGCAATAGCAAGGAGCCACACCAGGGGAGTACCAGAATGCTATGTTGGATAAAAATCAATCTGGCTTTGAATACCAAGTGAATCGACACTGAGATCTGATACGGAGAGAAGCTGACGCCATGGGTCAGAGGCATCTGCCATGGATAAGGAGAGGCGAGCTGCCCAGCCGCACCCAGAACACACCAAACACAGACCTTGAGGCACTTGCAGGAGGTGGCGTTGGAAGGCCTAGAATTCATGTGCTGCCCTGGCATCTCTAAGCCTCCTGGGGCCCCAGAAGCTTAACCATGAGCATCCCTGCTCTGGCCAGAAAGGCCCCCACACAATGAGAAAGACCCCATCCAACTAATTCCCCTGTCAACTGAAAGAGCCCCACCCCACTGGTCCCCCCACTGAACTAACAGGTTTCACTTCCCTGCCAGTGCACAGAGTTCTGCACACAATCCCACCTCCCCACGGAAACCAGGGGGCACCCCACCTCTTGTTACTACAAAGCCCCTGCTTGTTCTGCTGGAGTCTCTGCTGTTGAGTGCAGTCCCTGCGTGGCCCTGTGTTGTGTGCAATGTCTTCTCCTGGGGCCCTGAGTAGGTTTAATTAATAAACTTCTGTTTAATTTTCCCCATCGGGTCTTGGGTGTCATGTGTCCAGCCATCTCCTACTGTTTAGAGTGGGGGATCCTTTCTCCCACAACAGGGTGAAAAAGGGGTGATCAAATAGAGTGAGGATGTCTGTCGAGGACAATTTTGCAAATATAAGGACATTTGTGGAAATATTTCAAAAATAAAAGCCAGAGAAAATTATTTACTAAGAAGTATTTAAAACAGGACTCCAAACTCTCCTCGTGAGAGGTGTGTACATGTCTGTATACGCTGTGCACACACAAGGGAAACTGCATTATCAGGGATGGACTCTGAGTTTGGTGCAGGTCTGCTGTATACCTGCATTCCAGGAAGTTATATATCCTGGAACACTGGACCCAGAGAATACTAACAGATGTGTTGAAAAATATATGGTCTGTGGTCAAACAGGCTTGAGAAATGCTGACTGTAACAAACCTAGGTTTATTACTAATGTGTATTCTAAACCATCCCACTTACTTGTAGGGCCAATATTCCACAACAACCAATGCCAGCCTACTTAATGACTTTTGTGCTTACAAAAAAAAGCAAAGTAAGTAATCGAACATATTTTTGAACCTGTCCCCATTTTCCCACTTTTCCCCATAAATAATACACGTATTTATTTGGCACAGATAAAAAAGAAAGTAAAATCATAAGCCATCTGAAGGCATCTTCAACGAATGCTCATTCCTTTGGTCGCTCCTCCTCACCAGCATCATGCCCCACCACAAACCACAAAACATTCCCAAAATTTTGAATGCTTCTTCCTCTTTCTCAGTACATTTTCCTCATTAATAAGCAAGTGGACACCTTTAGACTCATATTCAGCCCTGCAAAGATAAAAGATGACTTGCGCAGGAAAATAAAGAGTAGTGTCCAACAAAAACACAATTGCATTTGATATAGAGGAAGACACAAAACACAGCTCCATTAATATTTTAATATTTGTTTTGGAAATGTCAGCCCATTGGTATTCAGAATATATAATTCATCATACTGTTTTTGTTTACAGAGTGTACATTGTAAAATCTCTTGATTCTAAAAGTTTTCAGGATAATATTTCGGAGAATTTTCCCACCAAGACAATACTGAAGACTAGATTGATTAAAGACAGACAGAGACAAAGAAAGGGGATAGAGATAATGATAAGCAATGTAGGAAAGAATTAGAGCCACGTAAGGTAAGGAAGGTGAGTTTGATATGCTAGACAACGGTGAGATCTACTCATTGACAAAACAAAAAGTATCAAAGACTATCTTAAAGAGCTCTAAGAATTATTTTGTACAAGAATGCTTAAATTTAATTTTAAACAAATGTATTTATTTTTAATGATTAAAGTCCAAATTGACTGTTTTACTTGGTTGCATTCTTACCATCACTGATTAACAGAAAATAATGCATACACCAGCACTATAAAATTCATAGCAGCATTAGTATAGCTAAAATAATTCAGTCATTTAGAAATTATTAAGCTAATACTATTAAACATGGTTGTACTAGATACTAGAAACAAATGCATGATTCAGACATAGTCCTTGTCCTCAAAGAATTTATAGTCTAGTCACACATTATTAAAAATATACACCAGGTTTTAATCATTCTTGCTGTTGATTTGAAGGAAAACGTCTTTTTTAGAAAATGTAAGCAACCTATACAATTGAAATCACTTTAGCCAATGGTTAAAAGTGTTTTATTTTAGTTAGTTGGTTCATACAAAACCATTTCAAATATATGGTTACCTGGACAAAAAAAGCAAGATGTCAAATGCAAGGGATAATATGACTATATCTTTATGCTCCTTGCATTGTCTCTTGGGTCATAATTTATAATAATGAAGTAATCAGCACTAAACCGTTCTTAACCCATGGCCCAAATTGGTATTTCATAAATAATATCTTACTAGAAATAAGTGACTGTACTTCTAAACCAAGATACTTGCCAAATCAATGAGGAGTAGGTGGTTTATTCAAAAAATGTTCTTCAGACAACAGACTAATTGCAAAGGGAAAAAAAACGTTAGATGTCTTATACCTTCAAGGAAAATAAGTTCCAGTTGAATTTTAAGATATTCATGTAAAAGTGAAACTATAAAAATAATAATAAATTATGGGGTAAATAATTACAAAAGTTTGGAGTGAGGACAAAGTGTCTTCAAACATGACATCAAAGCCAAAGCCGTAAAGGCCATGGCTCCGATGAGACGCATCTCTTTCAAGTCGGGGAGTACCACTGGTGCTTGTCATACAGGGTGTGTTCATTTTCCACTGCTGAGTAACACATTACCACAGACTGAATGCCTTAAAAGAACAAAAATTTACTATCTCACGATTTTTGTGAGTCATGAATTTGATGCATTCCACTTAGGGCCTCCGCTCAGCATTTCCCCAGGCTGAAATCTTGGTGTTGCCTGGCTGATCCTCATCCTGAAGCTGCACTAGAAAAAAGACCCACTTCTAAGTTCCCGCAGATGGTTGGCAGAATTCACATCCCTGTCGTCTAGCCAAGGCCCCCATTTTCTTACCAGCTGTCATCTAGGAACCCCTCGCTTCCCAGGAGTCTCTCTCAGGTCCTCACTACGTGTCCCTCTCTGCAGACAATTCAAACACGGCTGTTTGCTTCTTCAAGGCCGCAGGAGAATCTATTACTTAGAATCTCTCTTCAGGGAAGGCCTGAGCTCTCTTTTAAAGGATTTACCTGATTATGTCAGGCCAACCCAGACTGAGTCAACTAATTAAGAACCTTAAATACATCTGCAAAAGCCCTTCACTTTGCCATAAAATATTTACGGGAGCAAAATTATGTGAGGGTGACAAGCTCCACCCACACTCCAGGGGAGACGATTATCCAGAACCTGTCTAGAGGGTGGGGATGCTGGGGGCATCTTAGCATTCTGCTTCCATTCAGAAGGAGACCAATAAGTACTTTTAAATAAATGAATGACAAAATAATCCATCCAAAGAAACTTTAAGAGTGAACTTCAAACCCAGAAAAACATTTTGTGACAATACAATTTTTATTTTAGTCCACTAAGCCATAATTTTTTAATGTGCAAATAATATGAAAAGGACATTTATAAATGATTTTAAAATATGTTACATGTGATCAATTTCACAAACAATGAAATAAATGCAGATAATAACGAGATATTTACGTAAGAGTTTGGTGAAAACCCTTTTTAAGAGAACACACGGCGTTGATGCAGAAGTGTAAGAAATCATACTTCATACCACATCATACCTCGAGAAAATAAATTGATATAACCTTTATGGAGAACATTTTAGCAATATGTATCAAACACTTTTAGAGAGCTCATCCCTTTGACCTGGAAATTCCATTTTTAGTAATTGATCCTAAGGGGGAAAAATTGATAAGAATGCAAAGATGGATGTACCCCATCTGGATCAAAATAGCAGAGTAAGTGCACTCATTTTTTACCCTTTTCGCCCAATATCCCACCAAATTCAAAACAAGATAGAGAACAGAGACATCACTAGCAAGCCATAAATTTTGGCACATTTTTCTGGAGACAGCATCAAAGTCACACACAATAAATGTTATCACAAAACTAACAAAAAAAAAGACAGAGAAGGCAGAGGCAAAGAGAGTTACAGCCCATACTACATTAAAGAAAAGTCTTCAAAGATACTTCTCTTGTTTGCCTTGATCCAAACACAGAAGTAGCTGTTGGGAGAGCAAGAGTAGGCTGTGGAGAAATGTGTCCGGCTTCAGTGTCACTCTTGTCATTAACCTTGTCTTATGCATTTGTTTACATACTGGTCACTCTTGCCCCACAAGACTGTAGGTTCCATGATGACTTCAAACATTAAAATATCAAATAGTAATAATGAAACCCAACAGTGACAAGAAAAAAAAAAGCTTGTTGGGGGGCGGGGTGGGGGTGAAGACCGTGGGAATCAATCTAAATCAATCTAACTTAAAATCAATCACTTAGATTGTACCAAAGTAATAGATCCATCACCCAGCACCCCAGGATCTATCACTGTGCGAGGTCCCACTCCCTGCAGGGGTGTCTGCGTTACTGGGAATGAATGGAGCCCAGCCACATTGGTTCCTGCCTAGACACAGACCTTTGAGAATGTGAGAATTACATGATGTACCACAGGGAAAGGAATGTCTGGCTCAGGTCATAATTTTTTTTGTTACATCCATTATTGTTCTGGATGTTACTATTGTTGTTGTTATCAGGATTTTAACCTGGTTGTGTACTTCAACCACATGTAAACCAAATGCTCCTTAAAATTATCTAACTTGGCCTCTTGATCTATTCTTTACCTATCCCATTATCAGAAGAGAATGAGCCTGGAACCCCACGTCTATAAGCTATGAATGCTAGTGGGCACTTTTGATATCATTAGCTACTTGGGTTATTATCAGTTGTAGGAAAAGTTCGGCAGCATATTTGTCATATCACTATTCAATAATGACTGGAACAGAAATAAATGCAGGTATCATAATTCCTATCTTGCTATTTGACATAAATTTTGTCAACAGCTATACCCAAACACTCTCACAGTATCCTGACTAATGCAAATTGATTTCTGATGCTTCAGTCGACTATTGAATAGTCGACTGGGGATATTTTAATATCCCCAGACAAAAAGAAAAACAAAACAAAAATGTGATTTCATTTATATGGCTAAAATATATCGTCATTAATTGTATAGGAATGATTTCCAGTGGGCTGAAGTCAGGGAAATGGCTGACTAAATAGAAGAGATAACCGAAAAAAAATACATCTAAGTGGATGTATTACGAGAAAGGATGTATAGAAGAAATAAAGGAAGAATAGGTTCATTGCTACAAGCCCAGGTGTTTCAGCTTAATTCCTTGCTCAAGCTCTCTTTGTTCAGGTTATGGGAGAAATGGACCCCCAGCAGGAGTGGAATCAACTTCCGACTTCATCAGGATTCTGAAGGGAGATTCACATATGGGACATCACCACATGCTACCACAGCAACACTGAACATTGAACAGAATGTAGAGAGATTTTGTGTATACCCACTCCTCCTGCATATACATAGGCTGCCCCTAGTCAGCATCCCAAACTGGAGCGGTATATTTGTCATAGTCAATGAATGTACATTGACACATCATTGTCATGCAAAGTCCATGGTTTACATTAGAGTTCACTCTTATACGTTCTATGGGGTTGGACAAATGATTCTAAATTTTTTATGGTTACTGTAGCCTTGTAGTATGGTTTGAAGTTGGGCAACATGATGCCTCCAGCTTTATTTTTTATTCTTAGGACTGCCTTGGCTATTCAAGTTCTTTTTTGATTCCATATGTATTTTAAACTAGCTTTTTTTCTAATTTTGTGAAGAATGTCATTGTTAGTTTGATAGGAATCGCATTGAATCTGTACATTTCTTTTAAACAGTATGGCCATTTAAAAAATATTGGTTTCTCCTATCGATAAGTATGGAATATTCTTCCAAAATTGAGGAGGAGGGACTCCTTCCTAACTCATTCTATGAGGCCAGCATCATCTTGATACCAAAACCTGGTAGGACATAGAAATAAAAGAAGACTTCAAGCCAATGTATTTGATAAACATAGATGCAGAAATCCTCAACAAAATACAGCAAACTGAATCCAGTAGCACATCAAAAAGCTAATACACCATGATCAAGTAGGCTTTATCTCTGGGGTGCAAAGTTGGTTCAACATACACAAATCAATAAATATGATTCATTATATAAACAGAACTAAAAACAAAAACACATGATCATTCAACAGATATAGGAAAGGCTTTCAATAAAATTCAGCATCCCTTCATGTTAAAAACCCTCAACAAACTAGGCATTGAAGGAACATACCTCAAAATAATAAGAGCCATCTATGACAGCCAACAGCCAACATCATGCTGAAGGGACAGAAGCCAGAAGTATCATCCTCGAAAACCGGAACAAGACAAGGATGCCCCCTCTCACCACTCCTATTCACCATAGTACTGGAAGTCCTAGCCAGAGCAATCAGGCAAGAGAAAAAAATAAAAGGCATCCAAACAGGAAGAGAGGAAGTCAAATTATCTCTTTTTGCAGGCAATATGATTCTATACCTAGAAAACCCACAACCTCTGTCCAAAAGCTCCTCGGTCTGATAAACAACTTCAACAAATTTTCAGGATACAAAATTAATGTACAAAAATCAATGGCATTTCTACACACCAACAACCTCCAAGCTGAGAGCCAAATCAAGAATGCAATCCCATTCACAATCCACAGAAAGAATAAAATACCTAGGAATACAGCTAACCAGGGAGGTGAAAGATCTTTACCAAAAAAAAAAAAAAAAAAATTACAAACACTGCTCAAAGAAATTGGAGATGACACAAACAAATGGATATCCATGCTCATAAACAGGAAGAATCAATATTGCTATCATGGTGATCCTGCCCAAAGCAATTTAAATATTCAGTACTATTCCTATCAAACTAACAATGAAATTCTTCACAAAATTAGAAAAAAAAACTATTTTAAAATACATATAGAACCAAAAAAAGAGCTCAAAGCTCCAATAGCCAAGGCAATACTAAGCATGAATAACAAAGCTGGAGGCATCATGTTACCTGACTTCAAATTATGATACGACATACAGTAACCATAAAAATTTCAGAATCAGTTTGTGTCAACATTCACAAAATAACTTGCAGAATTTTGATTCGGATTACATTGAATCTAAAGATCAAATTAGGAAGAACTGACATTTTGACATTATTGAGTATTCCTATCCAATAACATGAAATATCTCTCCATTTATTTAGTTCTTCTTTGATTTCTTTCATCAGAGTTTTGTAGTTTTCTTCATAAAGATCTAGCACATAGTTCATTAGGTTTATACATAAGCATTTTATTTTGAGGGGTGGTGATGTAAATGGTACCATGTTTTTAATTTCAAATTCCAGTTGTTCATTGCTGACATATAGGAGAGTGATCAACTTTCTTGTTAACCTTGTATCCTACAAACTTGCTGTATAATTGCTTATTAGTTCCAAGAGTTTTGTTGTTGTTGTTGATTCCTTTGGATTTTCTGCATAGATAATCATGTTGTTTGCAAACAAGATAGTTCTTCTTTCTTTCTTCCCAATCAGTAGAACTTTTATTTCCTTTTTTATTTTTGTCTTTTTGCATTAGCTACAACTCTCAGAATGATACTTAAAAAGACGGCTGGGTGCCGTGGCTTATGCCTGTAATCCCAGAACTTTTGGAAGCTGAGGCGGGTGGATCACCTGAGGTCAGGAGTTTGAGACCAGCCTGGCCAACATAGTGAAACCTCGTCTCTACTAAAAATACAAAAATTAGTTGGGCATGGTGGCGGGCACCTGTAATCTCAGCTACTTGGGAGGCTGAGGCAAGAGAATCGCTTGAACCCAGGAGCTGGAGGTTACAGTGAGCTAAAATCACGCCATTGCACTCCAGCCTGGGCAACAAGAGCAAGACTCCATCTTTAAAAAAAAAAAAAAGAAAAAGAAAAAAGTAGTGAGAGGGAACATCCTTGCCTTGTTCCTGATCTTAGTGTGAAATTTTCTCACCGTTAAGTACGTTTCTCACCATTAAGTATGTTCTCTGTAGGTTTTCTGTAGATGTTCTTTATCAAGGTGAGAAAGTTTCCTTCTATTTCTAGTTTGCTGAGAGGTTTCTTTCTTTTTTATCATGAGTGTTGGATTTTGTCAAATAGCTTTTTGGCATCTACTAATATGATCATGTGATTTTGCTTTTATAGCCTATTGATGTGACGGATTAAATTGGTTGATTTTCAAATGCTGAACAAGCCTTTCTACCTGGGATAAACCCCACTTGGTTGTGGTGTGTAATTCTTTCTATATATTGTTGGATTTGCTTTGCAAATATTTTACTGAGGATTTTTGTATCTATGTTCAGAACATATATTGGTCTGTTTTATTTTCTTATAATGTCTTTTCTTATAATGTCTGTTTTATTTTCTTATAATGTCTTTGTCTGCTTTTGGTATTAGGGTACTGCTGAAAGTATTTCTTATCTTTACTAAGGTGCCTTTTTCCTCCAGCTTCTTACAAGATTTGTTATTCACTTTTGATTTTCTGCAGTTTGAATATGGTATATTTAGGTGTAGTTTTTGGGAGCATTTAGCCTGCTTTGTCTTCTCTGAACTTTCTGAATCTGTGGTTTCCTCTCTGACATTAATTTAGGAAGATTCTGCGTTGAATTTCTTCAAGTATTTCTTCTGTTTCTTTCTCTCTTTCTTCTGCTTCTGGTATTTCCATTACACACATGCTACTTCTTCTGTAGTTGCCCACACAGTTCCCGGACATTGTGCTCTAATTCTTTCCCAGTCTTTTTTTCTCTTTGCTACTGTTGCAGTTTTCTTGTTCCTTAGTTCAGCTAAGTGTGAGTTCTTGTCCCACGACCAAGAAGAATAAGGCACACAGACACTGGAGAGTGGCTAAGGCAGAGCAGGGTTTTATTAAGCAACAGAAAAGCTCTCAGCAATGAGAGGAGACCTGAAGAGGGTTGCCAGAAATGAGGCAAGTTCTCGATCTTTTATGTGGCAAAGACAAGGAAGGCTCCTGTGGGTTCTACCCTAAGGGGAGGGGTAAAGTTGCCTCTGCACATGCCTGGGGTTGGTCGTAGCTACTCTGTCTTGGTTACTACCCATGAGTGCCTAAGTGAAACCCGCAGCAGGGCTAAAACTACAATGCTAATTTCTTGTTAATGATATTATAATGAGCTAGGTTAAGGATATTTAAGTTGATTTATTGCACCCGCACCTGGGTTGAGACCGTCCCTTCTGAGCAAACATCCTGGCGTTAGGGGAAGCTCTTTACCACATTTCTTTCTTCTAGCTGCAGGGGAGGTGCAGATGTGGTCCTGTGAGTGTTTTTCCTCTCCAGAGACCCTCCCTCTATATCCACCTAGCTGGCTTCTAACTGCCTCCTCTCTCACTCTCTCATTTTGGAAGTTTCTGTTGACATTTTCAAGCTCAAACATTGTTTCCTTCAGCCATGTTCAGTCTACTAATGAGCCCATCAAAAGCATTCTTCATTTCTGTTATAGTGTTTTTTGACCTCTGGTATTTCATTTTTAGAATTTCTGTCTCTCTGTTTACATTTCCCATCTGCTCTTGCATGCTGTCTGCTTTATCTATCACATCCCTTATCATATTAGTCATAGTTGTTTTAAATGCCTGCTTTAATAATTCCAACATCCCTGCCTTATCTGAATTGGGCTCTGATGCTTGCTTTGTCTCTTCAAACTGTATTTTTCTGCCTTTTAGTATGCCTTGTAATTTTTTTTCTTGATAGCCAGACATGATGTTCTAATTAAAAGGATCTATGGTAAATAAATAAGCCTTTAGTAATGTGGTGGTAAGGTGTGGGGGGGAGGTGAAGTATTCTATAGTCCTATGATTAAGTCTCAGTCTTTTAGCCAGCTTAGGTCTCTAGACTGTAAACTTCACAAGTGTTTCTTAGTAGCCCCCCACCTCCTGGCCATGTGAGACAGGATGGTGAGTGAGTTCGTTGGGTATTTTTCTTCTTCACATGGAAGGCTAATGGGAGATAGAGTTGGGCATTTTTTTTTCCCCAAGAGTGGCTAAGGTCTAAAAAATCAAAAACAAAAAAGATGAAAAAAAGAAAAACCACAGTAGTTTAGGCTCTTGTAAAATTGTCTCTCTTGAGGGCAGTCCTTGTTAAGAACAGAATGTTCTGACATATTTCAAAACGGTTACTTTTCTTCTCCCCCTGCCGGGAGCACAAAAGGATTTTTCTGTGAAAGCCCAATCAAGTTCCTGGAGGTAAACCTCACAAGTATCAGGAGAAGGGGCATTCTTTATTACTGGGTCCCCCTGGAGTTTTTAACTCTCAGCCTTGTCCACATTGAGCCTCCAACACTTTTTCAATTGCAGGTTAAGTTTCCCTTCCTGGGCTCTGGTTCCCATGGAGGTTTCTGCTGATGGGTTTCTGCTTTACTCACATGATTCTCTGTATTTACCTGTCTGTCTCTCTACTTTGGAGGCAGGCTGTTTGCTCAGTTACCTCACTTTTCCAACAGATCTAATGAATCATTGACTGTGCCATTTGTTCAGCTTCTTACTTATTGTTAGAATGGAGTGACGACTTTCAAGCTCCTCATATGCCAAGCCAGAATCCAGAAGATCCAGAATCACTTTCTATTCTCACAATCATCCCATGAATTAAGCATTCTCATTCTCATATTATGAATGAGGAAACTGAGGCTGAAAAGTTCAGATGATTTCACAGGGACACACAAGGTGGTAAAAGGTATTCTAACCCTGGTGTCCCCCATGTACCAGAGGGTTCTTACAGCATAAGTTTAGTGGGCTGAGTTAGCAGGAGACAGAGGTGGGGAAATTGCATATGACTCTGAGAGGTATACCAAACCCCTACAGAGGGAATATCAATAAAAGGGGCCATTTTTCTTTTTGCAGAAATTGATACGTTGACCTTAAAATTCCTATAGAAATGCAAAGGACCAAGAATAGCTAAATCAATGCTAAAAAAAAAAAAAAAAAAAAAAGACAAAGAAGACTCACATTCTCCCATTTTAAAACCTATTACAAAGCTATAATAATTAAAGCAGTGTGGTACTGGCATGAAGATAGACACATTGATGAATGGAATAAAGTTAAAAGTCCAGAAAGAAAAACTTACACTTATAGTCAATTAATTTTCCATAAAGATGCCAATGGGGGTAAACAGTCCCCTCAATAAATGTGCTGAGATTACTGAATATCCACATGCATAAGGCTTTATTTAGCCCCCTCCCTTATGCCATATACAAACTAAACTCAAAATGGATCATAGACCTAACTGTAAAAACTAAACCAATTTCTATGTCTTGTAAAAAGACTTAGAAGTAAATCTCTGTGACCTGTTGGAACTTTAGGTTAGGCAGTGATTGCTTAAATGTGACACCAAAAGCAGAAACAATAAAAGGCAAAATTGATGAATTAGACTTCATCAAAATTAAAAACTTTTATGAGTCAAACAACATCATCAAGTAATTGGAATATCAGCCCATAAAATTAGAGAAAATATTATATATCTGATAAAAGACCTGTATCCAAAGTATATAAAAGCAACTTCACATAACACAATAATGATAAGAATAACCCAGTCATAAAACAGGCAAATGATTTGAACAGACATTTCTCCAAAGAAGATATACAAATGGCGAAAAAGCACATGAAAAGATATTCAATGTCCTTACTCATTAGGGAAATGCAAATCAAAACTACAATAAGATTCCACTGCACATCCAATAGAATAGCTATAATCAAAAAGCCAATAATAAAGGTTGGTAAGGATGTGATGAAATTGGAACCCACCTTACTGGTGGGAATGTAAAAAGGTGCAGAAACACTGGAGAACATTTGGGCAGTTCCTCAATATGTTAAATATAGAGTCACCATATGTCCCAGAAATTCCACTCCTAAGTAACTACCCAAGGAAAATGAGAACATATGTCCCTGCAAAGACTTCTGGATGAAGACCGAGGGCAGCTACTGCTCGTAACAGCCAAAAAGTGTAAACAACCCAAATGTCCTTCAGCTGATAAATGGATAAACAAAATGTGGTATGCCCATACAATGGAATACTATTTGGCAAAAAAAGATGAATTACTTATACATGCTAAAACAAGGATAAACCTCAAATATTATGCCATGAAACAAAGCCAATCACAAAAGATCAAATATTATTATTCCATTTATATTAAATGTCCAGAAGAGGTAAATTCATGGAGGCAAAAGCAGATAAGTGACTTTCAGAGGCTGGGGTTGAAGATTGAGGGGGGTGATAGGGAGTGACTTTTAATGGGTACGGGGTTGAAGATTGAGGGGGTGATAAGAAGTGACACCTCATAGACATGGGGTTTCTTTTGGAGGTGATGAAAAATGTTCCAAAATCAGATCATGATTGTTACACAACTCTGTAAATATATTAAAAGCATTGAACTGTATAATTTAAATGGGAGAATTTTATGGTATGTAAATTACATCTCAATAGAGCTGTTTTAAAAAAGTGTTCAGATACAAAAAGGAGGTTGCTAAAAACAGTCCTTCTTCCTATAGATGAGGCATTTTTTTGTCAAGCTCACTACATCATATGCTTCTCCAGATGCTTGGTTTGGTTTCTCTACTTGGGGGTTCTTACAATAAAACCTATTTCTCTACAGCCTCTAAGACTTTATGTAGATTCTATACGATATTCTCGAATCATAAAGAGGATTTATGTCTGTCTTACTTGAAGGAGATGGGTAGAGCTCCCTCATAACCCTACAAATACAACATTTTCAATGTTTCTGCCGATGGCCTGATGAAACAATAGGACCTCAATAGTTAACGCGCTTGTTTTGTCCCTTCAGGACAGTAGCTTTAGTTATAGAAATGTCCTCTGCTGTATTTTTTCCCAAAAAATATGCATTCAAAAAGGCCTGTGAAATGTATGTTAAATAAATCTTTTTCACTATGTTGAAAGTTTAAGCGATTTAATAAAAATAGAATCCAACATTTTACGACTTGAACAAGACTTCAAATGCAGCATTACTAAACTCCATTCTTCCCGTGACGGCATCACCTGGCAGTTCAGCGTGAGACAGGCTTGCCTCCTACATAGCTCCAGAGCAACTGTGTGGGAGGTGAGCCTGGCCCTGTAACCTGGTAAGGCCACAAAAGCTTAATTAATTTTCAGAAAACAAAGTTACTTGTATGGCCTAATTAGCCTACATTTCTTAAACAAACCCAACACAAAGCTAGGTGATATCATTTTATGCAAACAAACAATAACACCTGATCACTCCCCACACTTAGATGCCACCATTATTATAGTTGTTCAACCTTTTTTAACTCTCCATTGCTTGGAATAATAATAACCTGTTAGAACTTTGAAATGAAAATCTTTCCACTTGACAAATGCTGATGTTTTTAAGCATTTCAAAAGCCAGTGTCAAACAGGCTTGCTTTTGATTTTCATCTTGGTCTGTGCATGAGCATTAGAGAAATTAACAAGAGCGAAAGGCCTGAGATTAGCCCCTCCTCCATAATTCCCTAACGTCAATCAGTAGGGGGAGCTCTCCTATTATTTAAGTGTCCACAAACAAAGCACAGAAGCATTTTTATTGACTCTCCTGGGGACAATGGTGAGGTTTTTCTTTAAATGGATGTTATAACCTGAAGAACATTAAGACAATGATTTGTTCAAAGTTAGAGATGTACCTCATTCAGCACTGACAACATATTTTCTAAAACAGCCTTGCAAATTAACGAGGGTGTAAGAGTTGCAGGCCTGTAGAAAATTATCCCATTCCAAGAAGGAATCAAGTACCTGTCACTTATAGTGGAATAAAACTTAATTGCATCAGAATTCTAATGGCCATAATGGGCTTCATCATCTCTTTAATATGACAGAATATATGGAAAGGTTATAAAAAGGGAAAAATTGACTAACAGATTTTTAGACTTTGAGAAAGGTGGCTTTAAGCTATAAATTATAATGTGAAAGGCACAAAATGAAAAGAGCATCAGAAAGTATTAGACTCTTTGAGATTTTGTAGTTAAATTAAATAAAATGTCATGGTAAGGAAATGAATGGTATAACCCGTAAGCTTTTCATGTAGTTTGCTAAAATAACACTTCCACAATTAGAGATTTGCATGATTCTTTTTATTATTATTTTCTGTAAAGATTGGGTCTCCCTATGTTGCCCAGGCTGGTCTCAAACTCCTGGCCTCAAGCGATCCTCCTGCCTTGACCTCCCAAAGTGTTGGGATTACAAGTGTGAGCCACTGCACCTAGACTGCATGATTCTTTATTGGAGCTTTTGAGTGAAAGTAATGAAGTCCCTATACATGTACACAGTATATATCACAATATGGTAAACTGAAGACCAGAAAATACACAGTGAAGTTATCAATAGGCAACAACAGCAAGAATTGTGTATCCCTCTATGAGTACATCATATTGCTAAGTGTGACAGAAACTGTCAATGTCCCCAAGTTGCTCCCACTCTCTCTTGATAATACAGTTACCAATTTTAGTCTGGGTATATGAGTTCTCATGGGAAAAACTACAATCCCCATCCTTCCTTGCAGCCAGTAGAAGCAAGGTGACTGCATTCTGGCCAATGGGGTAAGAACAGATGGACTGTGCAGAGTTGCAGTGCACAAGAGAAAGAGGAACATGCTTTTACCAACTCCATTTCCCCTTCCCACTGGCTAGAATGTGGATATGATGGTGAGTCATCTGGGGCTATGTGGAGAGGACAACAGGTCAGGAGAGTGAGGCAAAAAGGTAGGAAGAGCTTGAGCCCGTCATAACTTTGCAAAGCAGAACCACCAAACCAGATTTTACTTTGCTGTGAGAGAGGACTGTCTCCAGGTTATTCAGACTAGTCTCCATTTGTCTCTGTGTCTCCACAGTTTAACTAGTATCCTATACTGATAATATTATAAGAAACATAAAATAATACCTGAAATCTTATTTCTTTCTGTTGTGGAATTACCTAGGAGTTTAGAAAGTGAGCCCAGCATTGGGCTAGCATCAAACATTTATAATGAGACTTATTGACTAGTGATTCAGTGTTTGCATTTGGGAGATGGATAGATAATAGATAGAAAGATAGATAGATAGATAGATAGACAGACAGACAGACGTATATTTCCCCTATGAACAGGCAGTAGAGGAGGATGGGGAAGAGGAGGAAGAAGAAGGAGGACAAGGAGGAGAATGGGGTGGGAGAGGAGGAAAGAAAGGACCATCTCAGTTCTTGGCTGGAATTGTCCCAGTTACATCCGTGGTGTGATGTTGTTAACTTGCCTTTTTTAACTCTCAAAAGTATCCTGACTTGAACAATAACTTACATGGCCATTCTGCCTCTTGGTGTCCTTTCAATAATCCCAAACTACCTCATATAGCTGGAGCTTGATATTCAAAGTGTATAATCCACTGTAGAATGTGGGCATGGTGTGAACAGGACCTCTATATAAGAAATGCCAGTACAGATACTAAAACTAAAAGAATGCAAAATGCAAAAGTCTAAGAAAAAGATCACTGCAGGTGAAACAATGAAAAGTATTTGGTTTTATCAAACCAAATTTAGAAGAGAAAATTGTGGTAGGAATGGTTTCCATAAGCTGGAAGAAGAAGAGAAAAATAATACAGAGAAAGCAGCCCAAGAAGACAGGAAGAACCTGGTCAAGGGAAGAGACGCTGAGGACCGTAAGGGAGATCTTGGCAGCAAGGATCAGCAGAAGCGATCTTTAGCATGAGTGCTTTGCTTCTATGTTATACATGTTTTCATAGAACTGGGTAATAAAGGTGTAACAGGTGTTCAGAAAACACACCGCTCCTACCCACGGCCCTTCAGTGGCACACCCACATCACTCAAGCCTCACATAGGACAGTGCAGAAGCATTAGAAGAGCATGAAGTGGTGAGAGTTAGCCTTTCAGAGACATTTATCAATGGGTTTCTTTTTTCTTAAAGAAAAGAGATACATCCTGAGGCTAACAATACTTCTGTTTATTTCTTATAAGTTCACAAAATGGCAGGGCTTCCAATGAAAATTAATATTTGCTTAGTGGATCCATGATTAGCCTATTTCATCAGACCCCAATTATGCCCGTGTGTTACCCCTGAGCTCTCCTTGCCCGTGCCTGTCCCCAGCAGGATGAAGGAGACACACACAGGGCAGCTGCATTCCTGTGTCTGTGATTAAGGGGGTGAAGAAGGAAAAAAGTTAGAGGTGAGAAAGTGCTTCAAACCCAAACATAGTGTACACATCTACAAATTTTCACAAAATGTTAACAGACACAGCAAATCACTTACTAAGATGTTCTTTAGCCTCAAGTGTCAGGATAATTTTACAGTTTTAAGTCTGTACTTTAAGTAGTCAGTACTGTTAGAATTTTCTTTAAAATCCACGAATATCAATGTGTTTACATAGTTGGGTATTATCTTCACAGATTTAATGGAGAATATAAAATTTATAAATTTTAACAGAAATGCACAGAAGATGAAATTTATTCATGGTAGTGGTTTTCTTTTTGTTTTTGTCTTTCATGTTTTTTATTTTTTATTTTTTTGTTTGTTTTGCTTTTTGTTTGTTTGTTTGTTTTTGTTTATAACATCTGCTTGTTTAACTTCTGGAAGCACCAGAAAGCTAGACAAGGCCGGGGTGGAGTCCAGGGAAAGGAAAGATGTCTATTTTGAATAATTTGTACAAGCTAGAAATGGTTCCAAAGGATCACAACGAAGTGGTTTCCTAATGAGAAACATTTTCCTTCACACAGATTGGGCTCAGAGGATGGGATCAACTCACACGCCATAGTTGCATGTGAATACACAACCATAGTTTTCATTGTGATTTAAAGTAGTAACCGAAAAGACTAGTGTGTTTGCTAGACAGGATAGAAGTGAGTGGGAAGCGTGTAGCTTATAATGTCGGGGAAAAATAAACTGACTTAATAGCTGAAGTCTGCAGAACAGAGGCCACAATGTTAAGGCAGGTGAAAATGTTAAGGGATGCTAATTTTTGCTATTGGTAAAGGACTCAAAGTTTTAAGGACTCCATTCCCAAGAGGAAATGCACATTCAATGACAACTTGGATAGTGGCGTGTGACTCCTCAGCCCAATATTATAACATGTCAAGTATTTTCCAAAAGCCACCCACTCTGCTCTATAAACAGATGAATCCTGGCTGAAGAAAGCTTCACTAACTTTGAAGATTTGAAAGGCATACAAATCTTAGGGAAACAAATCGTGACCAATAAAAGTTGAAGAGCATCTGTAAGACAGTATTACAAAGCTGGCTGACTTCCATGACTGGAGAATGGTATTAGGAAAGTGACTCAGCAAGATTCTTTAAGAAAAAAAAAGCTGAGTTATTGGGTTAAAACATCATTGGTTCATTTTGAGGCATTACAGATATTTGGAAAATAAGACCAAAGTCTTATCATCATGATAAAGCAGGCTGGTGAAGAAATCGCAGAACTGGTTACCAGTTTAATCAACTTAGTAGTTTCCTCTCACCCTGTTTTTTTTTTTTTAAGAGTGATCAATAAAAACATTAATTTTCAGGAAGCAATAAACACAGAGCTATGTGGTAGGAAGAATAAGAGCAGACATAATTTTTTTGTCTTAGACACATAGAGTAAGACGTCATCATAGGTATAAATTTCTTATATGATGTTCACATAATTACGTCTTATTTCAAAGGCATTAGGACTCCATCCTAGAAATTAAACAGAAAAATGACACATCCAGTTGACCCCATCCAGGGGGCCTCTACATCTTTAACAGTTCCGTGATCTGGTAGCCAAGTCTCTCCTAAGGAGAGGTTGAATGCAATCGCGTTCATGGGTCAAGCATAGTGTCTGTGTGGCCCACGTTCTCCATGAACCTGTGGGGCCACTCTTGTTGTTGAGTTGCTGCTGCTGTTATGGTTATGATCATTACATGTCCTTTACAAAGAGTTCTGGGATAAGGATGTCTATATAAAGGTGTCTATATTGATTATTTTATTCATCTAACATCATGTATTTTATTATTAATGTTAAAATGTAAGTAAATCTCAACTAATTCATTCATTTTTCTTCACTTATCCTATTACTAAGCACATTTGTCAACAATTCATAGAAAAATACACAGTGGTGGGTTTTTATAATGTTTTAAAATAACTGCCCACACATTTGGTCCCACTGTTTTATGATGCAATTCTTGGTCCTCTAATGAGCTTGCCAGTTGGCTCCTAAGCCTTCCAGGCCAGCATTCCCTAACACTGAGAAGCATCTCAGAAGTGCCTCGATTCAGAGGTAGACATAAAGCTGGCTGAGTAGAGTGCTTGTGATTGAACGTGTTTTGTTATTGTTTACATTAATAAAATATAAATAAAGTGCCAAACTCAGAATTTGCCCCTCAAAGTGAGATGCCATGTGCTTATGGTCTTCTGGGGAAGAAATGAGGTGGCTGGTTTTTCATGGCTTGACTATTCCCACGGAGCAGGCATCATTCTTCTCTTGCAACTGCAATATTTTTTTTCTATTTTCCTTCAATTCTCACAAGATCTTCTCTCATTAATGTCTAAACCAGGAAAAGTTTTAACAGTTAATTTTTTCACTTAACCAAAATGTATCTTAATTTCTTGTAGAGTTTTTAAAATTTAGCTTTGAAGTGTAATAAAATTAAATAGATTTGTTTTAGAATTTTCCAAAAATGAAGTTTTGGGAGAAGATGGAAAATATGGAAATATTTTTCCTAAGAATTCATTTACTTTCATTTATTTTTCTTTTCTTTTCTTTGTTTTTAGAAAACATTGAGAGAGAAATAAAGTTTCACAATTCCATCATGCCAGAAACATCTATTAAATTGAATAGGAGTGAAAATATTAACCCTCAATATTACATTCTACGTGTATGTTGAATATATTTGTCTGTTAGGCATATAGGACTCTTGGTCTTCTAGAGAATTCAAGAACTGTCAGAAACGGTTACAGTGGAAAACTTTTTTTTTCCAGGAAGCAAAAATATGTTAATGCCAAATCAATTGCATTCTTTTCAATTCCATTCAAGCAGGAAAGGAAATCTCTATCTGAAATTCAGACCCACTTTTACCACATCTCATTCTTAATTATCTAGACAAATATGGCAACTTCCTGCTCACTTTTTCTGAAGATATATAACTTTGGACTAACTTTCAAAAGCAGCTAACCTTAACAAGGATGTGGCAGCTGTTGGACAACTCACAGGCACATTCCGCCGTAATTAGAGCCAAGAAGCACTGGAGAACCATGTCCAATTGAATCCGAAAAGAGAACGTTAGTCAGCCAGAGCATCCTTACTGGAAATAGAATATAACAACAACAAAAAAATTGGTCAGTAAACCTTAAGATTTTATTTTTCAAAAAATGCCTACCAAAATAATTACCTACCCTAGAGAGAAAAATTGCCCATTAACTTTGAATGACATCTTCTAATGATTTTATCAAGTTTTCATGTGTATGAAATCATCTCTATTGTTTGAAACCACTAGGCATCTCAGCTTATATTTAGAGGGAGAGGCAGAAGTAGCTTGTGAAAGGCGTGTCTAGATCGACGACCTGACCTCTGAGTGGACCTGGAGGAAGGGGCTGGGTCTAACATGCCTCTGGGCAGAGACCCAGGAACACACCTTGCCAGGCCTTTGGCAAGGTCAGTCCTCCTGTGTGGGGATCCTGAGGCCACGCCCAAAGGAGATGTACCCTGCAGGGGAGAGAAACGCTGGCCAGATCTAGGATGCAGAGTCAGAATTTGAGGAGACAGGAAAAGAGCTCAATTGTGTGTTAAATTTTGGACAGCATGGTCCCAAACAGTCAAAGGGACAGTGGGGAGATGCACGTCTGTGGCGTCCTTCTGTAGAAGACCAGAGGGCACTGTGGCAGGGTGAGGAGGAGTCCACAGGGTGGATATGCAGCCCCTCGTGCTGCCAGCCCAGCGCCTGGCACCTCTAAATAGCACTCACGGTAGGATTCTGTTTTTCGTTCTCTGGTTTCCATGGTGCACCATTCCACAGACAGTTCTGGTTGTTTTACTGACAGGTGGACCATATCTTACATCACTTTCCTATATTTCTCAGTTCAACTCTGCACCACACAGACATGAACGCTTTGTGGTTAAGACACAGTTTAGCCAGAAGAACCGATGGCAGCTGGACCAGTGCAGAAGGAGAGTAAGAGCAGGTGCGTCCCCCAGCCGCCAGGGACAGCTTCTGACCACAGAGTGCTGGTGACTGCAGCAGGATTGTGGGCAGGTCACTTCACCTCTGTGGGTCCCAGTGTCTTCAACAGTAAAATGAAAACATTGAATTAATATCTCTTTGACCTTAAAAAGGTCATCGTCTTCGTTATTCTTGTGGAATTTCATATCAAGAATCCCAGAAAGCCAGCGGCCTTCATCTGCACTCACTCCTCGGACTCAGCTGCTGAGCCCCTGCTCACCACGCACTTTCTCTAGTTGCACAGCACGTCCCTGACTGCATGTGAGAAGGCTTTCTCCAGACTCCAGCAAAAGAGCCTTAGGGAGGAGAGTGAGGGCTCCCAATCACACTTCTCAGTCGATAGAGGTGGAAGTGTTTAGAAAAGAGACAGAGAAAGGAAAACTCAACAATGCATGGAGAAAAGCCCTGAATGACTCCTGAGGCGGCTGTACAGGCCCCCACTCAGGACACCGAGGCCGCTTGCACGGGGTTCCACTGCCGGTGTGTCCTGTCCACAACCTGTGTGATTCAGGCCCCCTTGGCTGGGCTGCTAGGTCCCTCAGAGGCCCCTCTGTCCTTAGCACAGATGCCTGTCTTCCCAAGGAATTCGAGGGAGGCCAGCAGCATGTGAATGCCCACACCATGCTTTAGGACGCGGAAGATGCTTAGAGCCAAATGGGAATTCTATGAATATAATGTTAATAAAAATTGATTTTTGAAAACGAAGCATCTTTCTTATACTACTTGCAGGTTAGATAAATAAGCCACATGGGTGATAAATGCCTGCTCTTCGCAGTTATAATTGGCCAAATATTCTTTTACTTATTTTGGCCCCTATTTTACTATGGCCAAAATAATAGTAAATAGATCAATTAGCAGGTTTGAGATAAGACCTGGGGACTTATATTTTTCAGAGCTAGGCTAAAATTCTCTCCCCCCTCATCAATAAGTCGTTGGGTCTCCCCCTCCTTGCCCCGCTTCCCACATCCGAGGAAGGGCTGAGATCCAAATAGTTATCGCACGATGGATGGCGCTCCTTCTTCATGACCTACCACACTCACATGATTTAAGCCATGGTTTTGGATGTTGTTGATGATTTATTGTATGAAAAATGTAAATGATCTGGATGGCAGATGTTTTATATTTTCTGACCATTCATTTTCAGTGGGAATGTAATTAAAATTTATGAAGTGTATCTGCTGAATTGCATTGGCAATTGATGATCTCCTCCAGGGCTGTCTATCCACAGATGATGAGTAATTGTGGACAGAGACGTCTGGTGACAAGGGCAGGATGTGATGTTTCTGCCAGAGTGAAGCGACCTACGCAAAGGACGGGATTCCTTTGCCTTTGTCCCCAGCCCACAGCCCCACCCAGCCCCACCCAGCCTACACCATGGAGAAAGGAAAGGTGGGACAGTGTCTGCTCTTTCCTTTGCAGAGTTTTAAAACTCTCAGACCTTCTCCTGAAAGGCATGTTAGAAGCCCACCACAGAGATCCAGGGAGAAAACATCATCCTTCAGAGAAAACCCACAGAAGGGACTTTGGCAAATTCCAAATCCTCCAGAGAGCTGTCATTGTTTGGCCTTGCAGATCGTGTTTTCAAGCATCGAAGTTACCATGAGAGGATCAAGTCAAAAGATTAGCTATCATCCTATCTATACGCATCCACTAGATGAAATGTGATCGTGCAATTATCAGTTGACGTGTCTACCTCCCTACTAAGCATGGAGCTTCTTGAGGTCACAGTTCTCTGTCTGTCTTAAAACCTGGCCAGCGTCTGACAGCAGAGCCTGCCACACAACCCGTTCTTGCACTTGGTTAAGCTGTGCTGAGGAAGCTACATCTGAGGAAGAGGAATGCCAAAGAGCCAGAACATGCCACACCCTGGTGTTTATTGGCATGGTTTTTCAGTACCTTATGACTTCTTGTGAGACCTTTTCTTTTGTGAAGATGCCAAACTCTCATCATTGATAGCATCACTGTCCTGCAAAGTCCCCAGAGCATTCCGTTAAATTCCCAGGTTCCCAGTCCCCAGCAGGCCACAGAATTGGATGGCCTGGGTGAAGGAGGTCATAAGATGCCTGAGCCGCAGCATTGATGATGTGGACGCTCTGTGTCAGTGCAGCAACTTTCACTTTGCTTCTGCTTCTTTTGCACCTAAATGTTTACTTTAAATTCCACAAGTCAACTTGTGTGTGGTTCTGATGAGAATGTGACCTAAAAGTGCTGTGAGTACAACTCACTAACACTGGGGCTCAAATGAAGACTGATGACCATGGTAACAAAAGAAGACTCTTTGTGTCAAGCAGTTTCTTTTATCACCTCACCTTTCTCCATGGAACACCCTTTTTTATTTCTCTTCTCCCTTCTGTTGATCTTCATCACCAGCCCACCCACCTATTGTTTAATCAGGTACTCTCCAAGCCATTCATTCTATTTCATACAATCAGTAGGATGGCATCTTTGATAGCTAGTACTTCTCACTAAAACAGAAAAAAAGGTAAAAATACTGAAATAACTTATTTTTATTTCATCAGACCCAGATGATCACTCTATTTACTGAGACGCCTGGACACCCAGGAGGTCTTTAAAAAGCATTCACAACTCATGGGAAGGTAGAATTCCTGAGCCAAAGGGCACCTCAAATTCTTTATCACAAGCCCTTTATTTTATAGAAGGGGAAAAAATGGCTAGTGAGCTGAGGAGTGGCAGCTCTGGGACTGTGATTCAAAACTCTGATGGCTCCACATTGCAAGCCCGACTTCTGTGCATAGTCTGATTTCGTTTTGAGATACCAGCTATTTTCTTTCATTTATTCTCTTGGCGCTTCCAAGTCCCAGTAAAACAGCAACTTGGCACTGCATGAAGCAGGGCTCTAGGTGCAGCTGTGAGGATGAGAACCCGAGTACAGCATTTACAAGAACACACTGTGTGCCAGGCCCTCGTCTGGACAGCAATGCTACCATAAGTTGTATGATTACTCCCATTCTACAGGGAGGCAACCTGGCAATTTCCACTTTAACCTTTCATTTCTTCTTCTTTGGCCCTATAATTCCCTTCAAGAAAACTACACTTACAATCTATAATCAGTACCAAAATTTGGTACAAGGATGTTCATTGCAATATATTAAATGTCAGAAGATGAAAAGATGGTTAAATAAATTATGGTAAGGCCAAGCATGGTGGCTCATGCCTGCATTTTGGGAGGCTGAGGCAGGTGGATCACTTGAGGTCAGGAGTTCCAGACCAGCCTGGCCAACATGGAGAAACCCCATCTCTACTAAAAATACAAAAATTAGCTGGGTGTGGTGGCATGTGCTTGTAGTCCCAGCTACTCGGGAGACTGAGGCAGGAGAATTGCTTGAACCTGGTGGGTGGAGGTTGCAGTGAGCTGAGATCACACCACTGCACTCCAGCCTGGGTGACAGAGCAATACTCTGTCTCAACTAAAAAAAAAATAAAAAATAAATAAATAAATTATGGTAGAGCCATATAATAGAATATCTCCTGAATGTAAGAAAATCATGTCTTTATCATTTGACCATAAAATTCTACTTCTACTATTTAGGAAATAAATAATGAAGGGTATCCATAAATATTTAGCTAAAAGTTATGTTTATAGCTTCATTATAAATCACAGATTAACGACAACATAAGTTTCTGATAAGAGTTTATTTGTGAAATAAACTATAATACATTTATGTAGTGGAACACCACACACCGAATAAAAATTATCACACAGACTATTACTCAAAATATTCATGTAATATACTATTTATTATACAGTTAAATCATTATGTTACCAAGCAATATAGAGACAGCGAAATTATACTATTTTCATTCAAATTTCACATAAATAGATAGAAACCAAAAAACTAAAATGTTAACAGCAGTCATTTGTAAGTGAGGGGATTATTACTGATTTTATTTTCTTATCTTTCTTTTCTATAGTTTTTATTTTCCTCATAAAGAACATAAGTACTTACATAGCAAAGAAAAATAAAAGCAATGGTGAAGTCCCTCGTTTCAAAGTTATAATATTAATAGAAAAAATCAGAATACAACTCTCTATCTAAAGTATTACCCAAATTTTGTTTTTAAATATTTGGACTGTAATACATATGCTTCAGAATACCTAGGGAATATATATATGATTATTCTCATGGCTTAGAACTACAGGTGATTTTTATTTTATTCTTCATATCTCTGTTTTGCCAAGTTTTCTGCTGCAAACCTGTATTTTATAATCAGAGAAAACAACAACAATCATAGGACACATAGAGGTAGAATCCGAGTTTTCTTATTTTAGTTAAAATACTAAAAAATAAAGCAGAATATTGAGCGTATCTGGGAAAATTAGAAGGAAAGTGAACACTTCTCTTTCTTTTCTTTAAACTTTATTTTTAAGTGGCTTCCCGACTGCCAGAATGTTTACCAAACTCAGTGCTAAGATTTTCATTGACAAGCACAGGCATGCTATAGCCCGCTTTCCTGTGAACTGTCACAATAAAAAGACATTCACATTTTAGTATTTGGGCAAAATGTTTAACACTCAAACATTTGTATTTTTCCTTCAGTTTTCAAAACAACTTTAAATCTCTCTTTTCAAAACAGTGTTAAATGATGTCACTCATTAGCTAGCAGGTGGCTGACAGTGGAGAACGGTGTTTAATGCTTCCATTTCCAATGCAGCTGGCAGCACAGACCAGGTGAGCGTGCAGTGTGCGGGTTCAACTTAGGACCTGCAGGTTGGGCATTGAATAAGCTGGGGGCGGCACTGCAGGAAGCTGGGTTAGACTTCCGAGCCCCAATCAGGAGCATGAGGCATGAAGTCCAACCTCACACTGTCTGCATGGAAATAGATCTGGGAAAATTAAGCCACTGGCAATAAAGGAATCCGTGCCACCCAGAGTATAAGAGCCATGTGTCCCACATAAGAAACCACTGTCGGAAGTCCAGCTGTCATTTTAGGGCAGACTGAAAAGGAGATACAGAAAGTATCGCGGAAGTCAGCCGGGAGGGCTGTCCTGACCTGAGCCTAGTGACAGCCGAGAAAAAGAATGTGGCGTCAGTGACGTAGTTCACATGGTGCTGGTTATGATGTTTGGCTACAATAGAGTATGAGGTGGCAATGATGATAAACTGTCATCGAATGGACATAAAGGATGAAATAATCTTGAATCCCTCCTGAGCCCACCAAGCCAGGCTAAGCCTAGAGAGAGTCTGGGGGAGGCTCTGCGTTTGGATACCCAGCCCCTGTGCTGGAGGAAAGCTGTGCATCTTAAATGGAGTCTCCGAATCCAAATGGCTGGGGTGGGGTTGAAAGCACTTTCTTTCCTACACTTAAAAGGTATTTTAAGTGTAGGAGTGAGTGGCATGCTGGGATTTCATTAAGATCTCTTTGGGGAACACAAAACACTTAGTGCCTGACTAGGCCTTGTTCGTATCAGCACTGGGTTTGCAGCCAGACGGTTTTTTAAGCCCTACCCATAACCATTGCCCCCGAGTTGCTCAAAGGGACAACAGGGGTTGACACAAACCAACCATTCAGTCAGCCCAAGGGACGGGATAAAGTCTTCTGTGACCCTGTGCTTGGAGGTGCAGATGGCCCAACTTGTGGCATGAAATGCCACCAGTAATGGGCGACACTAAGACCTGAAATTTCACGGAAAGGCCAGCATGGTAAGTGTGTCTGCTTCGTAAGATTTTTGTGCAGATTAGGTGAGAGGAGAGGCTGTAGGTTCAGTGTGGAGGACAGGGGCCAGCTCAGAGCAAACGCCCAAGTGTGGGTCCTTAGAACCTTATTATTCCTCTCGCTTCACATTTGCTTCGCATTTCACAGACTTCAAAGCATTTTCACTGAGCATCCTCATATTCATTTCTCACCTTAGCTGAGAGGTAGAGAGTGGGGTGCAATTATAATTACGCCCATTTTCCATTCATGGATCTGATGGGAGTTTCGCATTTTGCCCAGGGATGGTGTTGGGTGGTAACAGGCCGGGGTTCCGAGGCCCAGGGACTCTGCTGCCCAGTGCTCTACTGAAAACGCCAGGCTGCCGTTCCATGGTCATCTGCACCTGCACTACAGCTGTGTTGTTTTGTGATATCTTTTTCCATGGTAAAAGCAAATGATTTATAAACGCATTGATTGACACCACCAGAGCATTCCTAACAAGGATTCTTTGGTTCAGTAGAGATAACCCAGGCAAGAACAGGAAGAAAACCCACAAGGCTCTTGCTCCTGGAATGAGTGAATGATTTTTCAACCACTAAAACTCCCCTCTTGTAAATTCTTTCTTTCTTTCTTTCTTTCTTTATTTATTTATTTATTTATTTATTTATTTATATTTTTGAGACAGGGTTTCACTCTGTTGCCCAGAATGAGTGCAGTGGTATGATCTCAGCTCACTGCAGCCTCAACCTCCTGGGCTCAAGCGATCCTCCCATCTCTGCTTCCTGAGTAGCTTGGATTAGAGGCACATGCCACCATGCCCAGTTGATTTTTGATTTTTTGTAGAGCTGGGGTCTCACTACGTGGCCAGGCTAGGCTTGAATCCTGGATGCAAGTGATCCTTCCACCTTAGCCTCCCGAAGTGCCGGGATTCCCACACCCAGCCTTGTACATCCTTCCATAAGCTCCCATGCATTCTCTCAGATGTGTCTTGTTTCCTGGTTGTGGCCCCTAACCTGCCCCTGTACTGTAGAGTCTTTCCAGGAAACCAAGGGCTGCAGATGCAACATTAACAACATAGATGGTGGTGAGTGTTCTCCATTGAGTGCCTGCTCTGTGGTGGGCAATGAATGAAGATCCTTGATGACTTTCCGTAATTTAGTCCTCACCATAACCACTGGCAGGTAACAGCCCATCAACTGATAAAGGCAGGATCTGGACTGAGGCATGACCAGCTCCAGATGCAAAGCCCCTTACCCAGGTGCTAGCCCACCTGCCTGGTGGGGGAACCAGAGCCAACACTGCCCTCTGCTCCCTTCCCCCCTGGGCCCCCTCCCACAGGCTTCTGCAAAACCAGGTTGCATAAAACCAGGTGCCTTTCACCTGCCAGGTTTCATCTCAGGCCCTGCGTTCTTAATGATAACCATAGATTTCCCACTGGGAACCTGGGCCATCTTCCTCGTCACAAGGTAGCCAGTTGAAATGAACACAGACTCAGGCTATTGGGACCATCATGCCCCCTCATAGCCTGGGGGAGAGCTCTGCAGTAGCCTCCAGAGTCCACCCTCTCCACCATGCTTCTTTTCTCTTCTGAAGCTTCACCACCCCCACCACACCTGCGACCTCTTCTCTCTAAATTTCCATAACTGTCCTTCACTGGGCCCACACCCAGGACATAGAAAGATGGAGGTGGTGACTCACACACGGCCTGCTGTCTGAGGGAAAATGGGGACATTCAATCAGAAATCTCAATAACATGGGAAGAGATTTAAGATTGAAAATGCCCAAGAAACACCTAAAGGAAAAGAATCGTGGTCTGGGAGACTCTGGCCTCCTTTTCTACACCACAAGAACGAGCCTCTTCACGCATGCTCTCTCGCCTCTTGCACTGACTCCTCCGTAAATGTTCTTCTGGGTCTTCTGGGTGGAACCGCAGTTTGTTCAGCCCTCTCTCTCTGCACACCCCAGTAGGCCTAGTGCAGAGTTTGGCTTTGCATAGGTGCATGGCTCAGCACCTTCGTGCCGAAGAGCCTCAAGGGTCTGGGAGCTACTGCTGCATCACAAACCTCCCCAGGCTCAAAGGCTCACAGTTCAACACGTTACCCATTACTCTTCACACGTTTGTGAGTCAGTTGTGCAGTTCCGGTGATCCTGGATGGGGATCCTCATTCCTCTGTGGGTGGCTGTGGGCTCTGCTGGGATGGCTGATGGGGCATGGCCTTGAGGACACAGTCAGGTCTCCTCTGGCATCTGTTCCTCCCGCCGGCAGGCCAGCGTGCTCCTGGTAGTGGCAGCCTCCAGGACAGCAAGCGGAAACACAAAAGCACATTTTTAAAGCCGGCAAGTATGGATGTGACTCCCGTCCCCTTGGCCAGGACAAGTCGCTTGCCCAAGGCCAGTGTGCATGCGGGAAGGCACAGGCCTGAGAAGCCAAGGGGCATGAAAGTGGGAGGCTGTGAATGTCGGGGACCCAGCGTACCTCATCCCGCTGCAGAGGGAAGCTTGCATCCAGCCAACCCAAATCCTACACACTTCCATTTTAACGGGTTTCACTCTGAAATAAATGAATGTTTCTCAGGGCAACATTACATCCAGTTCTGCCAGTGCAGAATCCTACGTCCTTTGTGCGGGCTGTGCAGAGTCCTGCGAGGCCCCTGGTAGACAAAAGATGGGCCGTGAGAAGCGGGTCCCACGTGAGGATGACGAGAGGGTGGGAAGTGCCAACACAGATCCCACTTGGAACTTCATCTTCTCCAAAGAATGTCAAATTTTGAGTGGAAAGGGGAAAAAAAGGGGGGAGCCCCAAACGTAACACAACACTCCGAAGTCAGTTCTTTTTCTCTCTTGACTAATTAAGCTTAACCAGAATGGTGGGGCTGTCAGGCGTGGGGAACCTTTCCTGAGAGAAGAAAGGAGCCGCTCTCCAGGTGGGTTCCCGACTCTGGCTGGCTCCCACCACAACATACATTTGGCATCCATGACAGCACCATCAAAAATAATAGCGAGAAAGCTCACTGTCTGTCACGACGGAATAATTATGTATGGGCTTTCCTTACACTCAAGATGGATTAGATATTTCATTGAGGAAAATATATGTGGCTTTTAAAAAGAATGTAATGTATTGAGGGCACTGCTGAGATTAATAGCCAAATAAAGAATTTTTTAAAAAAAGTTCTGTGTGTGTATGTGTGTGTGTGTGAACATGTCACTCATGAAGCGATGGGAGATGTCATTCCTAAGCTGGTTAATTACAAAATGCATTAATGTTTTATTATACCCTTATCAGTAATTAATCACCCACTTTGATGTAAAGTTCAGCCTCAGAAAAGTATCATGAAATTGTCCTTCATGTATGAATGAGGATTTTTAGGGGTGAACAAAGACCATGACAAAGATAGAAGTGCATTCCCCCGGAAAGAGGACAGGGATTAGCCTTGTGTGAATCTTACACTGTGTGTGTTTTACCCTTGGGGTGTTTATGAGGCCAGAACCAAAGGAAGCAAGAGAGAGAGAGACAGAGCAAAGGAAGAGAGAGAGAGAGAGAGAGAGAGAGAGAGAGAGAGAGACAGAGAGGGGGTTGTCTCTACAACAGGGGGATGGGGAGCTTTCCTTAGTGGTGTTCTTCAGGTGCAGAGTTTGAATAAAAATGCAAAACAGGATGCTCCCATTCAGTAAATATTATCGTTTTTATTCACTCATTAATTAAGTTGCTTAATTGCTGCTGTCAAAAGACTCTTGAGTTTGTGACTGGGGCTGCTGCACTGTTTTGATAGGAGCTGAAGGAGAGAAAGGCAATATTGCTTGCTCGCTTGGCTTTCTGAAGAAGG
This sequence comes from Homo sapiens, assembly GCF_000001405.40. Taxonomy (NCBI): domain Eukaryota; kingdom Metazoa; phylum Chordata; class Mammalia; order Primates; family Hominidae; genus Homo; species Homo sapiens. The sequence continues at coordinate 75,463,036 of NC_000018.10, read as the reverse complement.
AAGCCTCAGTGAGGCAGATCAGAAAGGATCCAAGAGGGTGATGTGGAGAGGGAACACTGCTTCTGGGGGGAAACGGCCAGTTGCAGGACTCCTATAGGAGGCTATTTCATTACTGTGATGGATGCCCATCGCCGGCATATTATCATTTCAGTCATTACTCTGTTAAAATCACTTTTATGCAAAATATTTCCCCCTTTAATCTAACTTCCCAAGAGGGGCAGGAATGGAAATAGACTCTGGCCTTGTCAGTCAACACAATCCTACATCCCTTTGTATCTGCTTCAGAGGAATGACTCCGGGCTGTTTCGGAACACATCCTGTCCACTGCACTCCATCTGCAAATTCCCAGTGCTTCCAGGGCCTCCCATGCATAATGCTCCACGTTTCTTCACACTGGGGTGATCACATGTCCCACAGAGCCTAAGCCAGACTGCCGCTCAGCAAACACATACCAGAAATAGCCTACAAAGTGTCTTGGTGCTGACATTTGATTAATGTTCCCTGGCCTTTCCGTGCTCAAATATGCTTTATTTGAAATATTTGAATAACCTTTGAGCACACCCTTCCTAATTTGTCACCCTGTGCACACCCAAAAATAATAGACAGGCTAATCCCGTAGTAACAGCGCCCTCTTGCCCAGGAAGAGATTGCTCCCGCCATGTCTAAGCACACTGGGCTTCCCCAGAGGGGTGGCTCCACCCCATCTACCACCGAAGCATGGAAAAACAATGAAGAACAACAACACTGGCCCACTGGCATCACCCTCAATGGGAAAAGTGACGGTGGATCTGCACAGTAAACATGGGTGTGTGTATCTGACCTTCCCCAGAGTCTCAGGTAGAGGGGAGCTCCAATCAAGTTAACTCTGCTTCCCTGCCTGAGGGCAACTAAATGTTTTTCTTTTGCCTTTCACAGTGTAGCTACTCCTCCAACCAGTGGAGCCAAGGGCATCTATGTGTGCATGCATAGGCCACTTTGCATTGCCTGTGTATCGTGTACATGTGTAGGTTGTTGCATATGTGTGCATGTGTGGATGGTTGCATATGTGTCCATGTGTCCATGTTCCCTACTTTCTCAATGACCTCAATTGCATGCTTATTGGGTGCCTGGCTGATAGTTTATCTAAGAGGAGCTGCCACGTGGTGAGCCTCACCTGCAGGCTGGAAAACCAAGCCACACAGATAACATGATGAAGGGCTAGGAGGTCAGGCCAGTTAGCTAATGAGTTACTTGAATCTTTATTTTTTTGTTAAAATACAGCTAGACATGTTGGAATCCTGATGTCAAATCGCTATGAATTTTGTGCCAAAAAAAAAAAATCTTCATTTTCCGGGCTGCCATGGGCTTTGCTTGCATATGCTGGGCAATTACTCTCTCCTTTGCCATGAGGAGGGTAGGAAGAAAGGAGGGAGGGAGGGAGGGAGGGAGGGAGGGAAGGTTGAGAAGCATCTCAGTTCACAGCATTATTCTCATCCTCTTCAATTTTCTGAGAAATTCATTTGCATTTAGGACAAGGTGACTTGGACTTGCTTCTGTTTTCCACTACCTTCATGAAGGAAGGTGGGGAATAGTTGTTATAATTTTCTAACACTTAACTTACAAATCTAATGGTTTTATTTGACTGTCAAACCCAACTCTGTGAGACATATTTAAATGCCTTGGTATCTTGCATCTAGGGGTAATTAGGTAAGATTGATTAGGTAAGATACTAACCATGGGGACTATCAAATCCCTATAATGGGCTGAATGTGTCCCCCCAAAATTCATATGTTGAAATCCTAACCCTAATGTGATCTTATTAGGAGGCGGGACCTTTGCGAGGTGATTAGGTCATGAGGGTGAAGCCCTCATAATTGGAATTCCTGTCCTTATAAAAAGACACCAGAGAGCCCCTTCACCCCTTTTGCCATGTGAAGACACAGTGAGGAAGCAGGGCCTCACCAGGCACTGTACCCAGCCTCCAGAATTGTAAGAAATAAATTTCTGTAGGTTATAAGCCACACAACCTATGGCCTTTTGTTATAGCAGCCCAAATGGACTAAGACAGGGGTCATTATATCCTACGACTGGTAGACAGAGATGCTGAAGTTTGTATAGACCAGGAAACCCAGGAGCTCAAATCATAAGGAACCTGGAGCAGAGGGAGGGGAGGGTGGAAAAGGGAGACTAGCGGAGCAAGAGCTCTAACACGATCATGCTGCAAATTCAGGATGAGTTAGAGGGAGGCAACACCATGTCTACATCACTACACTTCCAATAACATTAAATGATTTAGATGATCTCAAGCTTCTGAAAATAGCAGCATGAACACAAGTGTTGATCTAAAACAGGAAGATTACAACCATACCACAGATATATGAAATATTTTCCAGGAAAAGAAAAAAAGCCACCAGGGGAAATATGGTTTTACCTGTTATTATTCTTGTCGTGTTGCAAGCATTCAGGTAGATAGTCTTTGTTTGAGTAGGAAATGACACAACTTTATGCAATATGGACAACATTCTGGAACAAAATTCTAAAAAATGTAAAATTCTAGTTTTTGACATCAAAAGTCAAATGTTCTAAAAAATGAAGAAAGAATTATTTCACTTAGTGCTTATGTTGGCTTTCTATTACTACTACAACAAATTACCACAAACCTACAGACTTGAAACAGCACAGAGTTATCATCTTGCTGTACCGTGGGTCAGAAATCAAACACGGGTCTCCCTGAGCTAAGATCCAGCTGTAGGCAGGGTGTGTTTCTTTGTTTGCTGGAGAGGAGAATCCATTCCTTCCTTTTCCAGCTTCTAGAGGTCACCCACCATCTTTGGTTGGCAGCCCCTTCCTCCATCTGCAATCCTGTCTTCTGATTTAAGTACCCTGTCAATCTCTTTAACTACCCTCTTCTACTTTTAAGAACTCTCATGATTACACTAGACCCAACTGGATAGCCTCCGTATTTTAAAGTCCACTGATTAGCAAGCTTAACTCCATGTGCTCCCTTAATTCCTCTTTGCCATGTAACTCACATATTCCCACATTCCAGGACTAGGATGTGGACATCTTTGGGGGCCATCATTCTGCATACCACACTGCTCTTAAGGTAAGCAAGAATAACATGAATAGTTGAAGGAAAGGCCGTCCCAGCAGGCAGGGATTACCACACTGGGCGGGCCAAACACTCTCCAGACATGCCATGGAAAGTGCAGAAGATTGTATGATCAGACCAATCTGGGAAACGTGAGATCATCACATCTTTTTCCTAGAGGTTTGTATGGTTCCTGTGTCTGCTCTAACAAAGTACCACAGACAGGCGGCTTGAAACAATAGAAATTTATTCTCTCACAGTTCTGCAGGCTAGAAGTCTGAGATCAGAGGTCAAGATGTCAACAGAGCCCAGCTCCATCTGAAGCTGATGTGGTTTGTTTGGCTGTCCCCACCCAAATCTCATACTGAAGTGTAATTCACATAATTCCTACCTGTGGTGGGAGGGACCCAATGAGAGGTAATTGAATCATGGGGGTGATTGCCTTCATGCTTTTCTGGTGATAGTGAGTGTGTTCTCATGAGATCTGATGGTTTTATAAGGGGCTTTCCCCCCTTCTCTCTGCACTTCTCCTTCCTGCCATCATGTAAAGAAGGACATGCTTGCTTCCCCGTCCACCATGATTGTAAGTTTCCTGAACTGTGAGTCAATTAAACCTCTTTCCCTTATAAATTTCCCAGTCTCAGGTATGTCTTTCATTAGTAGCATGAGAAGGAACTGATATAGAAACCTATAGAGGAATCCTTCCTCGTCTCTTTCAGCCTCTGGTGTTTGCCAGCTGTTCTTGGCCCTCCTTGGCTTATAGATGCATCACTCCCATCTCTGCCTCCATCATCACATGGGCATCCTCTCCCTGGTCTCTCCCTCTCTCTCTCTCTCTCCCCCGCCCCCTCTCTCTGTCTCTGTCCTACTCTTACAAGGACACCAGTCATATAGGATGAAGGGCCCACCGTAAATCCAGTATGACCTTAATTAATTACATCTGCAAAACCCTTATATCCAATTAAAATCATATCAACAGGTATGAGGACTTCAACCTACCTTTTTGGGGAGGTAGAATTCAACCCATAACAAGGCCCACACTAAGGATGCGCATTTTAAAGAGTCTGAGAAGTACTAGGGAAGAAATCCTATATAACTCCGTTTAACCTACAGCTTCCCAAATTTATGACTATAGAATCGTTTTGAATAGAATGCCTTTTAATATGCCAAACAACACATTGTGGGGAATGTAACTCTAAGGAATAATTAATATTGCAATTCTGCCACTAAACACATTCTTTGATTTTGAAATTCTTACATTTATCTGATTCCTTGTCTTTAAAAAATCACTCCACTTATTCTTTAGCAGTTTTCTGACATAGCATATTCCACAAGAACTCCAGAATTCCTCTTCTGTTATATTATGACTTTTATATGACTTTCTTTTTTCATGTATCTTACTGAAGAATGGCTTACATACAGTGAAATGCACGAATATTAAGCATGCAGTTCAATGAGTTTTACAAATGCATACACTTGTAAAACCCACACTTCTATCAAGACACAGGAAGATCTTTTATGCCCCTTCCCACTAAATCCTCCCACCAGAAGTACTCCCAGTTCTGACTTAAGTTACCATAGATTAATTTTACCTGTTCCAGAACTTCAGATAAAAGAAATCATATTGTACGTACTCTTTCATGTCTGGCTTCTTTTATTCAGCACGATGTTTTTCAGATCCATCCATCCATCTATGCATCCATCCATGAGGTGTATCAGGAGTTTATATTTTTTTTATTGATGAGTAGTATTCCACTGGATGGATAAACAAAATTGGATTATCTTTTCTCCTGTTTTTAGATAGCTGGTTTGATTCCATTTTCTGTTATTATGCATAAAGCTGCTGTGAACATTTTGATATAAGGCCTTTTGTGGACATACGTTTTTATTGCTCTTGGATAAATACCTACAAGTGGAATTGCTGGGCCATAAGGTATAAAACATAAGTATGGTTAACTTGTTAAGAAACTGCAGCAGTTTCATCAAGTGAATGCACAATTTCACACTCCCACCAGTCAGGTATGAGAGTTCCAGTTGCTCCATATTCCCACCAACATTTGACACTGTTGGTCTTTTTCACTTTAGCCTATATGAGGATTTCTTCGCCTTTTAATAAATCCTTCTATGCCTAAGATAGAACCACAAGTAAAATCCTAAAGCAGGATCTTGTTTATGTTTTCATTTTAAAGCACAGATAGTTTAAGCTTAAGGAAGAGCCTATCCTTTTTCAATTTAGATCTAGGAAGACTGTGAGGTTCAATCTATTCTAGGAAGATTGTGAAATTCAAATATATTTATGTATTTAAAATACTATATTGCTAGCCACCAATGACTCAAAACGAATAATTTTTTAAACAACAATAATCAAATTAATGAAGTTTATATTTTGTTCTTTCGTAAATTTGAACTGGAATGCAACACGTGGATAGAAAAATATGAAGCTATATTTTATACCTATGTCAAACTATTTAATTATAAATACTGAGCTAGAAAGCACTAAAGACTAATTATGTCCCCAATATACCTACATTCACAATGGTTATAACAGAGCAAATAGAGTATAATGTAACTTATAATATTATCATAAGTTGAGACCTTAAGGGGACTGAAATATGCTCACATTTATGGAAACTAAATTATGAAATGACTCTAGAATCCACATGTTAGCAGTGGTTTAAGGCAGCCTGTCAGTGATTAGTATACACCAATGCATATATCAATCATGCTGCACTAGTAGCTTTGGTGTGATGGTTTTATTTTTATGCAGAAATTTCATTTCCTAGAAGTTGTAAGCTCTCCTACGAGAGTCCTCCTATGGAGTACGTGGGCGTTCTGAGGCTCTGCAGCCCCTCAGGCTCTGCCCTGGCAACAGTGCCTAGCACCATGCTCGCCTAGACGTGCTCTTGGCAAAAAGCCCTTCTGCCCAGGAGACTCAGAGGGCAGCCTCAGGCCTGACCACAGCAGCCCTGAGAGTCCCTCTTCAACTTCCCAGGAGATGCTTTCAGGGGCAGGAAAGGGGTCAGGAGCCAGGCAGCTTCAAAGCTTCAGCCCTGACCCAGGCCCCAAAGTCGTCAGGGCACCAGCAGCTCCCCTCTGTAAACCTCTCTGTGGAAATTTTTAACCTAAAATAATTTTCTCTCTTTCTCTCTTTACAACTGAAGAAAAGTACTCCTTAGAGCACGCTTTAACTACCTACCTTCAATGTTTCATAGTCAGGGAAGGCGATACAAATCAACGTGTTTAAGTAGTTCCTTTACTAGCGTTGATAGAATCCTAAAATCGCCCTAAAGAAGTGTCTTTGGTGAGGAGTGAAATCGTATCTGGAAAGCCGATTGCATGGCGAGGCTGTCTGGCGATGCTGCAGTACTGGAAACAGGAAGGCTTGTCCTAAAGTCAACAGGGGTCAGAACCGCATATAAACCGAAGCCAGCTCTGCAAGTCCGTTTCCAGAGTCACATTTTCGGTCTGGGGGTGGGTTGGGGGCGGAGGGAACACGCTTGATTCATCGCCTCAAATAGTCACGTTTAGGAACATTTCAGGGCTGTGTTACTTCTGAATAATTTGTCTGATCGCTTTGATCCAGGCTGTGGGGGTGGGGCGTGGGCAGAGGGGAGGCAGCAAAACCCTACAGGCGGGCCTTTCATTTCAGGAGCCGGGAGTTCTCTTTAAAACACGTGTGAAAATCCACTGGAAAAAACCGCAGGTCTTCCTCTTCAAAGTCACGCAGAGCAGAAGTGACCCCGACCCCAAAAACCCGGGTCCTGTACAACTTGAACTTTCTTAGTCGCCGATGTTTTCTTCCCCCTCAAGGGATTAGACAGAAGTTGCACTTAAAAGCACTTTTAGAGTCAGCCTGCCATTAGCCTCTCCCTATGAAATTTCTAGCGTGGTCATTACCGCTCACTTAGCAACGCTCTGGCGGGGCAGAAAGTTGTCTTTTGCTCCCACAAAAGCAAACACTTTTCCTGGTCAGGCGATGCATTATAGAGTCAGTTCTCCTGCGCTTGGGCCGATCAATAACCAAGTCGGGGCCCCCGGACGCAGCCCAGAGCCCAGCCCCGCGCTCGCGGGTTCCCGGGTGCCCGGCCCGGCCCATCCATCACGCGGCCCCCGCTGCGCGCAACCCGGGCGGGACGAGCCCCCGCGATCCGTCTTCGCCGTGAACTCTGCGTCCCCTCCTGACCTCGCGCTCAACCCGGACACACTGGGAGGTGCGAAGCGGCCTCCCGGGGCTCGGCCCGCTCCCCGCCGCACATCAAACGCTGGCGCTGACCCCGGCGCCTACCGGTCCCTGCACGTGCAGCGCGGCCGCGCGCTCCCGGGTCCGCAGCCCCCACCGCCGACAGGGCCCCGCAGGGCGCAGCGGGGCTGGGAAGGGGAAGTCGGCCAGGCCTGCGCGGCTTCCCAGGCTGTCCCGGCGCAGAGGCGGCCCCGGGCCTCCTTGGAAAGGAACCGTCCCCGTGTATCCCGGCGGGGTGAGCACAAGGCGGGTGCTGTCCGACTTTCAACAGTCGCAGCGAGAATGTCCTAGGAAACTAAACAACTTTTTAAACTGTCTTTCCAAAGAATCAGGATGCTGAGAAGTCAACCAGCTCCTGGAGGACTGACCGGAAGGGCACCTGGCCTCGGCCCGGGCGGCTCCCCATTCGTTCCTCACTGCGCCCCTCATCCCCACTCCCCCGGCCCTGCAGGGTGCCCCGTGGTGCTGACCATGGCATTGCCTGGACCCATCAACTGGTAAAACACACGAGCCTTAGCAGAGATACGATTTCATTCCTCACCAGAGGCCCTTGAGATTTTAGGATTCTATCAACGCTAGTAAAGGAACTACTTGAACACGTTGCTTTGTACTGCTTTCCCTGACTGTAAAACATTAAAGGTAGGTAGTTAAGCTCGCTCTAAGAAGTACTTTTCTTCAGTTGTAAAGAGAGAAAGAGAGAAAATTATTTTAGGTTAAAATTCCCCATGGAGAGGTTTACAGAGGGGAGCTGCTGGTGCCCTGACGGCTCTGAGGCCTGGGTCAGGGCTGAAGCACCCACCGAGGCTGCCTGGTTCCTGACCCCTGCCCTGGCCCTGAAAGCGTCTCGGGGAAGTTGAAGACGGACTCTGGAAATGGAGACAAAGCAAAGGGAGATTTCTTGGTAGCTCCAAAAACGGGAAACATGAGCCAGCAGAGGCTTTGTCAGGGTGCATAGTGGGCAGCCGGGAGTTAGCAATAAGGGCACAGAACGTGGCAGCCTCCCCCTGTTCCTGGGCAGGCGAGGGTTCCGGGTCCTTCTTCCTCTCCTCGCCCTGAGGTCAGGGAGACAGCTGCAAATGCCATTTTTCCAGAGGCTGAAAGGGAGCTGAAAAGTGTGAGGCCACTGAATCATGAGCGATGAAGTTTTGACTTGGCAGAGAAACAAGCACGGGCCTTCCTTCGCAGCTTCGTTGCATTATCATGCTTGATTCCATTTCAAATGTGCCTTACCCGCGGCAGAATATTTATTGTGTTTTCAAATTCCAAGGTCCTTGGGAGTTTCTCCAAAAGTTTGAATGCTTTTCAAGTAACTCTACTTATAAATGATGATTTGATTGGGTATTTTTCAAAACAAGAGCAATGTAAACATCGAAATACATGCAACATTTGATTCTTATATGGTAAAAATGCGCACCACTCTGCAAAAGGAAAGATTTTAATGTTTATTAAAAGTTTAGATATGAAAATAAGTTGGGGGTTGATGTCTGGAGATTTAGAATTGCTTACACATCACTTTTTCTGCTTCTCTGCTTCTACCATTTTCTCCATTTTAAAAACATGCTTTCTTGAGTTCCTATATTCCCCGAGGAAACTGTGTTTTGATTTCATTCATTCATTCAACAAACTTCTTTTGAGCAAGTGTTAGGTGCTAAAGAGTAGCAATATGAAGATGTAAAAGTTAATAAGCACCAGAAATTAATGAACAGCAAAACAGAAGTTCCTCGGAATAACTAATAAAATAGACAATAAACTAATCTGAGAGAAAGAATATAACTATACTTTACCAACAACAAAATGGGAAAATAGGATAATAAACAGGTAACCATAAAAATTTTAGACTCATGACAAATAACATGCATAGCATCATGCCAATCATTTGAACATACAAACCAAATGAAATAAAATATTTTTAGGAAACATCTTACCAAACTTATCTCCAAAAAGCCGGAGACAGTAAAAAACCTATTATATCAATCATTTTAGAGGAAATTTAAAAGCGTATCAAATATCTATCACAAAAAGCCTTCAGGCCCAGATTATTTATCAACTTAAAAAAATACATAGTTTCTTCTGTCATTTAAACTCTTATAGCATGAAAAATATGGAAAACCTTCCAAATAAATGTATGAAGCAAACATAGTACTAAAAACAAAGCCGGATAAATATAGGAAAAACTGAAAAGTATAGTTTTACCTCACTTATTAACATAGGTTAAAGAAGTTCTAACTATTAACATATTGAATCTGACAAAGTAAAAAAAGGAAAATACTCTGAAAAAGTGAGTTTTTTCCACACTAAATAAATTATATCTAGGATGTCTGTTAACATGATTATATTGGGCGTTAAAAAGAGAAAAGTCACACAAGAATTTCATCAGATGCAAAAAAAGAAGAGCACTAAATATAATTTAATAACGTTTCCTGTTTTTAATAATATATAGTAAATTAGGCTCGTAAGAAATGTCCTAAACAGTCCGGGGAATATCTTCCAAAACTCACAGCAAATATTTTATGCTAAATGATGAAATACTAAAGATACTCCAGTGAAGTCAGGAATAAGATAGAATGACCAAATTAATCTGTTTGTTTTTTTCCAGTATCACTCTGGAATTCCAAATCAATGAAATAAGATAACAATATATGCAGTATACAATTATTGGAAAGGAATATATGAAATTATCATTAGTTGGAGATTATTTTTACTATATAAAAAAATCAAGTTAAGATGGTTTAGTAAAGTGATTAAATACAACTTAAAATAATATATCAGTAGGTGTCTGCTTTATGCCAGGACAACAAATTAGAAAATAAAATGGAAGTGAAAATCCTACTTAAAAAATCAAGCAGGGGCAATCCAGTTGGGAAAGATTTTCAGCAAATGATGCTCAAACAATTGGATATCTACATGGAAAATGGTGGACCTTGGTAGACCCTTGCCTCACACCACACACTAAAATTAATTCAAAATGTAAGAGCTAAGGCTGTAAAACTCCTTAAAGAAACGTAAGAATAAATCTTTGTGACCTTATTTAAGCAAAGATTTATTAGATAAACAACAAAAGCACAAGTGATAAAGGAAAAAGTTGATAAATTGAACTTAGTCAAAATTAAAATCTTTTCACTTCCAAATGTATACCATTAACAGAGCAAAAAGACAAGCCACAGACTGGGAGAAAATATTTGCAAATCATATACTCTAAAAAAGATTTGTATCCAGAGTATCTAAGAGCATATAAAAATCTCATAACTTAATACTAAGAAGATAAATAGCCCAATTAAAATTAGGTAAAAAGGCCAGGCACAGAGGCTCATGCCTTCTAATCCTAGACTTTAAGAGGTCGAGGCAGAAGGGTTGCTTGATCCCAGGAGTCCTAGATGAGGCCAGGCAACAGAGTGAGATTTTGTCTCTACAAAAAATTTTAAAAATTAGCCAAGCATGCTACTGCCTGCTTGTAGTCTCAGCTAGTCTGGAGGCTGGGGTGGGAGGATCTCTTGAGCCCAGGAGATCAAGCCTGCAGTGAGCTGTGATTGCACCACTGCACTCCAGCCTGGGCCATAAAGTGAGATCCTGTCAAAAAAAAAAAAAAAAAAAAAAAAACAAAGCCAGAAGATTCAAATAGAAATTTACCCCCAAAGAGATAACAAAGTGGCCAATAAACACATGAAGAGATGCTCAGTATTATTAATCATTAGGTCAATATAAATTAAAACTATAGTGAGGTACCACTTCATGCCTTCTGAGATCACAATGATTGAAAAGTCAGATAATACCATGTTTGGGTGAGAATATGGAGAAATCAGTACTTTTGCATATTGCTGGTGGGAATGTAACATGGTTCAGCCACTTTGAAAAACAGTTTAGCATTTTCTGAAAAAGTTAAATATAGATTTATCTTATGATTCAGCAATTCTACTCCTAGGTATCCACTCAAGGAAAATAAAAAGATACGTTCACACAAATACTTACTTGTACACCAATGTTCATAGCAGCGTTATTCATATCCAAAACGAGGAAGCAATCCAAATATCTATCAATTGATGAATACATAAACAAAATATTGTATATCCATACGATAATGACTATTTGGCAATAAAAAGAAACAAAGTATTGACACATACTATTAAATAGATGAACCTCAAAAGTGTATTAAGTGAAAGAACCCAGTCACAACAGACCACATATGGTATGACTGCATTTATATGAAAAGTCTAGAAAGGGCAAATCTGTAGAGACAGAAAGTATTAATAAATAAGTGGTTGTGTGAGGCTATGATAGAAATGAAGATTAACTGTAAAAGGGCATTAAAATGCATGGGGGTGAAGAAAATGTTCTAAAACTGGATCATAGTTATGGTTGCATAATATGGTAAATGTACTAAAAATTATTGAATTGTATACTTAAACAAGCTAACTTTATGTTATGTAAATTATGCACCAATAAAGCTGTTATATAAAATGGCAACAAGACTCTACTTTCAGCCGTGATTGCATAGTTTGTGGAAGATCAGTGGTCTCACTGCACACAAATAGGAAATGTGGATTAATTTTTAAAAAATGCTTGTTGGACTTGCCAGGACTCGAGGGGCCATGACCTTGGGGAGAAGAGAAACTCAGTGAAAGAAGTGAAGGCTGCATTTGCCAATTCTTGATGCCAAGCAAGAGGCTGAGAATCCAAGCAGAAGGCTGCAGCTGAGATTTGTATAATTCAGCTGAGAATTTGGTTGTCACTTCACAATGCTGGAGAGAAAAACTTGACTTTGGAACGTCTAACACAAGTGGATCTCAAAAGGTCAAGATATTGAAATAATAAAAGCTCAGAAAAAGGCTCAAAATGCAGAGGATTCCCACTCAAGGCATTTGCTGAACTCTATTTTTATATATTAACTTTTAATTTTGAAATAATTTAGACTCACAAAAAGTTTCAAAAATAGTGCAGATAGTTCACATATACCCTTCACTTAGCTTCCCCCAGCAGCATCTCTGGCTTCTATTTCCTAGATGTTAGTAGCACCCTCCCCAGTCATGAAGATCAGAATGTCTGCACTCATTGCCAAATGTCCCCTGGAAGGCAAAATCACTCTTGGTTGAACACCATTGCCCTAACATTAACAACTTGTATGAACATAGTGCACTTATTAAAACCAGGACATTAGCATTGGTATAATATAATTAACTAAAATGCTGACCTTATACAAATTTCCCCTCATGTCCATTTTCTGCTCCTGGACCCACCCAGGAATTCACACTGCACTGAGTTGTGACTCCCTAAACAGCGCCACTCTGTGATGGTTCCTCAGTCTTTCCTCATCTTTCATGACCTTGAGTTATTTGATGAGACCCAGTCAGTTAATTTGTTGAATCTCTCCTTATTTTATTCATCTAAAGTTTGCTTATGATTAGATTGGGGTTATACATTTTTGGCAAGAATTCAACAGAAGTGGTGTGCTCTTTCCAGTGTGCTGTATCAGGAGATATATAATGTCAATTTCTCTCTCTCTCTCTCTTTTTTTTTCCTTTTGAGATGGGGTCTCACTGTGTCACTTAGGCTGGAGTGCAGTGGTGCAGTCTCTGCTCACTGCAACCTCTGCCTCCCATGCTCAAGCCATCCTACAACCTCAGCCTCCCAAGTACCTGGGAATACAGATGTGCACCACCATGTCTGACTAATTTTTGTATTTTTTGTTGATATGGGGTTTCACCATGTTGCCCAGGCTGACCTCAAACTCCCAAGCTCAAGCAGTCCCTCCACTACCGCCTCCCAAAGTGCTGGGATTACAGGCTTGAGCCACCATACCCAGCCCTAGTGTCAATATCTCTTATTACTGGTAGTGTTGATTTGATCACTTGGTTAAAGTGTTGTCTACCATATTTCTCCACTGCAAAATTATAATTTATCTCTTGGTAGTTGATAAATATCTTGGGAAAGAATCTTTGAGTATATGCAAATATTCTGTTTCTCTTCCAACTTTTGCCCAAGTGTTCAGTATCCATCAATGGTTATTCCCTGCATTAATTATTACTTTGAGGTTTGCCTAAGGGTACTTTTTATTTCCCTAATTTCTTCTACCTATATTAATTTTAATTCTTCTATAAGGAAGAGTTGTCACTTCTCTCCAACTTATTAATTTGTTCATTTTTATTCAGCATAGACTCATTAATATTTATTTTATTTTGTGGATTGTAATTTAATATGTCATTTTTTATTATTTTGTTGCTCAGATTATTCCAGTGTTAGCCATTGAGAGCTTTGTCAGATGAGTTCTGTGCCCCTTTTGTTTCCACCATTTTTCAAGCTCTTCCTTATTTTCTTGTTCTGTAAGGTGTTCCAGGCTCACATGATGTCTCTGCTTCACTTCTGAAATCAATCACTTTTCCAAGAAGCCATGGTACTTTTTATTGGAAATGGTGTTTAGAAAGCAAGATCTAGACTCTGTGTGCTCAGTGCTATTGAGTTGTAATTTCTTCTCCTCTTAGCAGACAGAGCTATGAAATATATGTATACATATTATATATGTACACATATATGTAGATGTAATATATATATATCTACATTTTATCTACCTGTATAAATATTTAAAATCATAAGTTCATAATCAAAAACCACACATTTTATTTTAGTCTTCCCCATTTCTTTATTGTATCTATTTCCCCTCACTGTGATAAGCCTGGTTCTCACCATCTACAATATATATACTTATTTGTTCAAACCTAATATGCACATAAAGTAGTTACAGAATTTCTAACCTATACCCTGTGGGGGAAAAAAAGATTTACTAACAATGGTATTTTTGTAAAGTTTTTTATCTTTAGCTTTATATAATAAAGGAAAAATAGTAATTTCCAAAGTTATTAATGTTAGTTATTTTCTTCACCATTAATTTCAGTGTTGTTTACTTACTCATTTACAGTACAGTTGGGTTCATATGTTACTATTTGTATTCTATTTTGAGTTCCCCCTATATTCCGATTAATTTTATATGTTCACTTACTCATTTATTTGGGGAATATGTAAAACATTACTATGGTTCTAAGAGTCAAAACTATGCAAAAATATACATCTAGAGACAAGCAACTTTCTCTCCATTTCTAATCATTTGCTGAATTCTTAAACTTCATAAGGCAAAGATCTAAGAAGCTAAGCAGAAAAATGCTGAATGGAAAAGGGGGATGTGGAGCAGTTTCATGATTCTGAGAAGATAGCAATTGAAATTCAGAGCCTGCCAGGAAGTAACATCCCTAGTAAAAATCCCAAGATTTCCATTCCTATCTCTGGAGGTATTTCTGCCACCAGTTGATTCAGTTCCTGATTAGATTAAGATAAACTTCCCCAACTCTCTACCCGCCAAAAAGGACAGAGTGAATGCTCTCTGAAGGAAAATGACATTATCCACAGCCTTGATAATTTTTTTTACGTAATGTCTAACATTCAATCAAAATTTAGTAGACATACTAGAAACAGAACCAAGAAAAAATAGACAATAAAAATAGACCCTTAAAATAATTTGTAAATGAAAGCAGATTTATTGTTAAATTAATGACACAAGTTTCTGGGTGCCTCACTTGCACAAATCTTTCTAAGACTTGGAAGGAGCCCTACACATGTGCACTGAAGGTCACATTTGCAAAACTTGCAACAATAACCAAAAACAGATTTGTTCCAAGTACAGTCAGTTAAGACTGTTTTTTCTTTCGATTTTTATTTTATCTCTGTCTTAGTCCATCTTAGTTCCTATAACAAAAATGCCATTAAATACACACACACACACACACACACACACACACACACACATTTATTTCTCAGTTCTGGAGGCTGCAAAGTCCAAGATCAAGGCTCTAGCAGATTTGGTGTCTACTGAGGGCTTGCTTCCTCACAGGTAGCTATCTTCTTACCTCAAATGGTGAAAGGGTGGAAATATCTCTCTGGGATATCTTTTATAAGGGTACCTGTAAGGTTAATTTTAGGTGTCAACTTGACTAGATTAAAGAATACCTGGATCACTGGTAAAGCATTATTTCCAGGTATGTCTACGAAGGCAAATTCTGTCTATCTCTTTTGGAGCTAAGATACCCTTCTTCTTCCACCCTTAAACATCAGAACTCCAGGTTTTCTGGTCTTTGGACTCTGGAAATTACACCAGCAGCCCCCAGGTTCTCAGGACTTTAGTTGCAGACTGAGAGTTACACCGTCTGCTCCCCCAGTTTTCAGGCTTCAGTACTTGGACTGAGCCAGACCATAGGCTTCCCTGACTCTCGAGTGTGTAGACAGCCTATCATGGGACTTCTCAAGCTCCATAATCACATGAGACAATTGCCCTAATAAACCTGCTCTCATCTTTCTACATAGATATAGATCCTATATATATCCTATTGGCTCTGTTTCTCTGGAGAATCCTAACATAGGCACTAATCCCATTCATGAGGGCCCCACCTTCATGATCTAAGCACGTCCCAAAGGCTCCACCTCCTAAAACACCACCTTGGCTGTTAGGATTTCAACACATGAATTATTGGGTTGGGGAATGGTGAATAAACATTAAGTATATTGAACTCTGACACATTCTCCTCATATCAGATGGCAAGCTTATCAGGTGATTGAGTGGTCATAGGCATTTTGGAAATCTGACCACAGGGAATTTGAATTGAGGGTCCATTTAGTTTAGGATTAATGGAATATATTTATGTAGTTCACAGTCACTTCCAAGTGTAAGTTACTACTAACTCTCTCAATGTCCAATGGCTTTTAGGGATACATTACTTGCCTCTGTTGATGCAGGCCCAGCACCCATAATTATGACCTGGATATGAGAGCAAGGTCCATGAACCATGAAGTTCGTGAAGCGTAAGTTTTGAGGCCATCATTTTCATTTTCATGAGTCCCTTTCTAGGTCTTTTACTTAATTTTGTATCCATAAATGTATTTCCTTTGCCTTAAAATGAGACTCAAAATTATAATCCTCAAGTCTCACAAATCTTATAAAGTTGTAATTTTTGTGATTTCTATTCTTTCTAAATAAAGATTCACATTTGGTGCCTAAACTTTCATAATTTTGTGAATTTTTTCTTAAAGTTGGCTTTAAAATTGTTAGTAAGCTGAAAGATAAATTTGAAGAACTGTTAAAAACATCTTATTAGATACACTTTCCAATATTAACATTTACAAAAGGAAACATCTTAAAATCAGATTCTACAGTTTTCAGTTCTTTTGTGAGCAATCTTATTCTCTTTTCTGCTTTATTCAGCTTTTGGAATGATGGGTTAGAAAAAGCTGGAAATAAATTTTATAATGTAGGTATAATTTCTTTCTAAACCATAGATCACCATATAACTTTAAGATATTGCTGTACTTTAAAACGTGTTCCTTATCATATTAAATTTCATTATAGCAATAATGCATAGGTGTGGTTGCAGTACCTAATAATACAAGAGGGTATAAAATGCTGATTTGTCCATTTTAGAGTTTATCAAGTTACTCCTGTAATGAAAGATGAGGAATTCAATGTATTCACCTAGCTTCCACCTGTCCTCTCTCCCCTCCACTTTCAATTTTTGGGGGAATATTATTGGAGTAATTTTTAAAGACAAAGTAAACTTTTTGAGTCTTTTATAATTGGAAAGTGTTTTTTACTCTCATTCTTAATTACTGCTTTTACTTGTATGATATTTTAAGTTCAAATTTTCTTTCCTCACAATTTTGAAGATATTGTCCTCAGCACTTAGTATCCAGTCATGCTAATTAGGAAATTATACCTCAATTTGAGTGTTTTTTTTTCCAAAATAACCCGAAAAACTTGTTCCAATTCATTATATTTTATTCTTTGCCATTGGAGGCCTTGTCAAAGCAAGCCAACTTAAATGATTAGCCTTAATAACTAAATGGCATAAAACATAAATAATCTGGCTTTTTTTTTGCTCTAGTTAACAGAATACTTTTACTCAAAAGACATGCTCAATTTTTTTTTTTAATCAAGTCTGTTCCTCTATCAAAACACAGTCAAAATCTTGTTATCAGATACAATGAGGGCATTAGAGAAAGTTGGGTAAAGAGGAAAACTATTACAATACTACGTAACCTAAACATCTTTAAAGCTTAGAAGTTTAATCAAAACTTATGAATATATACTCATACTCTTTAACCAATGAAGACGAACGCTTCCTTTTTGAGGCTGGATCTGTCAATGATTTCCTTTTTTTTTTTTTTTTTTTGCATAAACCACATCCCTAGTTCATCGACTGTGTTTTCTTCTATATATTCTTTTAAAGCAGAAAGAGGAGGAAAGGAATTGGGAAGCAATTTAAGTGCAGAATCCTAGATTTTTCAGGCTTTTGCCCCAAACGTTACTGCTTTCTTGTTCATAATTAAGTCATCAGCAATTTATCAACTTAACTTTATTAAGTCTTTTCAAAGAATTCAACTTACTTTTCATAAAAACAATAAATTTATTTGATTCATATGGTATTTTATTATATAACCTAATTATAGTAAAAAGGATAACTGGCATAAACTGGTTTAAATATACTTGGACAATTTATAACCTCATCTCCAAAAACAATCTGCTGACGGGTTTTTGAAATAGAAACTTGTTTTTCTTTTTCTTTTTGTTTTTTTTGTTTGTTTGTGTGTTTTGTTTTGTTTGTTTAGACAGGGTCTTACTCTGTCATGCAAGCTACAGTGCAGTCATGGCTCACTGCAGCCTCGACCTGCCTGGGCTCAAGTGATCCTCCCACGTCAGCCTCCAGAGTGGCTGGGATTACAAGCATGTGCCACCACACCTGGATAATTTTTGTAGATGGGCTTTCACCATGTTGCCCAGGCTTTTCTCAAACTCCTGGGCTCAAGAGATCCACTCACCTTGGTCTCCCAAAGTGCTGGGATTACAGTTGTGAGCCACCACACCCAGCCAGAAACTTATTTGTAATCTTTTAAAATCACTTCTCAGGCTTTATATAAAGTAGCCAGACATTGAAATATTTAAGTGTACCAATTCATAAGTAGTTAACAATGGATTCATTTCATACTGCTCTCACTCCTGCCCAAGCAGGTACCATACTACTGATGAAAATATCCAACTCTGTATAATGTGTCAGTAATTAAACTGCTACACTTGAACACTTCCCATAAATATATTTAACATCAATTTCTGATCACTGTCAACAAATTCAAGCTTTCTGAAGGTTTCACATACAATGACAGGAACATTCGTATATACAGTTATATTGTTTATGAAATAATTATTTTCTCCTCTACATATTTGATTGTAGCTATTTATGATTGATTTTTATTAAACTTATTATTAGAATAAGCTTCTAGGGACTCGTCATAATACAGCCTTGTATTCCCTAGCAGTAGACGTGTTTATTCATTTACTGTATAATGTCATTCATTTATTAACTCATAATCCATGAATGGACCATATATTTTCTATGTATCTGGCACTGTTCTTTGGGTTATTGTTACAGTAATTCAAATACCATAGGAATTCTCCATTCCTTCTCTCTGTCCTTGTGTACTTCAGCATCTTCCTATTGAGAGGAAACTCATTTGCAAAAGGCAACTGGCATTATATCGGGTTCATGTGGGAGAAGGAAGCTGCTGGTTACCTCTTAATATGAGGAAAGTCCAGAGGTGAAATAGGAAAGGGCTGGGGTACTGCACTAGGGTGGGGAGGCTGCTTGGAGGACAAAAGAAGAAAGACATGAGGAAATCTGAGGTCAGAACATCCAGACAGAGACAGGAAGCACAAAGACCACAGCTGCAACAGGCTTGACAAGTTTCAGCAGAAAAAATCCCAGGCTAGACATGCAGCCTCGACCTCCCTGGGCTCAAGCGATCCTCCCACCTCAGCCTCCAGAGTGTCTGGGACTACAAGTGCCTGCCACCATGCCTGGCTAACTTTTATATATTTTGTAAAGACAAGGTTTCATTATGTTGCCCAGGCTGGTCTCAAACTCCTGGGCTCTAGCAATCTGCCCACTTTAGCCTCCCAAAGAACTGGGAGCAAAGGCAGAGGGGCATGAGGTGAGCTGAAGAAACAGACACTACAGGAACATGGAGGGCTTTACAGACCGAGATTCCACACAGGAAAGCAGTGGGGAAATGCTTTAAGAAATAAGCATGCAGACTTTGTAGTTTAACATTTCAATAAGACCACAAAAATTGTGGGTGACATTCATAAAAAACAAAAAGAAACCCAGATATCTTCCTTTCATAAATGTTTATTTACTATTTGTACAATTATGAGATTTTTTAGAAAATTAAATTTTTATCAAGAAAGAATACTCATAGACTTCTAGCCCTTTGTCTTTCCTTCCACCTCTATTTTTTTATGGCATTTGGGAAGATTTGTTATTTTTCATAATACACAGCTTAGGTTTGAAATATTTTTCTTTAATTTCCATATTCCAAAAATTCACAGTGCTATTTATGTGGGCACGTCACTACTAATACGACTCCATGTCACATAAATAGTCGTGTAACTTTTTATGTTGTCTCCTGGTTATATGGAGGAGGTTTCAGAAACCCTATATTACAGGCTTGCTCTAGGCTGCTC
The DNA here is from genome assembly GCF_000001405.40 of Homo sapiens. Classification (NCBI taxonomy): domain Eukaryota; kingdom Metazoa; phylum Chordata; class Mammalia; order Primates; family Hominidae; genus Homo; species Homo sapiens. The sequence goes on along the minus strand of NC_000018.10, from coordinate 75,443,179 downwards.
CTGTTCTGGGGCTGGTACCGTAATATATGGATTGAATCCTGCTACTCTGATGCTCTTGTCAGCCTGAAAGCTTGCCTTCCAGTTTGTATCAAACCATGGTATACAATAAATCAGCACATGTGTCTGAACAGCTATATATTCTTTCGGTGGCTTTAAATATTTTTATAATCACGGGTGCGATATAGGACTCAGGGGACCTTTAAAGCCAGCATTTCAAAACAGCTGAATGGAGATTCAGAAAACCTGTATGCTGTTGGACTAAATTGCAGGAAAACTTCTCGGAACCTTTGATGCATGTGGGGTTTAGTTTTCCTGGGAACCACGTTTAATTCTACAATTATTGATTTCCACAGTAAGAGCTATTCCTGCAGTTCACTGAATGGTAGGATATGGAATGTAGGATGACCTTCCTTCTTCCTACACCTTTGAAATCGAGAGCAAATGCATAATTCACATTAGATGGCAAATCAGCCCTTGACCTCAAACAGACAATATAACAGCTCAGCCAGCCCAAGCAGGCATAGGACAATTCTCCTTAATAAATCCAGCAAACTTCGCCATGCTGGACGTAGATTCCTTGAAACTGGACACTGGAGAAAAAGCTCCACCTTGAAACCAGTTACCTTGATTCCCATGAAAGGGACAGTGCCTGTTCGATTATTATTAATATCTCATTAAAGTAAATTAACTTTGGGAAAGTAGGAGCTAGTTCAAAACAGAACCCGCATGACCAGAACTCTGCTGGTCTCTGGGTCTTGAAGTGGCCAGATGATGACTTGAAGTTGGCACTGGAAAATGTGGGAGACCAGTCATGGGAGTGAAGTGGCGGAAAAATCCTGGTGGTTGGTTATTCCAAATTCACAGGGAAGATCTTAATAGGTCATTTGTTACTGAACAATATTAAATTAGGACTCCTGAGACATTTTAAATGTGTATCCTCAAGAACTCGTCCTTGCCGGCCTCCTGGGCCCATCCCCACCCACTGCGTGCACCAAGACACATGCCACACATTGCTTGCCCTGCTGCTGGGTCCAACATGAAGCTCCCCCAACTGGCTCCTGTGGAATATGTCTGAAAACATGCACGGATGTGTTCCTTGGCACTCTGGGAAAGCAGAACATTTCAATGACTCAGTTTTCTCCACGGGAAATTATTCTGTTGGAGTGTGTAAAATAATAACTGAGTAGCAAAGTTGCATATAACAAAATGTAATTGCACTGATATTTAAATCCAGGAGGTGTATTGCTAGTCCTTTATGATTTATGAAGCTTTTCCTATGTGGTTTTCAAGGAAAATCATTTTTCCATTTTTGGTATAATATGGTTCTACTTCCAACAACTTCCCTGTGGGTTTATTTTTGATCACTTTTTCATAGGGTGAGGCTTGTTTGTGCAGAGGCCATCGTGGCAGTGGGAGAGCTGGTGACCAAATTGCAAAAGCAGATAACTCACTGCAAGGAAATGTAGGAACATTCCACACAAATGTGGTTTTACAGACACAATTCTTAATTCTGGAGGCTTCTGCAACTCCTCAGGACCTTTCAACAGCGTGTAAGTCAGCTACAATGCTCCTCGTTTTCAGAATG